>NW_009646197.1:0-300000 GCF_000001405.40 Homo sapiens
CTAGATTGGAGCCTACAACAGAAAAAGAATGCTTAAATAAACTTTTAAAAGTCTGCAGTTTAATTAATAGTACTGTACCAACGTAAATTTTTTAATTTTGATGAACGTACTATGGTAATCCAAGATAGCAACTTGAGACAAACTAGGTAAAAGGTGTAAGAGAACTCTGAAAGTCTACAATTATTCCAAATAAAAAGTTTGCTGGCCAGGCGCGGTGGCTCACACCTGTAATCCTAGTACTTTGGACGGCCGAGGCAGGTGGATCACCTGAGGTCAGGAGTTTGAGACTAAAAATATGAAAATTAGCTGGGCGTGGTGGCGCATGCCTGTAATCCCAGCTACTCAGGAGGCTAAGGAGGGATAATTGTTCAAAGGGGATGGGGCGGGGCAGAGGTTGCAGTGAGCTGAGATCATGCCACTTCACTCCAGCCTGGGTGAAAGAGCGTTAACTCTGTCTCAAAAAAAAGGTTTGTCTTATCTTACATTGAGAAGTTCCAGTCATTCAGTCATCATCATTTTTATCTGATTTATTTCCATTTTAGGTATTACAGGTTTTGTTTTGTTTTTTTGAGACGGAGTTTCACTCTTGTTGCCCAGGCTGGAGTACGATGGCGTGACCTCCACTCACTGCAACCTCCGCCTCCTGGGTTCAAGCAATTCTCCTGCCTCAGCCTCCCAAGTAGCTGGGATTACAGGTGCCCGCCACCATGCCCAGCTAATTTTTTGTATTTTTAGTAGAGATGGGGTTTCACCATGCTGGCCAGGCTGGTCTTGAACTCCTGACCTCAGGTGACCCACCCACCTCAGCCTCCCAAAGTGCTGGGATTACAGGCATGAGCCACCATGCTCAGCCAGGTATTAAAGATTAACTTGGTAAGTGGCTCTTAAAAATCGAGGACATTTAATACTGTCAATTTTTATCTACCAATTTGGATTCCTTCTTTCATTAATTTGTCATATATTTATTGAGAACCTACTGTATGTTCCAGTACTGCCTTGAGGCGTCTATGAGGAGACAGATTCGTGGTATGCTAAACAGTGACAGCTGCTACATAGTAATATAAAACAAGAGGCGGGCACGGTGGCTCACGCCTGTAATCCCAGCATTTTGGGAGGCTGAGGCAGGCAGATCACCTGAGGTCGGGAGTTCGAGACCAGCCTGACCAATACGGTGAAACCCCGTCTTTACTTAAAATACAAAAATTAGCTGGGCGTGGTGGCACACACCTGTAATCCCAGCTACTTGGGAGGCTGAGGCAGGAGAATCACTTGAACCCAGGAGGCGGAGGCTGCAGTGAGCCGAGTTTGCACCACTGCACTCCAGCCTGGGCAACAAGAGTGAAACTCCGTCTCAAAAATAAAATAAATAAAATAAACAAGGAAAAAGAAAATAAATTTAAGAATAGGAAGGAAAAAAAGAAATTCATAAATTCAATCTTACAGAACACCTAACAATTCGCCTGAGAGTCACAGAAATGTACTCTTTCACATTGTTTCTAATACAAAATCTTGAAAATTGCAAAATACAGTGTTATGTTTTACTATAGTTTACTCTCTGACATCGTAGACTGCTTATGCACTAATTCTTCCTGGATACCGGAAGCCAGAGAAAACCTAGCGGTGGAATACTTGCCATTTTTCATGCTTTTTGTCAGTTTCCTTTTTAAGTGCATACTGAGGTTTATCTTCAAAACATTCTCATCTTTTCGGCTTACAGTAAGACTTTTTTTTTTTTCTAACCAAAATGTGTCTGCCTTTCATTAAGATAACATAAAAGAGCAGCCTAATTCTTTGGTCCCTGAATATGCACACACATGCATGCACACACACACACGCAGACACACACACAACACATGGAGGCTCTCTGAAACTGCTTAATCAAATTACTGCTCAAACCACTCCCTGGCACTTCCTTGCAAAACAACCAACCTAATACTGAGTTTTTAGTTTTGCACTACAAGCCGTTTGAAACAGAATAACATTCTTTCCTGGCCACCACTTTTAAATTCGGAAGGAGACAATACTCTGATCTCTTAGGCCTGTGCAAGTCAGAGTGTGCTACAATCGCTGCAGGTTAGAGCTCTGCCTTTGTTTAAAAACTGCATTTTATATACTAGTTACTTCATTGTGAAAGATAACCACCCTGACAAACAAGATTTTGCTATTTTTCTGCACAAATGTCACTTCACCATTTAGAGCTTCATGCAAATGTGTCTCCTACAGAAAATAAACTGCAAACACGATTTCTTAATTATCCTCGCCAAAAAAAAAATGTTTTAGTGGTGTCATAATGCCAGCACTAATTTTAGCCAAAATAAGAACAAATGCATTCTACAAATTCAGGAGATTATAATTTTTAAAAAGCAGTAGTATGGATATACTTAATGTCACTGAATTACACACTTCCAAATGGTTAAATGGTAAACGTTTATGTATTGTATGGTAAATGTTATGTGTTATTTTGGCACAATATTGTTTCCTCACAATAATACTAACAGGTTTTTTAAAAAGCAAGAGCACGCTCTCATTTCGTAATATATATTTATGGATGTCAGTGTGCAGAATTATGCACAGATATTTTAAATGTCAGGAGGCCTGGAGACAGATTTCAGGATTGCGGCTACTTTTACTTTTCTTCTACTTTCCCGTGTTATCTAATTGTCTCTGATAAATACGCTTTATATGCAGAATTGGATGAAACGAGAAAGCCCGGAGAAACCCGGGCTCCAGATTCTCTACCCCGGACGCCTGGGAGGCAAAGAGGTTCTAGATACGCCCTCAGCGTGGCGGGGGCGGGATCCACCGCCAGACCCCCGCCACGGGCGCAGCCTCCAGGCCGGGCCCCGTCCGCCGCCCGGGCAGGCCCGAGAATGCCGCGGACTTCGGGGAGCCCCGCGCCCGCAATGCCGCCACCCCCACCCCCGCGCCCCGCCAGGCCTCTCACCGACTCCCGCCGCCGAGCGACAATCGGTCCACCCGCCGCCACCGCAGCCGCCCGTCCCGCGCCTACCTCCCGGCGGCTCCAGTCGCGCACGCGCGTCGGCGCCCGGGGCCCTCCGCGGCCTCTCTAGGAAACTGGGAGGCCCAACGTCTCTGCTTCTCTCCGGCTCCGGTGCGGCGGGCGGCGGGGCTTGTCCAACATCCCTCACCTCCCTCAGTTGGACATTTCCCTTCCACGCTCGGATGCCCAGCCGCGCCTGTTTTCTTGCATCCCTCCTGTCGTGTCTGCGGGGCTGCCCTGAAGGCCTCTTTCCCTCCAGGGAAGAAAGGGATCCAAAGCTAGGGGTGAAAATAGGGCCAGCAGTATCTAGCAGACTGGTCCTGGCCAGGAGAAGGGGTTAAGGGAGCCACTCATTCTTCGCCTGGGTACACTTCAAAGAGGGGAACCAGATCCTACGGGAAGCTAGGTGCCAGAACTCCTGCCTTTCCAAGACGAGCTCATCCCCATCATCACCATACCCAGGAATACTTGTTCATAGCCAGCTCAGAGGTGCACCATACTTTAGCTTCCCACGGCCTTCACTCGTTTTCTCCTGTGGGTGAATTCTAACTAGGCTCGCCTGGTGAGTGAACAATGATGCCATTGCCCAATAATATGTGGAATCTGGGAGGAGTAGGTTGGGGGTAGGGGGTGGAGGGGCTGCTTGAAGAGGAGGTGAAGCAACCTGGAGAGGTTGCCCACCCCCTGTAGGAGCAAATGTCATCTATTGCCAGTGCCAGAGAACCTTGAGGGTGCACAGCCAAAGCCATAAGGCCATCTGCTGCCATTGGAGGGCATGCTACAAGCTGCTGTCCTGGTAGTCCTCTGGTTTGTGCTTCCTAGTGGCAGGCTGCAACATGTTGACGATTGATCTTTCAGATGGGCATTGATGATGCCCATCTGTGCCCTGAGGCTTTGCTTTACTCATCTGATCCACCCCTTTTTAATGCCCCAGTCACCAAAGATGGAAACAGAGAATAGATCCTGAACACCAGGAAGATGGTGACAAGGTGATAGAGAAACAGATGGCACATTCAAACAAGGTAAGTGGGGAGAGTTCACAAGGGGCGATTTACACAAAGTGGACAGGGTTAAGGAAATGCAACACGGAGTGGTGCAGAATCCCATGGCTAGCAAAATTTAGAAGCTATTCTCACCCCTAGGAGCAGGCCATCTGAGAGAAACTGTGGCTTTCAGTTGAGGGCTACATCCAAGCCATAGTCCAGCACAAAGGAAGCTGAGGTAATAAATAACCTGAACCCAGCTCTCTTCTGATCTCCTGCCAGGGCTTCCCATTGGCCCAACTCAACTGGAAGCCAGAGGGCAATCCAGGAAACTCAGTCTCCCAAGTGTCACAGCAGGGTTGAGGACTGAGACTGAATATGGAGGGGCAATTGGAAAATATCCAACACATACAAAAAGGAAAATAGAAACTGCTTGTCAATGCCTAATTTGTCCATTAATTTCCACTCGATATAATGTTCTTGAGTGACTCAGAACCACCCATAGTGGTGAGAAGAGTTTTCAAGTTTTGTTTGAGAACAAAATTTTCCCATCGTAGAAGAGTTTGAGCAGGTTCTCTGTGTTTGGGATGTACTTACTGGATGTTTTTCAACGTGATAGGTGGTTAGCATGGATAGCACCCACATTTAGTGTGATCAAACAGATCAACCAAATTGGCTTCACCAGCACTTGCAAAGTTCGGGAAGCAGCCACTGGGAGTGCAGCTCTGATTTTAAGACCTATACAGCTTCTTGAATCTCGAAGTTCTGCTAATACCTGATTTCTCCGAGTGCCACAGCACTCGAGCCTATAACCATGAGGTTTCTTCACTTTTCTGGTAGGAGGCATATTCTTGCTAGCTGTACTTCCTGAGCACTGTACTCTTTCAGATCGGGGCAGTTTGCTTAGTAAAAGCCCTAGGTAAGATTCTCAAATTCTCATGTGCATATGAATACAAATCACTTGGGATCTGGTTAAACTGTAGATTCAAATTCAGGAGGTCTGGGGAGGGACCAACGAATATTTTTAACAAACTTCCAGGTGTACCCATATTGCAGTTCTTGGACCACACTTGGAGAAGCAAAGAACTGTGCATGTAAATCAGTGGTTCTTAACTTTGCTGCAGATTAGAATCCTCCTCAGAGCTTTTAAAAAGTCCATACCTCATATCAATTCAATCCAAATCTTTGTGGGTGAGACACTGACAAGCCTAGATTTTAAAATCCCTAGATGATTCCAACATTTGAGAACCTGGAAGTAGATAATTATCCTTTTACCCTGATTCCTTGCTACATGTAAAAACCACATGCTAAAGGATTGCATGTTCATTTGCTTCTTTGTTTTGGAATTTAAAGTGTATCAGGATTCTGCCTTTCAAACAGAAGGGGGAAATTTCCTCCTTAATTTTTTTCTTCTTATTTTGAAATGGGGAAGAAAAAATTGGGGTGTTGAGATGGGGATCTGGAATGTGACTTGAGAAAAGAGATAAGATGTTAAAACTAAGAATCAGTTGTGGGCAAACAAATTGGCCTGGTAGGATTTTCACTCCTTTTCTGGCCTCAAACTCAGCCCCTTCTCTGTAGTTTGAAGGAGGCAGGTTGAAATATTAGGATGAAAATAAAATAGAGCAATGTATCTGAGGATGGTGATTACTGTGATCCATTGGATTAGTGTACTCTTCTATAAGAAAAACATAAAACAAATGTTTAAGCAGTTAAATTATGTGTAATTGTGGCCATTTGAAATATATTACATATTATATCATATAATTAATCTTCTCTGAATTCCCCCTTCTGCCTCTAATTCTAAGATATTGAAAAATACATTTTAATGAGATTTTAGAAGGTGATCCAACTTTAAATGAATTTTAAAATTATCATTTATATCAAAGAAATACTGATGCATTTAGTACTAATGAAGGACTTAAAATGAAAAATTGAACTCAACTCCCTCCTCCACCCTCCATCTTTTTCTGCAGAGGATATTCCTTGCATCTGAACATAAAAGTAGAGAAAGAGAGAGGATCAGGAAGCCAGGAGAGAATATACACGAATTTAAACTTTATTGGTAGTGGAGGGGGTGAAAGAATCTTTGAGTCAGACCATAGCCATGAGGAAGAAAAACTATGGAATCTTTGCTTTTATGCATTGCTATACCTCAAGTACTTAGAACAGCACTGACTACATAGTATGTACTCAATAAACATTTGTTGACTAATCAATCTTCTCTATGTCTAACCCAGGCCCTTAGGAGGTCTCTATTGTGATAATAGCCAAATCCTCAAACAGGCCAGATTTAGCTGGCATGATAACGAAGGCCCCTCCGCTTTAATCCTTACAAGGAAAGTAATCTGAAATAACTAATGCCAACCAGTCTGCCTTTGGTTCCCTATTTTTGCTTTCTTTGGCCTTTTTCTGCTTATAAAGCCAATCTCCTCTGTTCAGCTTATCAGAATACCCGTTCTATTTTATAGAATGAGATGTTGCCCGAATCTAGAATCACTAACAAAACCTAATTTGGTCTTTATTATTTATTTATTTATTTATTTATTTATTTTTGAGACGGAGTCTCACTCTGTCACCAGGCTGGAGTGCAGTGGCACGATCTCAGCTCACTGCAACCTCTGCCTCCTGGGTTCAAGTGATTCTCTTGCCTCAGCCTCCTGAGTAGCTGAGATTACAGGCGCCCACCACCACACCCAGCTAATTTTTGTATTTTTAGTAGAGACAGGGTTTCACCATGTTGGCCAGGCTGGCCTTGAACTCCTGATCTCAGGTGATCCACACACCTCAGCTTCCCAAAGTGCTGGGATTACAGGCGTGAGCCGCTGCACCTGGCCTAATTTAGTCTTCAAACTAAATTTGTCGTAATTTCATCTTTTGACAACTGCTTCTGTCCTGCCTTTTTTTCACTTGCCATTCTAATGTCAAGTGTTTTTTATCACATCACTAAATAATCTTCAAAATTTTATTTTTCCTCAGGGCCCTGAAGTGATCCTCCTCCTGTTCACTGACACCCGTTGCCAAGAGAGAGAGAGAAAAAGAGAGAGAGAGAGAAGCAGGAAGAGAGGAGAGGGTGCTGGCCTTATTAGAGAAAGAATGTAAGGGGAAAGAAAACAATCATGTTAGCTTTGATTTCTGTAATAAGTCTGTATCACAGACAGGCTTAGAAAGCAAAGCTTTGGCATTACAAGAGCCCATGAGGGAGCAAAGCTCTCTTATAGAAAGTCTGAGGCCAGGCACAGTGGCTCACATCTGTAATCCCAGCAATTTGGGAGGCCGAGGCGGGCGGATCACGAGGTCAGGAGATCGAGACCATCCTGGCTAACACGGTGAAACCCCGTCTCTACTAAAAATACAAAAAAATTAGCTGGGCGTGGTGGCGGGCGCCTGTAGTCCCAGCTACTCGGGAGGCTGAAGCAGGAGAATGGCGTGAACCCGGGAGGCGGAGCTTGCAGTGAGCTGAGATCACGCCACTGCACTCCAGCCTGGGCGGCAGAGCAAGACTCCGTCTCAAAAAAAAAAAAAAAAAGAAAAGAAAAAAAAGAAAGTCTGGAGGTGGAAGTTCCGAGACTTGACACAACTAATAGAATTAGTTCATGATGTGTTATCATTCCAATGGCACCAACAACTCACTCACCACCTGTGCCCCAGGCAAACCTGCTCCTCCTGCTTTCCTTATTCTCTATCTGAAGAAAGAAATAGGAAGTGTCAGTATGGGTACTAGAAGCCACATCTATCTATACTCATTAATTCTTTCATTCACAAAGAATTTATTGATTATGCACTATGTGCTAGATACTGTTCCCGACCTGGGGTATATCAGTTACCAGGTGTCAAGCAACTGACACCTGTTTCCACCTCCAACAGAGAAGTCCCACTGGGTAGAGGACAGCAGAGCATAAAAATGAGTACCACCAAAACCAGCAGTCCTACGATGTTAAGCCACTGCAGGGTTTGAAGGTTTGGGGGTTGTCAAGAAAGACAAGACTTACACAAGCACTGGATGGAACATTTTACTCAACAGAGAAGAGACAGAGTAAGATCAGCTTCAATAGGGAGCATTGGTTCCCCATGGCCAGTGGGACTTGCCCTGCAACCAGGACAGACAGATGGTCTGCATACACTCTTTGTGTGTTGCCTGGGAGGGACCCCATTCCCATCCCACTGAGAACAGATATAGCAGTGGGGTTGGGCTGGTACCATATGATGCACATGTTTAAGCAGAACAAAGAAGTACATGTCAAACCTGGAACAGGAAAAGATATTCCCAAACAGGGCAGTGAGCCCAGCACAGGGTGTGGAGGCTCTTTATCACCATGTAAGTAAAAGTTCCAAGCCCGAGGCACATTCTTTGAAACTGCAAGGTTTGACAGGCTGTGCAGGAGTGTCTTTCCCAGCAGTTTACCCACTGACCCTTGCTTGGCTGCTGAAATAGCAGATAAAACATACTGAATCTAGCAGACCACCATCTGCCCTGAATTTGGAGGCAAAGCTGGGTCTGATGGGGCCTGAACAACCCCTATGGATTAGGTTTGCTCACAGAATCTTCCTGTCACTTTTTAAAATTAATAACCCTTATTTTTAAAATCTATTTATTTATTTTGAGACCAGGTTATGAGACTGGCTAATTTTTGTATTTTTGGTAGAGATGGGGTTTCACCATGTTGCCAAGGCTGGTCTCAAACTCCTGGGCTCAAGCAATCCACTCTCCTCAGCCTCCACAAGTGCTGGGATTACAGGCATGAACAACCGCACCTGGACAACCCTGATTTTTTAGAGCAGTTTTAGGTTCACAGCAAAATTGAACAGAAAGAACAGAGAGTTCCCAATTCACTCTGTTTCCATACACACATAACCTCCCCCTATAGACATCCCAAACCACAGTGGTACATTAGTTACAGCCAAATATGTATATATGTGTGTGTGTGTGTGTGTATATATATATATATATATATAAAATATATATTTTATATTATTATATATTTTATATAATTATATAATAAATTTTATATTATATATAAATATATAATATATAATAATTATATATTATATATATAATATATAGTATATATATAATATATTATATATAATAATATGTAATATATATTATATATATACTATATATTATATATATAATATATACACACAGATATATATGTTATATATATACACACATATATATATTTGTTGTTGTTGTGTGTTTGTTTGGTTTTGTTTTTGGTTTTTCAGGGTCCCACTCTGTTGCCCAGGTTGGAGTGCAGTGGTACAATCACACAGCTCACTGCAGCCTTGACCTCCCAGGCTCAAGCGATCCTCCCACCTCAGCCCCTGAGTAGCCGGGACTACCGGTGCAAGCCACTACACCCGGCTAATTTTTTTGTATTTTTGTAGACACAAGGTTTTGCTATATTGCCCTGGCTGGTCTCAAACTGCTGGACTCAACAATCCACCTGCCTCAGCCTCCCAAAATACTGGGATTACAGGCATGAGCCACCACGCCAGGCCAAGACTTTATATTGAGGTTCACTTTTGGTGTTATACATTCTATGGTTTTTGACAAATGTATAAATACATGTATCCACATACATGTATTCTGTGTCATATGGAATAGTTTCCAGAATAGTGTGGTGGTGCACACCTGTAGTCTCAGCTACTTGGGAGGCTGAGGCAGGAGGATGGTCTTGATCATTATAACTTTATAGTAAGGCTTAAAGTCCAGTAAAGTCAGTCCTCTGACTTTGTTCTTCTACTTCAACACTGAGTTGACTACTCTGGGTCTTTTGCCCTCCATGTAAACTTTGGAATCAGTTTACTGATAACCATAAAATAGTATTATACAGAATAGTTTCACTGCCCTAAAAATCCTCTGTGCTCTCCTTATTCATCCCTCCCTCCTCCCTGTGGCAACCACTGATCTTTTTACCATAGTTTTGCCTTTTCCAGAAGGTAATACAGTTGAAATCATACAGTATGCAGTCTTTTCAGATTGACCTTTCCTGTGTCTTTTCTTTCTTTTTTTTTTTTTTTTTTTTTTTTGAGAGACAGAGTCTTGTTCTGTTGTCCAGGCTGGAGTGCAGTAGCACAATCATAGCTCACTGCCACCTCAATCTTCTGGACTCAAGCAATCCTCCTGTCTTGGCCTCCTGAGTAGCTAGGACTACAGGCATATGCCACCACACCCAGCTAATTTTATTTTTTTATTTTTAATAGAGACGAGATCTCACTATGTTGCCCAGGCTGGGCTCCATGTCTTTTCATTACTTGATAACTCATTTCTTTTTAGCAGTGAATAATATTCCATTGCCTGATATACCACAGTTTATTTAACCACTTAGCCTCTGAAAGATACCTTGGTTGCTTCCAACTTTTGTCAGTTATGAATAAAGCTGCTATAAACATCTGTGTGCAAGTTTCTGTGTGGACATAAATTTTCAATTCATTTGGGTAAATACCAAGGAGTACAATTGCTGGATCAGATGGTGAAGTATTTTTGGTTTTATAAGAAAGCAGCCAAACTGTCTTCCAAAGTTACGGTACCATTTTACATTCCCACCACCAATGAGTGAGAGCTTCTATTTGCTAGTATCCTCACCAGCATTTGGTATTGTCAGTGTTTAGATCCAGAATAGGTGTGTCACAGTGTCTCCTCTCACTGTGATTTTAATTTGCAATTACCTAACAACATATGATGCTGAAGATCTTTTCATATGCATACTTGCCATCTTCATACCTTCTTGGCAAGGTGTGTGTTCAGGTTTTGGTGATTTTTAAAATTATTTATTTTAGAGATGGGAGATTTCACTATGTTGCCCAGGCTGGTCTTGAACTCCTGGGCTCAAGTGATCCTTCTGCCTCAGCCTCCCAAAGTACTGGGATTGCAGGCATGAGCCACCATGCCTGGCCTTGTTGATCTTTTAAGTTGAGTTGTTCATTTTCTTATTGTTGAGTTTTAAGAGTTCTCCATATTTTTTGGATAACAGTTCTTTTTATGTCTTTTGCAAACATCTTCTCCCAGTCTGGGGCCTGCCTTCTCATTCTCTTGACAGTAACTTTTGCAGAGCAGAGTTTTTAATTTTAACAAAATCTAGCTCATCAATTATTTCTTTCATTATTGTGCTTTTGGTGTTGTATCTGAAAAGTCATTAGACCTATCCAAGGTCATCTAGATATTTTCCTATGTTCTAGGAGTGTTCTAGTTTTGTGTTTTACATTTAGGTGTATGGTTCATCTTGATTTTTGTGAAGAGTGTAAGATCTGTTCCTAGATTCAAATTTTTTTTTTTTAATTTTTCGAGACGAAGTCTCGCTCTGTCACCAGGCTGGAGTGCAGTGGCGCAATCTTGGCTCACTGCACCCTCCGCCTCCCAGGTTCAAGTGATTCTCCTGCCTCAGCCTCCTGAGTAGCTGGAACTACAGGTGTGCGCCACTACGCCCAGCTAATTTTTTTATTTTTAGTAGAGATGGGGTTTCACCATGTTGGCCAGGATGGTCTTGATCTCTTGACCTCGTGATCTGCTGGCCTCAGCCTCCCAAAGTGCTGGGATTACAGGCATGAGCTACCACGCCCGGCCTTAGATTCAAATTGTTTTTGGCATGTGGATGTCCATATGTTCTAGCACCATCTGTGAAAAGACAACTTTGTTGCATTGTATTGCCTTTACTCTAACTTTGCCATAAATAAGTTGGCTATATTTATGTGCACCTATTTCTACACCCTCTATTCTATTCCATTAGTCCAGTTGTTTATTCTTTCACCAATACCACGTGACCTTGATTACTATAGCTTTATAGTAAGTCTTGATGTCAAGTAGGGTCAGTCCTCTAACTTTGTTCTTCTATGTCAATAAAGTTGATTACTCTGGGTCTGCTCTCCATGTAAACTTTGGTATCAGTTTATTGATATCCATAAAATAACTTGCTTAGATTTTGATCAGGATTGCATTGAATCTATAGATCAAGTTGTGAGGAAGTGACATCTTGACAACATTTAGGCTTCCTATTCATGAACATCTAAATATAAATCTCTCCACTTATTTAGTTCTTTGACTTCTTTCATCGGAGTTTTATAGTTTTCCTCATATAGATCTTGTACATATTTTGTTAGATTTATACCTACGTGTTTCATTTTGGGGGGTGCTAATGTTAATGGTAATTTTTTGTTGTTGTTTTTGAGACACAGTTTCACTCTTGTTGCCCAGGCTGGAGTGCAATGGCGCGATCTTGGCTCACCACAACCTCCGCCTCCTGGGTTCAAGCAATTCTCCTGCCTCAGCCCCCGGAGTAGCTGGGATTACAGGCATGCACCACCACGCCTGGCTAATTTTGTATAATTTTCTTTTTTGAGACGGAGTTTTGTGTTTTAAATTTCAAATTCTACTTGTTCATTGCTGATATATAAGGAATTGACTGACTTTTGTACATTAACCTTGTATCCTGCAACCTTGCTATGATCACTTAATAGTTTCAGGATTTTTTTGTTTTTTGGATTTTCTACATAGACAATCATTTATCTGTGAAAAAAAGACAGTTTTATTTCTTTCTTCCTAATCTGTACACCTTTTATTACTGTTTCTTGTCTTACTGCACTAGCTAGGACTTCCAGTACTATGCTGAAAAGCACTGGTGAGAGGTGACATCCCTATCTTGCTCCTGTTCTTAGCAGAAAGGCTTCTAGGTTCTCATCAAGTATAATGTTAGCTGTAGGTTTTTTGTAGATGTTCTCTGTCGAGTTGAGAAAGTTACTCTCTATTCCTAGTTTGCTGAGAATCCCTGCCACTTTGATACAGCACTTCACAAGATCACTGGGAGAACCTGGGCTAGGAGGATACTCAGGCCTCCCTAGAGGATGGTGCTCAGCCAGTAACCCAAGTGCCCAGAATAAGGCAATTGAAATTGAAGAATTCAACAAATGAGTCTAAAGGGGACTGCAGGTATAGAGCAGATAACTATCCTGCCTGAGCATAGATCTTCTGTAGCTCAGTTTCTACTTTCTCTGAATTAATATACACAGAACAATAGGTTTTAGCAATAGCATGATTCCACTAGCAGATAATCAAAAGCTGTTTAATTGTCCATTACCACCTTGCTAGCTAGTTTAGTGAGCCTCATTGGTCTTGGATAGCTTGGGCAGCAGCATTAGTTATTTCTACCATGGTTAAGGACAGGTTGTGCACTATTTTTTCAAGAGTCTATATACTGATGCCTGGTATTAGAATGTGAACTGGGCCAGGCATGGTGGCTCACGCCTGTAATCCCAGCAATTTGGGAGGCCGAAGTGGATCACCTGAGGTCAGGAGTTTGAGACCAGCCTGCCCAACATTGCGAAACCCGTCTCTACTAAAAATACAAAAAATTAGCCAGGTGTGGTGCCACGCACCACACTCGTGGTGATCCCAGCTACTCGGGAGTCTGAGACAGGAGAATCGCTTGAACCTGGGAGGCGGAGGTTGCAGTGAGATGAGATCGCACCATTGCACTCCAGCCTGGGCAACAAGAGCAAAACTCTGTCTCAGAAAAAAAAGAATGGCTGGGCACGGTGGCTCACGCCTGTAATCCCAGCACTTTGGGAGGCCAAGGCGGGCAGATCACCTGAGGTCAGGAGTTTGAGACCAGCCTGACCAACATGGAGAAACCCCGTCTCTACTAAAAATACAAAATTAGCCAGGCGTGGTAGCACATGCCTGTAATCCCAATTACTAGGGAGGCTGAGGCAGGAGAATCGCTTGAACCTAGGAGGTGGAAGTTGCGGTGAGCCAAGATCACGCCATTGCACTCCAGCCCGGGCAACAAAAGTGAAACTCCATTTCAAAAAAAAAAAAAGAATGTGAACTGCAGAATTAAACCAGCTGTTGGTTTGTTCTCCTGGGAGAGTGCTACAAGTCATTCTGTGGCAGGTTAGCAGAGCAGGTCCCTTCTAGCTCTCTGTACAGTTGTTGACATGGACAGTGGGCCCTAGGATTCCAAGGCAACAAGATCCTTCTGGAGATAGACATTGAGGCCCACAGAAGAATTCATAACCTAGAAGGGCACAAGTGACACCTGTCAGGCATTTGTTATTATAGTCCTGGTCAGTCCATTTATATACAGTCTCAGCCTGTTTTTGCCCCATAGTTGCAGGGTGAGAAAAACTACATGTGGTACATCCACATCTGAAGTGCCAATATAAGTCAGTGATGCCCACGCCAACATGGGAGTCCTTTTGTCATATCATAATATTAAAGCAGGATACTCTAGCGTACGCCTGCATGCGGACTTGTTTCAAGGGAGTCACTCAGCAGTTTGAGCCACCGATAGCTTAGAATGTGAACTGGGCCAGGCGTGATAGCTTGAGGAAAGTCCGAGACACTGGGTAACAGCCAGGCCATTACAATGGAATTATAGGATAGGAGAGACTTCAGTAACAACTCCAGCATTGTTTGCTTGCTTCCTTCTCACCACAGCTGTACTGCTTCTTATCCAGATGTTGTCATGCCGGGCATGGCAGAGTCTTCTGTGAGACTGAGCAAGGTAAAAATTGATGATCCCACATGCCCCACCCCATGAAACTCCCCAGCCAGATGCTCTTGTCCAGTGGCGTGGGGAGAGTATTCTGATTTCTGAGGCTGTAACTTATGCAGGGATCCATCACGCCTGTTACTTGACCTAAACTTTCAGCCTTGGTCATCCAACCTGGGGAGAGAGATCACATTCTGAAGAAATTTGGCATATCTTATAATATTGCCCACTTTGGGATCAGAAGTCCTGGTTACAACTGGAGGAACATTAGTTCCTCAATATTCTGTCAATGCTTTCCCTGTCCCCATGGGGTCCCACAAGAAAGAAATGCCCAAAGGTACCATTGCCTCCAGATTTAAATCAGGAGGCTCACTGGTGGCTCTAGTGGGTAGTGATTTCCAGCAGGAAGAAAGAAGAAAAAGAATGCCTGGGAGCTGGACGTGGTGGCTCACGCCTGTAATCTCAGCACTTTGGGAGGCTGAGGTGGGCAAATCACCTGAGGTCAGGAGTTCGAGACCAGCCTGGCCAACATGGCAAAACCCCGTCTCTACTAAAAATACAAAAATTAGTCAGGCATGGTGGGATGCACCTGTAATCCCAGCTACTCCAGAAGCTGAGGCAGGAGAATTGCTTGAACCCAGGAGGTGGAGTTTGCAGTGAGCCGAGATCGTGCCACTGCACTCCAGCCTGGGTGACAGAGTGAGACTCTGTCAAAAAAAAAAAAAAAAAAGAATGGCTGGGTATACTCAAATTGGGATTTCATAGGCTCAGCCTAATCAAGGGATTGCCTGGTCCTCCACCTGTTGCAAGTTCAGTATTTCCCAACATGCATTGCAGTGATGTGTTTCTCTTCCACTGCAGTGTCTAGTGTTCAGATGGCTTTTGTGAGGTAGGGGTACCACCCACTAAGTTGTTCTCCCTAATGGCTTTTGCATAGTTGTTGTTTGAGCCACCCATTCCATCATCTTTTTTTCTTCCTAATTTTTTTTTCAAGTTCTACCATTCCATCATTCTATCAACCCATTCACCAGGTAATGTTAGGGAGTACAAAAGGTCCCATCATATGTCATGGGAAAATGCCCATTACTGTGTAGCTTGTGCGGCAGCAAATGTGGTGGCCTTGATTGGCTTGGAATCCTGCTAGATATCAGAATACAACAGAGGTGTTTCTCTAAAGCCATAATAGTGGTTTCCACATCTACATGGCATACTGGAATGGTGGTCTCATCTCCAGAACGTGTACCCATGGCAGTGAGGCTTCACCAGAATCCACGTCTGGGAGCTAGCTGTCCAATGTGGTCAATATCACACTGGCATGGGCCCTCTGTCCAGATGATGTGTCCCAGTTCACCACATTGTACGGCCTGGGCTAAAGGCAGGCCTCACATTACTGTACTGGATCTTTGGCTTCCATCTCTTTTAGGGCAAGTCCTCGTGATGTGGCCCGTTCTTGCATCTGAGGTGGACTTCCATGTCCCATTCTGTGGTAGATCCCATGGATAATTTTGGCCATTTTCTGAGCACATACTAGATCAGCTTGTGAGTTCATGTTCTCTTTTGAATGGTCCTATGCCGTGACAAGTAGGTCTCTTTCCTAGTTCACAAACTGCTGTCATAGTCCTTGTCTCTACATAGAGGAGCCCTTAATGGTCCAATCATTAATCTGCCAGTCACTGGACATATGGCTAGTCCATTTGTAATGGCCCATAAGTCTGTAAATGTGTAGCAGATAATTGCTGTTATATTTTCCTGAACAGCCATCACCACAGCACAGAGTTCACCCAGAGTACTGGGCAGAGTATCCTTGTCTGGTCTCAGTCAAAAGATGACTATCCTTAGGATGTGTCTTAGTCTACTTGTGCTGCTATAGCAGAATGCCTGAGACTGGGTAATTTTATAAATAGAAATTTAATTTCTCACAGTTCTGGAGGTGGGAAGTCCAAAATCAAAGTCTCCATTTCCACAATGGTGCCTTAAACATTGCACTCTCCAGGGGGAAAGAGCACACTGTTCCTCACATGGCACAACAGCAGAGGAAAGCAAACCCACTCTCATAAGCCCTTTTTATAGGGACATTAATCCATTCCTGAGGGTAAGCCTTCATGACCTAAACACCTCCCTTAGGCCCCATCTCCCAACACTGTTGTATTGGGGATTTTTTGTTTTTTAGACACAAGGTCTTGTTATGTTTCCCAAGCTGGTCTTGAACTCCTGAGCTCAAGCAATTCTCCCACCTCAGCCTCCTGAGTGGCTGGGACTACAAGCATGCAGCACTGCACCCAGCTGGGGATTAAGTTTTAACATTTTGGAGGCGACAAAACCATTCAATCCACAGCAAGATGGACGGCTACAGCAGACCATTAGAGTTTATCAGCTTTGAGTTTCACAGCTCCCTCAGTGAGCCAACTCATACCATCAGCTGGAACATCTTTGAACCATGGGCTGCACCTAGCTAAGGGAACATCCCCTATGGGCTGTTCGGCGTCCTCTGGCAAGACAGTTACTTCATGGAGTTGGCAGACCCCCTGGGATCCCAATCAGGCTCCATCTTATATGTAACATTTCCATTTAATGATGGTACTTGGCTGAACCTGTCGTGTTTTATTAGGATTAGTGAGCACTGTGAAAAAAATAAAATCAGATAAAGAAAAATTTAAAAGTTTATTGTTCAAACAAGAAGTACAGACCACAATCTAGAAGACTCAAATCAAGTGGTAAGAAATTAATCTTACAGCAGTTACAACACAGTTTATAATGCATAAAGGGGGGGAATATTTTGACCTTTTTTATAATTGGCTGTTATACATTCTTTTTAGGGCAAGTTGAGCTGTTTAAGCTTGTTGGTCTATAGCTGATTGGTTTAATTTCAGTGAATCATGCTGGCAAGGATGTAAAGCTTACATTTTGCATTTCATTTATGATCAGAGACAGCATTTCAGGAAAATCAGAATGATTAGTTTTGGTTACACGGTTGCGGGTAGTCAGCCTTAGGGTATTTCTAAACTGGGGCTTCCATTTTTATTTTTCGTTAATAATACCTGCATGAGATGGGCAGCTCAGGTCTTAAGGTCACATACAGTGCTTCAGTGGTCAAGTGTTCTGTTTAAATTAGAGTCCAATAGCAGGCTAGTAGCTGCCATTCAAAGGGAATGTATATGGCAACCATCTTGGGTAATTTATATGTCCAAAACCTAAGGGCCTGGTGCATCCTGATAGCAGTCTCTTGTTGCCGCAGTATCCAATCTGTATGGGTAAGAGTCAATGAGACCTGTAGTTCCATGGGCCTACATTAATGTCAGGCCCATGTTAATGCATAGTAGGCCTCTCGAGTCTGCTGTTGTTGAGGGCCCCATTCAGAGGTGGCTGTGTTGTGGGTAATTTTAACTAAAGGAGGCAAAATAATACTCAGATGTGATACATGTTATCTCCAATAGACAAACAGGCATACCAGCTATTGAGCTTCTTTTAGGTGGGGGCTGCCAAGGACAATATTTGACTTTATCAGGAATACTCCTCTAATTACTGGACCAGGTAGCTCCAGGGACTGCACTTGTTGGGCAAGTCTTGGGATCTTATCAGGGCTGACAACTCAACCTGCATGTGTCATATTATCTATGACCTTATGTATGGAGTGGTCAACTTGTTTCATAGGCTGGCAATGAGCATGTTATTAATATAGTGGATGACAAGTACTTTTCGAAGTAACTGGACATGTTGCAGGTCAGGGGAATGGAAGTATTGCTATGGACTGAACTGTGCCCCCAAAATTCATATGTTGAAGCCCTGAGCTCTGACATGATTGTATCTGAAGTCCTAAAGCCAGGAATGAGGAAGGCTGTGAATGTCCATTGTTCCATACAAGAATGACTCTTCTCTTGGCTATTTAGAGATCATGAGGGATACTGCCCCAGTTTCCACAGGCCAGATGGTCTCCAACAAAAGCCACGGGGGAGTCACCCCTGCCTGGCAGATCTATCGGGTCAGGACCACCGCCCAGGGGGTCCTGGAGAGGACAGTATAGGACCAAAGAGGATTATTCATGAGCCTAAGATCTCATGAAACGTGCCTTGCTAAGTTTTAGACTTGCATAGGACCATCATCCCCCTGCTCCCCCATCCTTTTTTATTTTTTATTGATAGGGTTTCACTCTGTCATCCAGGCTGGAGTGCAGTACGATCACAACTCACTGTAGCCTCGAACTCCCATGCTCAAGCCACCATGCCCAACTAATTATTTTTATTATTTTTGTAGAAATAAGGTCTCCCTATGTTGCCCAGGCTGGTCTCGAACTCCTGGACTCAAGCAATCCTCCCACCTCAGCCTCCCAAAGTGCTAGGATTAAAGGCATGAGCTATCACACCCAGCCTCATCATCCCTTTCTTCCTTCCAATTTCTCACTTTTGGAATTGGAATACCTAATCCTGCCTATCCCATCACTGTATTTTGGAAGCACATAACTTGTCTGGTTTCATAGGTTCACAGCTGGAGGGGAATTTTGCCTCAGGATAAGCTAAACCTTGGGTCTCACCCATATCTGATTTAGATATTTTTGAGACAAAGTCTCACTGTCGCCCAGGCTGGAGTGCAATGGTGCGATCTCGGCTCACTGCAACCTCTGTCTCTCGGGTTCAAGCGATTCTCCTGCCTCAGCCTCCCCGTGTAGCTGGGATTACAGGTGCACACCATCACGCCCAGCTAATTTTTGTATTTTTAGTAGAGATGGGGTTTCACCATGTTGGTCAGGCTGGTCTCGAACTCCTGACGTAGTGATCCACCCGCCTCGGCCTCCCAAAGTGCTGGGATTACAGGCGTGAGCCACCATGCCCGGCCTTTATTTAGATATTTAGATATTTAGATGAGACTTTGGACTTTAAATGTTAGTTGATACTAGAATGAGTTAAAACTTTGGAGGCTGTTAGGATGGAATGAACTTATTTTGTATGTAAGGATATGAATAGAGTGGCTAGGAGTGGAATGTTATAGAATGAATATTTATGTTGAAGCCCTAACCCCAAATGTTATATTTGGGGGTGGGGGGCCTTTGGAAAATAACTAGGATTGGAGTAGGTCATGAGAATGGGGCTGTCACTCTCACTAACGCCCTTAAAAGACTTGGAAGAGGCACCAGTGCTCTTGCTCTCTGAAATTTGAGGACACAGGAAAAAGGGGGCCATCTGCAAACCAGGAAGAGAGCCCTCACCAGCACTCAACCATTCTGGCATCTTGATGTTGAATTATGAAGACTACAGAACTGTGAGAAATAAATGTCTGTTGTTTAAGCCATCCTCTATGGTATTTTGTTATAATAGCTCAAACTGACTAAAACAGTTGCTAAAGATATATCCCTCCCAATCCCCTCACCCAAAGAACCAGGCCCAGTTACTTTTAGCAAGCCTTCAAGGAACAATTCCCATGTTATACAAACTCTCCATAGCAATAAGATAAACAAAATTTTTTCCAAATTCTTTTGCAAAGCTAGCAAAGCATTACCAAATTGAATCTACTTCTGTACTTAATAAAAATTCACTATGAACAAATAGATTTTACTTGAAAAGTACAAGGAAATTGCAAATATTTGCAAACTTGTCAAGAAAATGAATTACAAAAAGAAAAAACCATAACTCATAAAATTACAATGATGGAGTTTTTAAACTTGATATAATATAGCAACCAATCCTAATAAAAACTTTTTAAGTATAGGCCAGGCATGGTGGCTCACACCTGTATTCCCAGCACTTAGAGAAGCTGAGGCAGGATGATCGCTTGAGGCCAGGACCGCAAGACCAGCCTGAGCAAAATAGTGAAACCCCATGTTTACAAAAAATAAAAATAAAAACTTAGTCGGGCATGGTGGCACATGCCTGTATTCCTAACTATAGGGGAGGTTGAGGCAGGAGCATCTCTTGAGCCCAGGAGTTCAAGGCTGAGGTGACCTATGGTCACATCACTACACTCCAGCCTGAGCAACAGAGGGAGACCTTGTCAAAAAAAAAAACAGAAAACAAAACTGTAAGTATAATAATAATTGGGAAACTGTGCACTGTGTGCCCAGTATTGTTACAATAATGTATTCTTCACAACCCTATGAGGTAGCTCCATTTTATAGATGGAGGAATAAGATACAAGGAAGGTAAGTGATTTGCCCAGGATCACACACCTAACAAAGTGGTGGACTCAGGATTTGAACCTAGGGCACTGGGAACAAAATCTGTGCTCTTAACCACTAAACTACACTGCTTCTTCTAGAAATAAGATTAGAAGGAAACTTCCTAAATCTAACAGAACATCAGAATCCAACAATGAACACGATATGAAACTGCAGAATACTAAAAACATTCCCCCAAGCGTTAAGAGAAAGACATCTACTGTTCCATGTTTTCTGAAGTTCTTGCTAATGCACAACATAAGTGACATCAAAAGACAAATAAATCATTATTTATTCTAAACCTAGAAAAGCTAGGAAATGAATCTAACAAATTATTAAACCTAAAAATAATTTATCAACATAATTGGATCCAGATAAAATTTGTTTAAATCAATAATTAAAGTTTATACTAGCAGTGACCAATAGAAATTGAAGTATGGCTTTCAAATGCAGCCAGTTTTCCTCCATCCAAGAGCCTGAGGCTTTTTCAGGATTCACTTGTACTGAGCACCCACACCAGACTGGTGGCAGTGAGTTAATATAGTTAGGAAATGGTGCACATTCCCACACTCTGGAGGCTTAGTATGGTAGGGGATGAGCAGGCAAGAACCAGAAGGTAAAACTGCAGCTTCCAACAGGCAGGATGGTTCTTCTGCAGACATGACTGGCAATGTCCAACTCAGGGCGGGGAACCAGAAATGTCCAACTCATGTGCTCATATAGTGTGGGGCTCTTCCCTGAAATCTGGGGGCTCCCAAAATAAGACAGTTAAAGAGGAAAAAGTCCTATCTGCATATCTTTTAAAAGAAAATGGAAAAAAATACAAAAAAACAAGCTGAAAACATTTAAAATACATATTCACAAATGGTAAAATTCCAGCCGTGTCATGAGCTCCGGTTTGTTGTTTTGTTGTTGTTATTGAGACAGAGTCTCGCTCTGTTGCCCAGGCTGCAGTACAGTGGTGTGATCTTGGCTCACTGCAATCTCTGCCCTCCAGGTTCAAGTGATTCTCTTGCCTCAGACTCCTGAATAGCTGGGATTACAGGCGTGCACCACCACACCCAGCTAATTTTTGTATTTTTAGTAGAAACGGGGTTTTACAATGTTGGCCAGGCTGGTCTCAAACTCCTGGACTCAGGTGATCTGACCGCCTCAGCCTCCCAAAGTGCTGGGATTACAGGCATGAGCCACTGTGCCCAGACAAGTTTAGAAATTTCAAAAGGCCCTGAAAAACTTTAGGCCCCCAGTAATCCTTTCTAACTTTGTCTGAGACATCTCCCCAACAATCACATTTAATTCTAATTTTCTTGATCCTCAACTCTCTTTCCTTTCTCCTGCATTGTCTGAAACATACACCACAGTGCACAAAATCACCCCTCCAGGTTACATGACTGACATTGCCCCTCTAGCCTCCTCCTCCACCTTTGTCATACTGCGGATCCTGTCAGCCTGTTAAGAAATCTGGGGGATGGAGGCCAGGCGTGGTGGCTCATGCCTGTAATCCCAGCACTTTGGGAGGCCGAGGCAGGCAGATCACGAGGTCAGGAGATCGAGACCATCCTGGCTAACACGGTGAAACCCCATCTCTACTAAAAATACAAAAAAAATTAGCCGGGCCTGGTGGCGGGCGCCTGTACTCCCAGCTACTCGGGAGGCTGAGGCAGGAGAATGGCATGAACCTGGGAGGCAGAGCTTGCAGTGAGCTGAGATCGTACCACTGCACTCCAGCCTGGGCGACAGAGCAAGACTCCGTCTCAAAAAAAAAAAAAAAAAGTCTGGGGATGGAAAGAGAACAGGGTGAACATTAGAGTAAAAGGTCCACCGGCACTGGGCCATTATTGCAAGGGTGGAAGGAAAGGTGGTTCAAGCTCATGGACTGACATATGACTGCAGAAGGAAAGGTGGTCTGGAAGATAATTAAGGCACAGTTCTCATCTTGAAATTAAGACAGCAGTTGTAGTGAGAAAGGACTAGCTGATAAGGAAAACAGATTAGTTTGATACTACTATTTTACCAAAAACCTCATCACTCTGAATTCCAATCATCCAGGAATGCTGCTAGCTGAAATTTTCAATCATCTATATTACAGCCATGAAAGTCAAGTCTTCTTGCAGTAAATTTTGACTGTAAGGTTTTTTTTGTTTGTTGTTTTTGAGATGTAGTCTCACTCTGTCACCCAGGCTGGGGTGCAGTGGCACAATCTCAGCTCATTACAACCTCTGCCCAGGTGCAAGCAATTCTCCTGCCTCAGCCTCCCAAGTAGCTGGGATTACAGGTGCACACCACCATACTCGGCTAATTTTTGTATTTTAGTAGAGATGGGGTTTCACCATGTTGGCCAGGCTGGTCTCGAACTCCTGACATCAAGTGATCTGCCCACCTCGGCCTCCCAAAGTGCTGGGATTACAGGCGTGAGCCACTGAGCCTGGCCGACTATAACTTTTATTTAGGAAGCAGGATGCAGTCAAATAGTTCAGAAATGGAGTAAGTGTGCAGCTCAAAGCATGTTATCAGTAGGATATGACTGCCCAACCCAATACCTAGATAAACAGACACTCATTCACACACAAATCCATTAGCTCTTCAAGGCTGAAGTACCAGTAGTAAGACTTCCAGGGCTACAAGTAGAAGATATCAGTGAGCCTTTATATGTGATATATTACGATGCCACTTCCTTCTTTAGAAGCTTCTAGTCCAGTGTAATGGGAGGGAGACGGGAGCCTGTGCCCACGTTTATGATGGCTCAATTTGAATTTTAAAACTTAAGAACTAGCATATTCAAACTATTATGCATATAAAGAAATAGATACCATACCTGATCTCAGAAGCTTACAAGCTGGTATGAAAGTATACACATTTGAGGCTGGGTGCAGTGGCTCACACCTGTAATCCCAGCACTTTGGGAGGCTGAGGCGGGCGGATCACCTGAGATTGGGAGTTCAAGACCAGCCTGACCAACATAGAGAAACCCCATCTCTACTAAAAATACAAAAAAAAAAATTAGCCAGGCATGGTGGCACATGCCTGTAATCCCAGCTACTCGGGAGGCTGAGGCAGGAGAATCGCTTGAACCCGAGAAGCAGAGGTTGTGGTGAGCCAAGATTGCACCATTGCACTCTAGCCTGGGCAACAAGAGGGAGACTGAGACTCTGTCTCAAAAAAAAAAAAAAAAAAAAAGAAAGTATACACATACACAACTATATATGTGTATACTTTGTACATATGTGATACACATATCACCTTGTAAGTTAAGAACAATTTACAAAAACATTTAACAGTTACACATCGTAGCACCAGCTAATTTAAAGCATTAAGGCCAAATCAATAGAGGTATAAAAGAAACGAAAAACTATTTGAAGAAGAAAGTCTTTCAGAAATGGCATAAATCTTGAACATTGTGAAGGAAGTGATTAGCAAACAGGAAGAAAAAGTTTTCTAGCTAGAAAACACAAAAATGATGAGAGGATGTAGCTTACAGTACAAATTTTTAAAGTAGCTGTGGAAGGAGATAGCCAAGGAGCAGGGAAGAATAATCTTGCAGAATGACTTAAAAAGTGACTTCACGTAAATGGTTCAGTGGAGGAACTGCAATAGAATAAAGGTAATATAACTGCTGTTCTTGAGAAATGCAGAATCTGATTATGGAATGCATACTAACAAGATAGAGTTTTAAATAGTTTTTTAAGAGAAAGAAGGGAACCTACAAGTTAATGACAGATGTAATCCCCAATTTCCTACTAAGTAAGGATCAGACTAAGTTGCACCTACTCTCCCACCTTAGTGACCCAAGGAAAAGCAAGTAGGTATGGTCTCCACTGTGATTAGTGGTCTCCAAGGAGACCATGATGAACATCCTTCTTATAAAGACAGCTTAACTCAAAGGTCTTTGCTGTCTGTCTCAGAAAACCATGCCTTAAGAAGATGACCGAGCCAGACCTGAGGGCTTCTCTCCAGCATGAGTTCGCTGGTGGTGATTAAAAGTGGAACGCTGACTAAAGGCTTTCCCACACTCAATACATTCATAAGGTTTTTCTCTCCAGTGTGGACTCTCTGGTGCACAGTAAGCTGTGAGCTGTCACTAAAGGCTTTCCCACAACTATTGCATTTATAGGGTTTTTCCCCAGTATGGGTTCTCTGATGTACCATAAGACTAGAATTATAACTGAAGACCTTCCCACACTCATTACATTCATAGGGTTTCTCACCAGTGTGAATTCTCTGGTGTATAATGAGGTATGAGTTTTGATTGAAGGATTTTCCACACTCATTGCATTTATAGGGCTTTTCACTTGTGTGAAGCCTCTGGTGCCGAATAAGACATTTACTCAGACCGAATGCCTTACCACACTCACTACACTTAAATGGTTTTTCTCCAGTATGAATTCGCTCATGTTCAACAAGTTGAGAGATCTGATTGAAGGCTTTCCCACATTCACTACATTTGTATGGCTTTTCCCCAGTGTGGAGGCTCTGATGTCGAATAAGACATTTACTCCGACTGAAGGCTTTGCCACATTCATTACATTTATAAGGCTTCTCCCCAGTGTGGGTTCTCTGATGGTCAATGAGATTTCTATTGGAACAGAATGCTCTCCCACATTCATTACACTTATAAGGTTTCTTACCAGTGTGCAGAAACTGATGTCGAACAAGATTTTTACTCCGACTAAAGGCCGCCCCACACTCCTTACATTCATAAGGTTTCTCCCCAGTATGGGTTCTCTGGTGGTCGAAGAGTTTGGAGCTCTGATTAAAAGCTTTTGCACATTCATTACATTTATAGGGTTTCTCCCCATTATGGAGTCTCTGGTGTTGAATGAGATGGGAGCTGTGCCTATAGGCCTTTCCACACTCACTGCATTCATAGGGCTTTTCCCCTGTGTGGGTTCTGAGATGAACAATGAGCTGGGAGGTTTGCCTGAAGGTCTTCCCACACTCATTACACTCATAGGGTTTCTCTCCAGTGTGGATTCTCCGATGACCAATGAGGTGCGAACTCCAATAAAAAGCTTTGCCACATTCATCACATCGATAGGATTTCTGTCCCTTTAAAACTCCTTCATGTTCAACAGGACTGGAAGACAGAGGTGGATGTTCCTCAACTTCCTTATATTCCTCATATCTGTCTTTTGTGGATTTTTTCTTATCCTCATCTATTATTTCCAAGAAATCACTTTCTAGTCTGCTCCCTTCTTCATTTGAGGGTTGTCCTTCTAACTCTTTGAAGGTATCTTCACAAACATCTCCAGTCTCTGTTCCCCCAGGAACCACCCCAAAGAGTCCCCCTGATGTGCTATTAGATGACTCTGATCCTTTAAAAATTTCCTGCTTCGGAGTCAGCTCTGAACTCTCCATCATGTTCCTACCTGCTGCCAAAAAAAATAAGACAACAACTTTTACTCATTTCTTTTCCTGTTGAAGAAACAGAATCATAAAGAGCTAATGTACCTGAAAAAAAGTCACATTATGGTTAAGAAATGAGATGACACATTGAGAACAAGAGCAAAATGCTCAATTGTATCTTAGGGATAGAAAAACAAGGAAGAAGAAGACGGTCAGTGGAGGAGGGTGGAAAAAAGATATTGAGCCAGCACAGCCAAGTCAGAAGGGTCACTGGAAAGCAAGAGACTGGATTGCAAAGCATGCTGTGATCTTATATAAGTCACTCTCACACTATGTCTCTTTAGCAAAATGGTAAACTTTGAGTTCCCTTCCAACCATGACATTATATGGTTCCATGGTTCTCAGAAAAGATGTTGGGAGAGGGAAGGCTGGCAAATACCTCAAGTCAAATATAAGAAAGAGACAAGGAAAAGATGGGAATGAGTTGAGAAATTTCTACTATGAGTGTATGATTAGGAAAGCGTACAAAAAGGAGAGATGTTGTATGACAGGACAGTAACAAGATTTGGAGAAGCTATCAGTTGAGAAAAGCTGGACAGCAGTATTGAAGGAGACAGCAGAGTTCTAAAAGTGGGGATGCCACTGGCCCTCAGAGCACTGGCCCGGTAGGAGCCAGTTGTGCACTCCCAGAAAAGATAACAGGGACATCAATCATTTGAAATATAAATTAAAATGCCTTTGATTATCTAGAATATAAAGGAAATGATCAGGTAAATATTTGCCTTTTGGAATTCTGAATACAAAATCTGGGAGAAGGCAGAGTAATCATGGCCATGGAAAAACACCAAAATGTGGGTTCCTTTCAATCACATCTGAATTGGGGCTACAGCCATCATGTCAGTTAGCCTATGGAAAGTTTAAGATGTCTGGGTGAAAGATTCCTAAGCCCACCCTTTCCAGAGTTGGCTACTGCCCTATATGCATCAATCATAGCACCTGCACTGCCAAGAAGCCCTTCCAGGAAACTGCACTGCCCCAGTCTTTGCAGAGAGCAACACTTAGGCAACCATGCTCTGTGGCAAGTGATCCTGAACATCATCCCATGATGGACTGCAAGTGATTGGACCAGTACCAGGTACCAGACCCAAGGGCAGCTTATCTGTAGGTTAGTCTTCAGCCTCTGCCATGGCCTGGGCCAAAGCTCTGCCCAACCGAGATGATGAGTAATGGCTATAGCAATGGGAATCTGTCTCTAAGGAAATTCGGAACTGGAAGTAGGGCAAAATTACGAGTGGTAATGGAATCTGAAGTGATACATGGAGAGAAGCCAAGCCATTAGGAGACACAGCAAGCAACAAATATAAGGGAACAGGAAGTACAATTAGGAAAGAGCTACGAAAAGGACAAAAGATTCACAGTGAAGAAAATGGGCAGCAGGAGGAGTACAAGCAGAGAGAAAACAGATACACTGCGAGCAGCTGCATTACATTCACACCAGAACACAGGCATCAACATGCATTTGCTTTTGCTGTTCAGGCTCCCAGGCTGCCCTGAGTCAAGGCCCTACTTCCCACAGTCTGGTCTAGCGATCAGTTTCTTCTGGGTTCTCATTCCTTTAAGCCTATGACTCACAGCTCCTTACTTACAATAACTTGAGTGGCTCTCTATTCCTTACAACTAAAAAAACTCTACCTAAACCACCTTATGTCAATCAATAATGAGGTGAAGAGAATGCTGATCATTGTTCAAGCTGAATGCAGAGAAGGTCCTATTCAAGAGGACCCAGGCAGCTCCATACACACTGACTCTTATTCACTCTAGCTTATCTCCGTTTGGAAATTTTCGTAGTAAAAAGTTTAAAAAGAAAAGGAATATAAAAAAGAGAATGGCAGCATGCAGACTCTAAGTGACTAGGAAACAGAATCATTACCCAAAGAAGCCATGCTACGGTCATTTTCCAGCATCATGTTCCAGTGCAGGGCTCTCTGACTGAGTGCGAGACCTTTCCATTTCTTCTGAGTATAGTCCTCAGACAGGTCCTCATACGCCACAGTATCCTGGAATGACAAGCTCCGATTGCTCAGGAACATTCACACCCTGAAGGGCAGAGTCATCAAGGGTACAGAGGGCACAGGGTATGGCCTCTTCGTGGGCAAAAGTATGGGAGAGAGGAGCTGAGATAACACCTCGAAAGTCCAGTGCAAGATAGAGTCCATTACCTCCAGGGGAAGCAATGAGGCAGGAGAGCCACAGGAATAGTCTTAGATGGGGCAGAGTCCTGGGGGTGAGACCTCTAGCCATTCTTGGACCAGACTCATGGGGACTTGGTAAAAACACAAAGAACCAAGCTCACCTGGGGCCTGACCATCCGAAGTACAGTTGCCCCTGCTTGGTCTCCTGAGTTCCCCACTTGAGGAAGGGTAGGAACTGGAGAAGTACATTGAGCTGAGGGAGGAAAGAAAGCTATGAGTGGGACAAGCCCTGCTTCTGGCTCCCATAAGATCTATATTCCCAATAAGTGGATTCAAGAGAACCCAGGCACCTCCACACACACTGACTCTTAACCTCTTCCATAAGGCATTATCCCAAGAGTGGTGTGAATTTTCCCTGGAGGGTACAGTACAAGGTCCCGGATCAAGCTGAGAACTGGGTGTTCCTCCAAGCCCTCACTCTCTTCAACCTTTTTCAAGGAAGCTATTCTGGCCACTCTCTCTCCCATGGCTTCCCTAGCACCAGCCAGCCCTGATTTTCCCCACACAGTTGTGGTTCCTCATGTCTGCTCCTGCCCTCTCATTATGGACACTCCTTGCAACTCAGGCCCCAGTGCTTCCTTGTTTTTTCCGTCAGCAATCTGACCAACTCTCATTGCTTTAATACTGCTCTCACAGTTCTTACTTCTCTCCTAGACCCCTACCACATGCCTCCTGTTGCCTATGGGACATTGCACTTGGGTGTCCTGCAACACCTCAAGTTCAGTGTCTAAAATGCATGTTCTTACTACCTTCCTCTCTGGATTTCCCAAGTTATGTCAATGAATTCACACACTGGCCAAAACATTTTAATTCCTCTCTTTTCTTCAAACACAAGTCCCATGGATACTCCCAAAACTTATCTACAGGTTCAACACAATCCCTATCAGATTCCCAGGGGGCATCTTTTTAGAAGTCGAAAGTTGATCCTAAAATTTATGTGGAAACTCAAGAGAACCATACAGTCACAATTCTTCTTGAAAAAGAGGAATAAAGTTGAAGGACTCAAACTTCTCAATTTCAAAACTTCCTACAGAACAACAGTCTTCAATTTATTGTATTCCTGTCATAAGAATAGACATACAGTTCAATGGATTAGAATTAAGAGTCCAGAAATAAACTATATATCTTTAGTCATTATTTTACAATGGTGCCAAGATCATTCAAAGTGGAAAGAATGATCTTTTCAATGAATGGTGCTGAGACAACTGGATATGCACCTGCAAAATAATGAAGATGGTGCTCTACCTCACTCCATCTATAAAAATAACTTCTAAAAAATCAAAGACCTACATATAAGAACTAAAACTTGCTGGGTGCAGTGGCTCATGCCTGTAATCCCAGCACTCTGGAAGGCCGAGGTGGGTGAATCACCTGTGGTCAGGAATTTGAGACCAGCCTGGCCAACATGGCAAAGCCCCGTCTCTATTAAAAATAGAAAAAATTAGCTGGGCATGGTGGTGGGCTCTTGTAATCCCAGCTACTTGGGAGGCTGAAGCAGGAAAATTGCTTGAATGTGGGAGGCAGAGATTGCAGTGAGCCGAGATCGCGCCATTGAACTCCAGCCTGGGTAAGAAAGCGAGACTCTAAGTCCAAAAAAAAAAAAAAAAAAAAAAAAAAAAAGAACTAAAACTCTAAAACTCTTACAAGAAACCTGTGTAGAAGTCTTTGTGACTTATACCTTTATGACAACGGATTTGTAAACACCAAAATCATATTAAAACAAGGAAAAAATAATAAAAAATAAATAAATTGGACTTTACCAAAAGGAAAACCTCTTGTGCATAAAAGAAAAGAAGAAGAAAGTGAAAAGCCATCCACAGACTGGAAGAAAACACTGGCAAATCATGTATCTGATAAAGACTTGTATCTGGAATATATAAATAATATATTTATATTCTTTAATATATATATATTCTTTATATAGAGAGAATATATATTTATATTCTTTATATATTACAACTCAATAATAAAAAGAAAAAAATAACAAATTTTAAAATAGGGCCAGGGCACAGTGGTTCACGCCTATAATCCCAGCACTTTGGGAGGCTGAGGCAGGCAGATCACCTGAGGTCAGGAGTTTGAGACCAGCCAGGCCAACATGGCGAAACCTCGTCTCTACTAAAAATACAAAAATTAGCTGGGCATGGTGGCAGGCACCTGTAATCCCAGCTACTCAGGAGGCTGAGGCAGTAGAATTATTTGAACCCAGGAGGCAGAGGTTGCAGGGAGCTGAGATTGCGCCACTACACTCCAGCCTGAGTGACAGAATGAGACTCCATCTCAAAAATAAAAATGAAAATGGCCAAAGGGTCTGAATTGACATTTCTCCAAAGAAAATATTAAAATGTCTAATAAGTACACAGGATAGTCATCAGGGAATGCAGATTAACCGAACAATAAGATAGTACTTCACACCCAGTAAGGTGGCTAGAACAAAAATCCGATAATAACAAGCAATCATGGGAGGCCAAGGTGAGTGGATTGCTTGAGTCCAGGAGTTCAAGGCCAGCCTGGGCAACATGGCAAAATCCTCTCTCTACAAAAAATACAAAAAATTAACTGGGCCTGGTGGCATGCACCTGTGGTCCCAGCTACCCAGGAGGCTGATGTGGGAAGATGGCCTGGGCCTGGAAGGTCGAGGCTACAGTAAGCCAAGATCACACCACTGCATTCCAGCCTGGGGGACAGAGCAAGACTCTGTCTCAAAAAAATAAATAAAAAATCAGTGAGAATGTGGAGATATTGAAACTTTATCCACTGCTGGTGGAAATGTAAATTGATGCATACACTTATGAAAACAGTCTGACAGTTCCTCACGAAGTTAAACATACATTTACTAATTGACCTAGCAATTCTACTCCTATATATATATACACCCAAGATAAAAGAAAATAGATGTCCATACAAAAACTCATACACAAATGTTCATAGCAGCATTACACATAATAGTAAAAAGGAAGAAACAATCCAAGTATTCATCCAGCTTTTCATATTTATTGGCATAAAGCTATTTACAGTATTGGTATTCTCTTAAAATTAAATAACTATATCTTCTTTTTGTGCACACTCTTAACAATCCAGGAATAGAGACATCCTTAAACTGACATGCAGAATAGACGAAAGAAATCTCCAACAGACGTGACACTAAATGGTAAAGACATAAAAACCTTTGCAATTAAAAATAGGAACAAACATTGTAATCCTAGACAATGTAATTAGACCAGAAAAAAAAATGCAGAAAATAGACAAGAAAGATGCAAAGCAAATATACGCATGAATGATATGAAACATCACCTAAAAAATTAAACAGAATGAACCAAAAAAACAGAACGTCATAAGACATTCAGGAGATTGAATATATAATCAATATATACTCAATAACTTTCCAACACAATAGCAACCAATCAGAAAATGAATTAAAACAATAGCAACAAAAATATAAAGTACTCAGAAATAAAGCCAATAAAAAATGTACAAGACCTTAGTGGATAAATAGAAAACTCTGCCTAAAGACATAACAGATATAAATACATTTTGTATGGGAAAACACTCCTTCAAGATGTCAGTTTTTTCTAAATTAACATGCAAAGTCAACAAAATCCCAGCCAACTACAATGTAATTTTTCATAGAGCTTGATAAGCATACTCTAAAATTCAAATGAATGAGAAAAATAATAGTTAAGAAAACTTTTTAGATGTGGAAAGTTTTGTTCTACCAGACAATAAGGCTTAATATAAAGCTGTAGTACTTGAAACAGCATATATTACTGAAGAAATATAAATATGCAAACTGTAGATAAAAGGAAAAGTACAGAATCCTGACACAGGCTTATACACATATGTAAGTTTTGTTTTTTTGTTTCTATGGAGACGGAGTCTTGCCGTGTTGCCCAGTCTGGAGTGCAGTGGTGCAATCTCTGCTCACTGCAACCTCCGTCTCCTGGATTCAAGTGATTCTCCAGCCTCAGCCTTCCAAGTAGCTGGGATTACAGGCATGCACCACCATGCCCAGCCAATTTTATAAGTTTGATGCATGACAGAGATAGTGTCACCACAGTGTTACCTAAAAAAAAAAAATGAGGTTCATTCACCTGGCGAGTAACAAACGACTGTTTGTGAGAATGCAAGTTTAGATCAATAGGAGTTTTATTACTTGGTGTAAGTAAGGAGGACACTGGGAGTATTTTCCAAAGCAGCATCTCTCCAAGGGAAAGTAATAGGAGAATTTTATGGAGCAATGGAGAGGCGAGAGGCTACATCATCCCATGTATAGGAGGGGTCCCAGTGGTACAGACGCAGTGAGTCATTATGCCAGCACATAAGTCATGTGTTATGGTAATGAAGCTATAGCTACTCCCCGGGTGGAGACTTTAGCATGGTAATGAGAAAAGTTCACTCAGGTTCATCTATAAGTTGCTGGGGTCTGTCAGGAGCTGGGGTTTTTTTTTGTTTTTGTTTTTGTTTTTTTGAGAGAGAGTCTCACTCTGTCGCCCAGGCTGGAGTGCAGTGGCGCAATCTCGGCTCACTGCAAGCTCTGCCTCCCAGGTTCACACTATTCTCCTGCCTCAGCCTCCTGAGTAGCTGAGACTACAGGCGCCTGCCACCACGCCCGGCTAATTTTTTTGTATTTTTAGTAGAGACAGGGTTTCACCGTGTTAGCAAGGATGGTCTCAATCTCCTGACCTTGTGATCCACCCGCCTCAGCCTCCCAAAGTGCTGGGATTACAGGTGTGAGCCACCACGCCCGGCCTGGGGCTGGTTTTAACTAACTAGGTGACTGCAATCCACACAGGGTTTAGGAAGAAACAGGCTGCAGGGCAGAAGGCTGTAAAACTGGCTGACTGCTCAAGTTGATTAAATTCCTATGATCCCTGGAGGCCCTCTCTGTCTACTTATAGCAGCAAGACCTTCTTTTAAAAAGAGCCCCAGAACCTGTAAAATTAACCTGTGCCAGCAGCTGTGCTTGCTTAGAGAGAAAAAGGCTAAATATCAGTAACCACAAAGGAGAACTTAGCTCAGCAGTGCTACCCAGGCCTGAATCCTTGCTTCATTACCATATTAAAATCTCCACCTAGAAGGGAGAAATACACTTGCTAGGCACATATAGTGCTGGGTACAAAAGAAACAATGAGACTGGCCAGGCGCGGTGGCTCACGTCTGTAATCCCAGCACTTTGGGAGGCCAAGGCGGGTGGATCACCTGAGGTCAGGAGTTCAAGACCCTCCTGACCAACATGGAGAAACCCCGTCTCTATTAAAAATACTAAATTAGCCAGGCATGTGGTACATGCCTGTAATCCCAGCTATTTGGGGGGCTGAGACAGGAGAACTGCTTGAACCTGGGAGGCGGAGGTTGCGGTGAGCCAAGATCAAGCCATTGCACTCCAGCCTGGGCAACAAGAGCAAAACTCCATCGCAAAAGAAAAAAAAAGAAAGAAAGAAAGAAAAAAGAATGAGACTGAGCACACTCCAGTTCTTCCCATAGGGCCCCACCTCTTTCCAGGATCTCTGCCCCACTACATGCCCTAAGAGACCTTAAAAATCCCTCTTCACCACACCCAGAGGAGGGTACTTTGAGCATGAGCTTTTCCTTCTCCATTCCTTCATCAACAAATAAAGTTTCTGCACTGCTTAACGAAACTTGGTCTCATTTTATTGGCATGAACACCACCAGGCAGGTAAAGGACCCACTGAAGTCAAACGACTTCCCTTGAGAGTTGGTAACAGTAGCATTACAAGTCAGTGGGAAAAATTAAACTAGTCAATGAATTGTGTTGGGACAATTGGCTAGGCAAATAAAAATAGTAAGTAAAATCACACAAAAAATAAAGAAACTTAAAAAACAAAGCTAAAAGGCTGGGTGCGGTGGCTCACGCCTGTAATCCCAGCTCTTTGGGAGGCCAAGGTGGGTGGATCACAAGGTCAGGAGTTCAAGACCAACCTAACCAAGATGGTGAAATCCCATCTCTACTTTAAAAAAAAAAAAAGCCAGATGTGGTGGCAGGCGCCTGTAATCTCAGATACTCGGGAGGCTGAGGCAGAGAATTGCTTGAACCCAGGAGGCAGAGGCTGCAGTGATCCAAGATTGTGCCACTGCACTCCAGCCTGGGTGACACAGAGTGAGACTCTGTCTCAAAAAAAAAAAAGAAAAAAACCATAAAGACTCTAAGAACCCTGGTGTAACCAAGAATTTCTTAAGACAACAAAATGAAAAGAGTGAATATATTTGAATACATCAATATGAAAAAAATCTCTGTCCAAAAGAAAAGCAAAAGAAAAAAACACCAAACACAAACCACTAATAGATGTGGAAATGTAATAGCCAACAGGAAGGATAGTTTGAAAGTCCACAGTAAAACTAAAAAGACATATTCCTTACGCTACAGGAATTTAACTTGTAAGAATCTGCCCTGAAAAACACTTGCACGGGTATTCAGACATTTACACAGGTATTTACTAAAATATTCTCTGTAATAACATAATACTGGATTTAACCTACTTGTCCATCAATATGGCTAAATAAAAGTAGCATTTTTATAGGATGAAATACCATACAGCACCTAAAAGGAACATACTAGATCCTTATGCATCACCATGACTGTTCCACTATTCACCAGGTGGCCAGGCTGTGCTGCCAAGATTAAAAGGCCATCCAAGGAAGGGATAGCACATGATTTGAGGTCGCTGAGGACAGATACCAACCACATCAGGCCCCAAGAGGTACAGCGTATACTTACAGCAAAAGGAGAAACAGGGAACAAGATCCAGCCTCCTGCAATGCAAAGAGCCCCCACACCCAGCAGATCCACTCCACAGCTATAGGGCTGGTGTGATGCACACACCCCACTTAGTAAGGAAGAAAGATCTCAATCCACCCTCCCCACTCCTATGGGGTGTGAAATACAGAAGGCTGAGAGAATGAATGAAGGCCACTGACTTAAGAGATTAAACACAACAAAGGAGTACACATGAAGCCTGAAACACTGAAAGACACAAGGCATTAAATGCAGCAGCACAGGCTGTGAGGGCTCTAACTCTGCAAGGAAATGTTCCAGGCTCAAGGTCACTCTTACATTCTTAACTTGGCAATGGGCTATTTAAAAAAAAAAAAAAGACATTAAAAACTGTCAATTCTTCTTGTCTCCCAGTTTAGATATTCCTTCTTTCATTAATTTAACAAACACCTTCTAGGAGCACCTACTATTTCCCATACACTAAGGTAACAGCAGTTAATAAAGCAAACAGAAAGCACTGCCCTGGCAAGGGGCTTATGGGAAGATAACCAATAAACAAATACATGCTATGTTAGACGGCGACAGGTGCCAGGAAGTGAAATAAGACAAGAAAAAGGGAGAAGTCTATGCCAGATGTTTTCAATGTCAGGAGACCTGGAGACTAAGATTTCCGGACGGTGGCTACTTTCACTTTTCTTCCACTTATCTAATTGTCTCTAATAAGTACGCTTTATTCGCATAATTGGGTGAAAAGATAAAGCCAGAAGAAACCGGGAATTTTCCAGATTCTCTGCCCCAGACGCCCGGGGGGCGAAGAGGTATGCCCTCGGCGCGGCCGGGCGGGATCCACGGCCAGACCCCCGCCCCGGGTGCAGCCTCCAGGCCCGGCCTCACCTGCCACTCTCGCACGCACAGCCGCCCCCGCTCCGCACCCCGCGCCCCGCCGGGCCGCTCACCGACTCCGCCGCCGAGAGACAATCATCCAAACGCCGCCACCGCAGCCGACCGCCCCGCGCCTACCTCCCAGCTTCCCCAGTTGCGCACGCGCGTCGCCTCCCCGGGCCCTCTGCGGCCTCTCTAGGAAACTGGGAGGGCCAACATCTCTGCTTCTCCCTGGGCCCAGGGCCGCTGGCGGCGGGCGGCGGGCGGCGGGCGGCGGGCGGCGGGCGGCGGGCGGCGGGGCTTGTCCAGCATCCTTCGCCTCCTTCCGCGGACACTTGTCTTCCACGCTCTGATGCCCAGGCGCGCTCCAGAACTCTATCGGCTTTGGCGTATTATCCTACATCCCTCCCATCGGTTCTGCACGGCTGCCCTGGAGGCCTCTTTTCCTTCAGGGAAGAAAGGGATCCAAAGCTAGCGGTGAAAATAGAGCCAGCGGCCTGGCGCGGTGGCTCACGCCTGTAATCCCAGAACTTTGGGAAGCCGAGGTGGGCGGATCACGAGGTCAGGAGATCGGTGGCTAACACGGTGAAACCCCGTGTCTACTAAAAATAAAAAAAAAGTAGCTGGGTGTGGTGGCGCGGCGCCTGTAATCGCAGCTACTTCGGCGGCTGAGGCAGGAGAATCGTTTGAACCTGGGAGGCGGAGGTTGCAGTGAGCCGAGATCGTGCCACTGCACTCCAGCCTGGGAGACAGAGCCAGACTCCGTCTCAAAAAACAAACAAACAAAAAAATAGGGCCAGCACATCCCCAAACATAAAACCCTTGAATGGAGAAATTCCCAAACAAGGCAATAAGCCCAGCACTGGCCGTGAGAGTTTATTATCCCCTTTTAAGTAAATGCTACAAGCCCTAGGCGCACTTTTGCAACTGTTCAAGGGTCATCAGGCTGCACATGACTGACCAAGACACTCAGTTGCCCACTTTGGATGGAGCTACAGCTTTGTGGGAAAAACAGATAATAGAAATTACACAAATACATCAATGTCAAGTGGTTACGAACACTGTTGAAATGTAACAGAGTTATTTAATTGACAGCGACTGATGATAATGCTTGTATTTTTTCTGGTACTTTTCTGTATACTTCCGGTAGCTCATAACACACTGGCTGCCATGCATTGATTTGAGTTGCCCAAGGAAATAGAGTCAGTAACTGGAATAGCCACTGAATCCAAATCTTTTGGTCTTTTCACTACTGTGCTTCATAAAAGCTCTCCCGTCCCACGTCCCTGTAGAGGGAGAGTTGGGGATAGCATGGCTCCTAGCTGAGATCCCAGAAGCTAGGGGTAGAAGGTTGTGGGCAGGATAGTGAGGAGGGCAAGATTCCAAGGAAAACTAAAATCCCTGCCCAGGAACGGTTACCACCTGGGAAAGCAGGAATGACCCAACGCATCAAGGCCCAGAGTGTACTCAAAGAACAACAGGTTAGGATGAGGGTCAAAACTCAGACCAGAAAGAGCATTAGCTGAGCTTGGTGGTGCACGCCTGTAGTCCTAGCTACTGTGGAGGCAGAGGCGGAAGGATCGCTTGGGCCGGGGAGGTCGAGGCTGCAGTGAGCTATGATTGGGGCAGTGTACTCCAGCTTGGGCGACAGAGCGAGACCCAAGGAAGGAAGGGAGGAAGGGAGGGAGGGAAGTGAGAAAGAGAGAAAAGGAATGAAAGAGAGAAGGAAGAAAGAGAGAGAACGAGAAAGAGCAGGCTGCTTCTTGGGCTACAACCTGGAGAGGCTGTGTAACATTATGAGTTGGAGAAGCAGGTACAAAATAGTAAAAACTTCTATAAAGTAGACTAACAGCATGTGGCAGAACAGTGGGTTTTTAAAGGTGGGAACAAGAGAACCAAACAATAGCAAAAATAGATTGATTAACATCAGGTTACTTTTCTTTTAAGGATTAAAGCAGAGGGGGCCTTCCTTATGCTGACTGGGGTTAACTGGGCCCTTTCTGAATGGTTGCTATGAATCTCCTGTTTGCAGGAAAAACTGGTCTGTTAGGGGATTCACATACTTCTATAAAATTTCAGTTTGATTATGTGGCATTTAGCATTAGGAATTCCTTCATTTATTTATTTATTTATTTTGAGACGGAGCCTCCCTCTGTCACCCAGGCTGGAGGGCAGTGGTGTGATCTCGGCTCACTGCAACCTCCGCCTCCCCTCCTGGGTTCAAGTGATTCTCCTGCCTCAGCCACCCAGTAATTGGGACCACAGACACAGGCCACCATCCCCAGCTAATTTTTGCATTTTTAGTAGAGCCAGGATTTGTCATGTCTGCCAGGCTGATCTCGAACTCCTGACCTCAGGTGATCTGCCCACCTCGGCCTCCCACAAGTGCTAGGATTACAGGTGTGAGCCACAGCGCCCAGCCTTATTTATAATTATTTATTTATTTATTTATTTTGAGATGGAGTCTCACTCTGTCACCCAGGCTGTAGTGCAGTGGCGCGATCTTGGCTCACTGCAGCCTCCGCCTCCCGGGTTCAAGCGATTCTCCTGCCTCAGCCTCCTGAGTAGCAGGGATTACAGGCATGTGCCACCATGCCTGGCTAATTTTTGTATTTTTAGTAGAGATGGGGTTTCACCATCTTGACCAGGCTTGTGTTGAACTCCTGACCTCAGGTGATCCGCCTGCCTCTGCCTCCCGAAGTGCTGGGATTACAAGATGAGCCACTGTGCCCGGCTTATTTATTTATTTTTGAGACAAAGTCTGGCTCTATCGCCCAGGCAGGAGTGCAGTGAGTGGTAGGATCTCAGCTCACTGCAACCTCCACCTGCTGGGCTCAGGCCATCATCCCACCTCAGCCTCCTGAGTAGCTGGGACTACAGGCGCACACCACCACACCCGGATAAGTTTTTTTTTTTTTTTTTTGGTAGAGATGGGGTTTTGCCATGTTGCCCAGGCTGGTCTTGAACTCTTGACCTCAGGTGATCCACCTGCCTAGGACTCCCAAAGTGCTGGGATTACAGGAGTGAGCCATGGCGCCCAGCCACTGGTTGTTAATCTTTTAAATATCATCCCTGAGAAGAAAAGAGACCTAGGTAACAGAACTGAAACAGTTCTGTCTGTGAACTGGAAGGAAGTCGTTGAGGAGGTCAATTTCTTTCCCTTCCTGCAGCCCCTCCTCATAGGTAGAAGGAGACAAGGTGGAAAAACAGCTCCTTTAGCCCCTCCCCCAATCACCCAATTAACCCTTTAGTTGCTGGACCATATGAACGATTCAGGATTGGCCTTGCTGTCAGAAAGATGAGGTGGATTGACAAGGTGGGGACAGCTGGTGTCAGAGGGCCATGGGGTTAAGGGCCTCTTTTATTCTCAACAAGCCTATGTCATTGTTCTCTGAGTGGGTTGGAGATGAATGGGTTGCTTGCTAAAAGGAGAGCTGGATGTGTCCTGTGCTTATGATCTCCCACATGGCCTGGCTCTGGTTACCTTAATGTCAAGACCAGCAGAAAATAGTTTGTCTTGTATGGCCTGGCCGCTAGGATGTTAGTGGAGGAAGTGGGTGCAGAGAAGCAGGGAGATACAGAAACCATAGTTGTTCTGTTGGGGTGTTAGAGTGTAACAAGTTGGATGCAGACTTATAAAAGGCAAGATGAAAGCACTAGGGGAGTTGTTAGTAGGAAGATGTGTACCATTGAGTATCCAGTTGACACTTTATGTATAGTCATCAATCAGCGGACGGTGGCAGAGAACAGTTAAATACAGAGTCAGAATGCCTCAACTGTTCCTTCCAAATCAGGAGACAGACTGCAGACAATAGACAGAAATCAAATGGCTGGGTAGTCACAGGGGTGAGGCATCTCCCTGCTGAACACCATGACTGGTGTAAACGAGGGACTCCTGTGAAGTGTGCGCATAGTATCTGCTGCCATCATGTGAAGGATATGGGTCAGTGATGAGGTCTGGGGCAACCCATCTGAGGTTTGTCTGGGATCTGGAGGAAATGTTACAATTCATCAGGCCTTCCAGCCTTGGCCATGACCAACATGCAGGTTTCGTGACTGGCAAACATGGGTGTAATTCCTGACATGAGGAGTAGTGAGTGCATAAAGACTGACATTAGGATCCTCCCAAGAAGGAAGGTTGTAAATTCAGGTGGAATGGTGGTCTGGATGGAGTACCGGGGCTAACGTGACCTTTATAACCCATGGAGGAATGACATTGTGTTTTTCAAATACAGTTGACCCTTGAACAACATGGATTTGAATGGCCTGGGTCAACTTATACATGAATTTTCTTCTGCCTCTGCCACCTCTGAGACAGCAAGACCAGCCCCTACTCTTTATCTTCCTCCTCAACCTACTCAATGTGAAGACAGTGAGGATGAAGGCTTATATGATGATCCACTTCCCCTTAATAAATAGTAAATATATTTTCTCTTCCTTATGACTTTTTTTTTTTTAAGACAGGATCTTGCTCTGTCACCCAGGCTAGAGTGCAGTGGCGCAATCATAGTTCACTTCAGCCTCACCTTCCCTAGCTCAAGCAATCCTTCCATCTCAGCCTTTGGAGTAGCCAGGGCCGCAAGTGTACACCACCACACATGCCTAATTTGCAAAATTTTTGTAGGAATGGGATCTCTTCATATTGCCCAGGCTGCTCTCGAACTCCTGGGCTCAAGTCATCCTCCCACCTTGGCCTCCCAAAGTGCTGGGATTACAGGTGTGAGAAGATTTTTTTTTTTAATTGAGATAGGATCTCACTCTGTTGCTGAGGCTGTGGCATGATCACAGCTCACTGCAGCCTCAAACTCCTGGGCTCAAGGGTTCCTCTTGTCTCAACCTCCCAAGTAGCTAGGACCACAGGTGCATGCCACCATGCCCAGCTAATTTTTTTAAAAATTTTTTGTAGAGATGGAGTCTCACTATGTTGCCAAGGCTGGTCTTGAACTCCAGTCCTCATACAATCCTGCCTGGGCCTCTCAAAGTGCTGGGATTACAGGAATGAGCCACTACACCTGCCCAGTTTTCTCATTAACATTTTCTTTTCATAATTTACTGTATTGTAAGAATACTGTCTATAATACATGTTACATACAAAATATGTGTTAATTAACAGTTTATGTTATCTCTAAGGCTTCTGGTCAACAGTAGATGATTAGTAGTTAAATTTGGGGGGAGGCAAAAGTTATATGCAGATTTTCTACTTCATGGTGGGTCAGTATTCCTAACCCCTAAGTTATTCAAGGGTCAACTATATGTCCACAATTTTTTGCTACTTCTCCCTTCAAGAGATGGAGCTGGACTTAGTGACTTGCTTCTAACAAATAGAATAAGGCAGAAGTGATGATGGCTCACTTCCAAGACTAGGTTATAAAATGTCTATGGCTTCCTTTGTCCTCTGTTTCTGAGATCACTCACATTAAAGGGTGCTAGCTGCCATGCCTTGAGAACACTTAAGCAGCATCATGGAAGGCCCACGTGGCAAGAGACTGAGGACTCCTGCCAAGTGCTAGCGAATAACTCAGGCCCCTCTTCAACGGTCACATTAGTGAACCATCTTGGAAGTGGCTCCTCCAGAGCCAGTTGAGCCTTAAGATGATGACAGCCCCGGTCAACATCACAGCTAAAATCTCAGGACAGACTTTGAGCAAGAACAAATCAGCTAAGCTACTCCTGAATGTCTGACCCACAGAAACGGTGATACAGGCAGTGTTTGTTGTTTAAGCCACAAGTTTGGGGATAATCTGTTATATAGCAACACATAGATAATGACTATACAAAGTTTTTAAAAATCTCTTAAATTTCCCACACTATCCTTCATCTGCAGTTCCTCACTCCCTCTCTGAAATGGTACTTGGAAATTTTGAAATAATCCTACGCATTAGTTAGGACTCTCTTCATCATACGTAAGAGCCACAGATCAAACTACTTGGAGCAAAAGAGGAAGTATCTTACATAAACACTTGAGCAGCAGGGGTGCAGCTGGATCTTAGAAATCCCTGAAACCAGAGACTAGAAAGTTGGTTAGAACACATCTAATAGCTTTGCCTTTAGTTCTAATTCAAAAGAATCTCAGGAAAAGGCTTTGGTTGGTCAATTGAGGTTGCATGCCCATTTCTATTTTTTTTTTTTTTTTTTTGAGATGGAGTCTCGCTCTGTCGCCCAGGCCGGAGTGCAGTGGCGCGATCTTGGCTCACTGCAAGCTCTGCCTCCCAGGTTCACACCATTCTCCTGCCTCAGCCTCCTGAGTAGCTGGGACTACAGGCGCCCGCCACCACGCCCGGCTAATTTTTTGTATTTTTAGTAGAGACGGGGTTTCACCGTGTTAGCCAGGATGGTCTCAATCTCCTGACCTCATGATCCGCCCGCCTCGGCCTCCCAAAGTGCTGGGATTACAGGCGTGAGCCACCGTGCCCAGCTGGTTGCATGCCCATTTCTAAACCAATCAACAGTTGTGGGCAGGACTTCTGTTTCAAGTAATTTTGCATATTAGATGACCTGAAAACTCTCCTGCACAGAGATGTAGAGATTTAAAATACGAAAGTTTCAATAGAATCCAGAGGTTCACACACACAAAAAGAAAATATGAAAGAGTCTAAGAGACATAGAGGAAGAAATTATAAGGTTTCGCCTACAGCTATTAGGAGTTCCAGAAAAGAAAAAAATTAACCACATGTATTCAAAGATAGAATAGCTGTTAATTTTCCAAAATTATTGAAAAACCAAAATCCTTAGATTCAGAAAGCCCAGTAAATCCTAAACAGGATAAATAAATATAAATCTGCACCTAGACACACTGTAGTGAAATTGCAAGATATCAAAGTTTTTTCTCATGCATCCTGTCCAGGCCTGATAAGTCTCTTTTGGTTAAAGTTTCTTTTGTCAACATTCCTCTTAGATTGACAGGGACCAGAAACAGGCACCTATCCCCAGTTATAGTTTGATAATTAGGCTACTTGCTTCATTGTTCCATTCCTCCCCCAACAGACATAGCGGTCCATACTCCTGAAGTGGGGGTCACAGCAAAGTATCATTTCAACACTGGCAGCCATTAACAAATACACACATCACCGATGTTCCCAGCATAAGCGTGCTGCTGGTTCTGCTGAAGGTACTGCTTGTAACATAAATATAATATAAAAAAGCAAATGCTTTTTGTTTTGTTTTGAGACAGAGTCTTGCTCTGTCGCCAGGCTGGAGTGCAGTGGTGTGATCTTGGCTCACTGAAACCTCCACCTCGCAGGTTCAAGCGATTCTCCTGCCTCAGCCTCCCGAGTAGCTGAGACTACAGGCACATGCCACCACGCCCAGCTAATTTTTGTATTTTTAGTAGAGACAGGGTTTCACCATGTTGGCCAGGATGGTCTTGATCTCTTGCCCTTGTGATCTGCCCACCTCGGCCTCCCAAAGTGCTGGGATTACAGGCGTGAGCCACCACGCCAGGCAAGCAAATTCTTTTTTTTTTTTTTTTTTTTGAGAAGGAGTTTCACTCTTGTTGCCCAGGCTGGAGTGCAATGGCACGATCTCGGCTCACTGCAGCTGCCTCCTGGGTTCAAGTGATTCTCCTGCCTCAGTCTCCCAAGTAGCTGGGATTACAGGCACTCGCCACCACACCTGGCTAATTTTTTGTATTTTTAGTAGAGACGGGGTTTCTCCATGTTGGTCAGGCTGGTCTTGAACTCCCGACCTCAGGTGATCCACCCACATCGGCCTCCCAAAGTGCTGAGATTACAGGCGTGAGCCACCGCACCCAGCTGCAAATGCTTTTTAAAATGCTGCTTTGATTCAGTTTGAGATCCTGGCTAGAAGCTGATCAGTTCCTCTTTTTGAGCATCTGATTAAGTCCACACCCCAACACACTCCACACTGTGACCATAAGATATGCAAGTGTCTCCAAATCAAAAGGAAGAAGTTTCTCTCGTATAGGGCAAGGAGGAGGTAAATAGAGATAAGCAGAATCTTTGAGGGGAAGTTGGACAAGCAAACGGAAATAACCAGTGAGGTCTGACAGGACGGTATCTTCCTGTGGTGTGCCAGTTCCCAGGAGAGGCTGATAAAGGGGTTTATTCCACTGTTTGTATTCACTTAGGTGTGGAGTCAGGCAGAATTCTGGGACCCGTAGGAAGGAGAGAAGCCTGAGGAAAGTTTGGCTCTCAGGTATTTTGTTCCACTTGATCAGTGGGGACAAGCATTTTAGCTAATCATTCATGGGGCAAAGAATGGGAATTTGGAGGGTCTGTGTCTGGCCTTGTCATCGGTAAACTGGAGGTATCTGGGAGTCTTACGTAAGTCACATGGGGAAGGGTGGTTCTGTGTAGAAAGTCATTTTCTGGAACACAGGAGAGTGAGGAGATTTCTTAACCTTCACTGTTAACCAGAATCACAGGGCTCAGGTAAAATTCAGCATTGTCAAAAGTAAAAACAGCAATGGTTCTCTGAGGCAATTATAAGTCCAACAGCTCTTCATAGGTGTGACCTTTATAAGTGACCTTTTTTCTGCATACAGAGCAGAGAAGTGAGAAGAGCACGTGATTTAGTCATAAAAATACCTTACATTTACATACCAATAGCTACCTTTTTCATATTTGTTAAAGATATGTTTAGGGTAAAATTACAATGATATAAATTTAACTTGTACTATAAAATTGCACTGTCAGTCACTGCTTCGTTCAAAGCTGGTTTTTCCTTTTCTTTCTTTTTCCTTTTGTGGAGAACAGGAATGTTCTCGCTATGTGGCCCAAGCTGGGCTCAAGCGATCTTCCTGCCTCCATCTCCCTGAGTGCTGGGATTACAGGCACAAACTACTGTACCCTGGCTTGGTTTTCCTTTTCTGCTATCTGGAAAACCCTGAACTCATTACCTCAGTGTTGCTTGCCTACAGCTTCTGGTAGCTCCCTATTTCTGTCTGTGTCAGCTGCAGTTATACCCCTTTATTATCAATTTATAGGTTATGAAAGGGCGATAGTTTACCTGGGATGCAGGGAACTATATTGAGATTCTTGTTCTCCAAAGAATGTTGAACAGACTTATGTTCCAAGTTCCTTCTGGCACCAAGTCTAATGTTACTGTCAAGAAAGCAAACTGGCCAGGCGCGGTGGCTCACGCCTGTAATCCCAGCACTTTGGGAGGCCGAGGCGGATGGATCACGAGGTCAGGAGTTCAAGACAGCCTAGCCAAGATGGTGAAACCCTGCCTCTACTGAAAATACAAGAATTAGCCAGGCATGGTGGTGGGCGCCTGTAATCCCAGCTACTCGGGGGGCTGCGGCAGAGAACTGCTTGGATCCGGGAGGCAGAGGTTGCAGTGAGCCAAGACCGTGGCCACTGCACTCCAGCCTGGGTGACAAAGTGAGACTCTGTCTCAAAAAAAAAAGAAAAAAAAAAGAAAGCAAACTAAAGTGAATAAAATAGTCGGTAAAGGCTGTATTCAGCTTATGTGTGTATCAGTGAGCACCTCGAAATGAGGCAAATCTCTGAGCCAAAGAAACATTGGAGTTTTTGTAAGGTGAGAAGAGAAGGCTACAGATTGTGCTCTTGCTTCTGGCTACAGTTTTCTTTATGTGTAACTGCTGTGAAGCTTAGGGTTGGAATGGAAGCATGTGTTCGATTATTAATGCCTGTTTCTCTGGATCCTTGGTGCAATTTCTTTTTGGCAACTCTCAGGACACTTCTTTGGAGAGCTATCTTTGTAAGTTTTGCAGGTCGTCTGTTATAAACTAATGCTAGTTAAGGTTCAGGGGAGTGGGGGGATAGATGGGTGGATCATTTGAGGTCAGGAGTTCGAGATCAGCCTGACCAACATGGTGAAACTCTGTCTCTGCTAAAATACAAAAATTAGCACCTGTAATCTCAGCTACTCGGGAGGCTGAGGCGGGAGAATCACTTGAACCCAGTAGACGGAGGTTGCAGTGAGCCAAAATCGCACCACTGCACTCCACCTGAGTGACAAGAATGAGACTTCCTCAAAAAAAAAAAAAAAAAAGAAAAGAAAAGTAAGAAAGAAAAGAAATGAAAAGACAGCAAAGGCAGGGGAGAAGATTTTTTTTTTTTAAAAAAAAAAGGAAAAGAGGCAAAGTTCTGAAGAAAGGAAAACTGGAATCTATTTTAATTCTTTTTTTTTTTTTTTTTTTTTTTTGAGACGGAGTATCACTCTGTTGCCAGGCTGGAGTGCAGTGGCGTGATCTCAGCTCACTGCAACCTCTGCCTCCCGGGTTCAAGTGATTCTTCTGCCTCCACCTCCCAGGTAGCGTAGCTGGGGCTACAGGTGTGCACGACCATGCCCGGCTAATTTTTGTATTTTTAGTAGAGATGGGGTTTCACCATATTGGCCAGGCTGGTCTCTAATTCCTGACCTCATGATCTGCCCGCCTTGGCCTCCCAAAGTGATGGAATTACAGGTGTGAGCCACTGCGCCCAGCCTATCTTAATTCTTTTAGAGGACAGAGACATTCTAGAGAGACAGAGTGGGACATTTGTCCTGTATCACTGCTGAACTCCAGACACCTGCAGTGCCCATGTCTAGGCTCTGTTCTGCTTCCTTGTGGGGACACACAACAGAAGAGAGACAGTCCCTCAGTGGCACAGACATCCTCACCACTACTGCTATAGAGTTCAGGAGCAGGAGAACGAGGCACAAACAAATAAAGAAATAGACCTTACAGGAGCTCCCGAGTTCCCATCATCCCCCAGAGAAGAGTGCTTAAAAAGAAAAATACCAGGATTCCACCCATCATGGAAAGGGCTCCAGAAAGATACTGTGCCATCCCACAATGGTCTATGTATCAATAGGGATCACCCACAGACACCAGCAAGGTGCTTGCCTATGTAAATGGGAGCTTCCTGCAGGGAGGTACAGCTTTTGTTAGCAGAATCTCAACTTCAAGGCTGGTATCAGCCTGTTTTTTGCTAAGCCCATTCAGATCTGCTGAGCCAATTCTCCAAGAAGGGAGAAAAGCGGGAGGGAAGAGGAAATAAGCCTCCTGAGCCAACTGGAGTTCTCACTCCACACAGTGAATTTGGAGTGACTAATACTGAGGGGCCAGAATAAATGAGGGGCTGATGGAAGGCTGGCAGTTCAGGTCCTGAAGGTCTTACTGAAGAGAAAATGGATATAATGGGTATGAAGGAGGTAGGGGGATCTCCTTTTGGACTTGGCATATTTCCTGTGAAAACAAAACACAGAAAAACCAAAAAACAAAAATACCCTTATCAAGGTTCTTCAAGAGGTTGAAACAAGTTCTATGAGACCTTTCCAAGGCAGATTTCAAAATCCCCTATGAAGCTTGCTGGCCATGGCATTAAACAAATTGGAGTTTAGATTAAGCTCTTTAAGTTCTTTTTAGAACATATGTAACCAAGACTTTATTAAAAGAATCATAAGCTGTTTTACTTTTTTTTTTCCTTCCTCCATGCATGCTTGCACATAGTCACTTCAGTAGAGGGTAGTCACTAGTAATTGATTAATTTCATATCCTAACCCCTGTGGCTGCCTGCAAGATTGATAAACTTGTTTTTCTTTCTTTTTTTTTTTTTTTTTTTTGAAACAGAGTCTCGCTCTGTTACCCAGGCTGGAGTGCAGTGGTGAGATCTCGGCTCACTGCAACTTCTGCCTCCCGGGTTCAAGCAAGTCTCCTGCCTCAGCCTCCTAAGTAGCTGGGATTACAGGTGCACACCACCACGCCCAGCTAACTTTTGTATTTTTAGTAGAGATGGGGTTTCACCATGTTGGTCAGGCTGGTCTCGAACTCCTGACTTCGTGATCTGCCTGCCTTGGCCTCCCAAAGTGCTGGGATTACAGGTGTGAGCCACCGTGCCTGGCCTTGTTTTTCTTTTAAAGAACAAGGAGACCAGGCATGTGGCTCACACCTGTGATCCCAGCACTCTGGGTGGCTGACAACACAAGAGGATTGCTTGAGCCCAGGAGTTTGAGGCCAGCCTGGGCAACAGAGGAAGACCCTCCCTACAAAAAAAAAAAAAAATCAAAAAATTAGCTGGATGTGCTGTAACTCTAGCGACTCAGGAGGATCACTTGAGTCTAGGAGTTGCAGACTGCAGTAAGTTATGATTCCACCACTACTCTCCAGCCTGTGTGACAGAGCAAGACCCTGTCTCTAAAAATAAACAAACAAATAAATGTCAGGCCTCTGAGCCGGAGCTAAGCCATTGTAACCCCTGTGACCTGCACGTATACATCCAGACGGCCTGCAGGAGCCAAGAAGTCTGGAGCAGCCGAGAAACCACAAAAGAAATGAAACAGCCAGTTTCAGCCTTAACTGATTAACCAAACTTACGACATTCCACCATTATGACTTGTTCCTGCCCTACCCTAACTGATCAATCGACCTTATGACATTTTTCTCCAGGACAATGGATCTCATGATCTCCCCACCATGCACGTTGTGACCTCCTCCCCCTGCTGACAACAGATGACCACCTTCAACTGTAACTTTCCACTGCCTACCCAAGTCCTGTAAAGTTGCCCCTCTCCTATCTCCCTTCGCTGACTCTCTTTTTGGACTCAGCCCACTTGCACCCAAGTGAATAAACAGCCTTGTTGCTCACACTAAGCCTGTTTAGGTGGTCTTCTATATGGACATACGTGACAATAAATAAATCACAATGAGTCTTAGGTGATGCAGACCTTCTTGATGGCATCCAGAAGTTTGATCAGACCAAGAGATGCAAACAGCTTTGATTGTCAGGCATTCCACCTCCTGCCTACCTACCTTACTCAGAAAAGCCCCCAGTTATGTTCAAAGGGAAATCTTTGAACATAAGACTTGGTTCTGAGTGTCTCTCACCCACTCTGTTTGGTCAAATTAAATAAACCTTTCTCTGCTCCTAAGTGCTGATGTGTCAGTGTTTGGCTTACTGCACATCAGGTACATGGATCTAAATATCGGGGTTCAATAACACATGTAGGTTATTACAGGAATCCACAAAAGGGACCTTCAAGTTGCATCCTGTGTGTGTTTCTTTGGCCTTTATGACATGGTTCGGAAACACAGTAGTCTTATCTGGAGAGCGTGTTAAAACTCTGATCACTGGACCCCACTTTCACATTTATGATTGAGTAGGTCTATGGAGGGACCTGAGAACTTGCCTTCATCACTGGTTCCCAGGTGACACAGCCATTTGGGGCACCATGCTTGGAGAACCACTCCGGAGACCTCTAAATTGGTAGTTCAACCTTAGCTGCACTTAGAAAACACTGGGAAAATTTGTGTGTGTGTAACCAGCTCACGTTTCATTGTGACATTTTGAAATTGTACAAGTATTTTGACATCTGCCCCCCACATTTAGTCTCTTAAAACGACAGGAAAACATCAACCAATCACAGGTTTAATTAGTTTAAAAAATTTACCCCTTCAATTCCTCTTTGTAGCCCCCAGCACCCAATATTCCTTTGAAATATGAAACAGACCCAGCAGTGGCCAACAGTAAATTTCTACCCTGCACCCCACAACAGAGATGAAAAGTTCAAGCTCTCTGAGCATTGTGTTGCAGTGGCACTTGTCCAGAATTGGTACCTCTGCCTAGTTGGGGGAGTTTAAATGTACCAGTGAAAATAGCTTTTTCTCCTTCAAAGGGAAGAAAGAAAATCTCTCCCCAAAACCCAGAAGGTCTGAAGATCTGGCTGTGAGGTCTTTCTCTTTCTTCCTGTCCCATCTCTTCAGACCTTTTTTTTTTTTTTTTTTTTTTTTGGCAGTGGAGCAAGAGAGACCAAAACCTAACTTGAGTTACAAGAAACAAGACAGTGATGGCTATAAAGGGAGTGACCAGGAGCAACTGAGACACTCCTTTACCTCCCACATCCAATGTTTGTGCTTCACAGAAAAACGACAAAAATAACAAATCCACAAAATGCAACAGCTGGAATTACAAATTTCATTCACCCAAGGGTGGTAGAAGGCAGGAAGGAAAGGTGGGAAGGTAAATGGCACAGGGAGAAAAACAAAATATTCAAATCAATCCAGCCATAGGGACTGGCAAATGCTAGAAAAATCGCTGTAAAAAAAAAAAAACTAAAACTAAAAAAACTGTGGTCCTTTCAGACTCTCAGTGGTGTTAAAAATCCACACGCTGGTGTCAGGAAGATTCTACCTTACGTGCACCAGAGATAAAGATTCCAATTCCTCAGAGAGGGAATATGCAGAGGGCCTTTGGCAGGATGAATCGTGCCTTTCCTGGCAGGGGGAGGTAAAATGGGAAAAGAGCTGCCACAGCCTCCTTCCAATCCCACCCATCCCCTCGATGGCAGGTGACTCAGGCCTTCAGTAGCCTTCAATCTGGGTAGAGACATATGTGGTGAAGGGAACTTCTCTGCAGAGGCTGAGCTGCTCAAGGCAGACTGCAGGTGAGAGTGTCTTGTGGAAGAGTCTGTTGCTTAAGAAGACCACGAAGGAGGAGAGGTGCAACTCAAAGAGGTATGCTTGGCCGGGGATCTTTGCCTCATTGCACTGATAATGAATAAAGGAAAGAGGATAGAGAAAAGGCAGCCATGGAAAATATATGAGGACTGCATTGCTGTGAGAAAAGCCAAAAAAACCAAACCCAAAGTAGTAAAGCCAGTTCCTCTCTGTGTTAGAGGAACCGCTGGTGCATTTCAATTCCTTTACTGAACCAACCATATTTGAAGCAGTAGAATGAGTCAAGAAGAGACAAACGCCGGAGAGTAACCAGCTGACCAACAAGGTGGGTGGGAAAGAGACTCACAGACATTCCTTGAATGGGGAAAAGAGCCTGCAGCAAAAGATTGGAGAGCATGTCAGCAGTTATTTTGTGGACACTAGGGAATGGGTGAGGCTTCCTCCCTGATGCTTCAAATGCCAGGTCAGCTGTATCTTGGAACCACATGGCATTCACAACTTTGCTAGGCATGTACAAGGGGAGCACCCAAAGGCCTGGAAATTTATACGAGGAAAAATTCCAGCCATGACCAAGCATCTCCACACAGTGATGGATCATAAGTAATTCACGCTGTTACTCACTGAAGCCCAGGAATAAACACCCGATAAAGCAAGAGTAGACTGAACCAGAGCAGTCCACCCCTCCAAGCGCAACACTGGAAAATTCTACTAACACTTGCTGGCTCACTCTCTTGCTCCCACTCTATACTCTGGGGTATTCTCTGTGCCAGGACAATGCTTGCCCTTCTTCCACGCTGCTCCCCTCTTTTGATGGATTGGAGTGTCTAGCTGGAGATGGTACAAATATCCCAGATGAAGTCTTTGACTCCCCTGGAAAGGTCCTGGAGAAAGGTTTTGACACTGTCAGCCATGTCGTCAGTACCCAAACTATCAACTACGCAGAGGAGATATAAGTGCCCCCAATCTCTCATCATGAAGGACCCTGCAGCTCTGCCACCACGGCTCCAGCCTGGCCCCTCACCCACCACCACGGGCCCAGTTGGCTCCTCTGTGCCAGGCAGCCTGCTCCACCGGGGTGCTCCCAGGGTTGGGATGCTATGCCCACATTGGCCATGCCTGGGCTGCAGAGACAGGGAGATTTTTTTAAATGCAATTCTCTACCTTATTTCAAACCGATTAAATCAGAATCTTGTAGGTGGTGCTCAGGCATTGGATTTTTGCAAAGCTCCCAAGTGGTGCTTCCATGCATTAAAGTTGAGAAGCACTGCTCTAAATTTGTTTTGGCCCCGTGGAAAGGTTTCCAACTGATTTCTTATGAAAAAGGTAGTAGAAACCTCCTCTTCAGTTTGTACCAATAAGGTTATAAGGTTGGCCTCTGCCTGACTGGAGAGTGGGGCTGTACAAAAAACTGCTCCACCCCCAGTTATGTTTGGCCCCAAGGCTGGCCAATGGTTCCACTGGTTTCAGCTTCCTTCTCCTCTGCCTTGGGATTTTAGAGCCCACAGCTTCCAGCATGACCTGCTAGTTGCTGTCAAGGAGATGACGTTAACCTTGTTATGTGCCCTTTGCTTCTCAATCTCTCCTCCTTGGGACTATCAGTGATCCTAGAGATGAAGTAGGAATTGTAAATAAAAGTTTTCATCCAGACCAGTGCTTCTCAGATGTGAAGGTACAAACAAATCACCTGGCGAGCCTGTTAAAAAGAAGATTCTGATACTGTGGGACTAGGGTAGGGCCTCAGAGCCTGCATTTCTTCTTATTATTAGTATTAGTATTATTATCTTTTTAAAATTTTATTTTTCACCTCAATGTGTCACAACAAGCCTGTATTTCCAACAAGCTCCCAGGTGGTGGAGAGCTGTTAGTCTGAGGGCCACGCTTGGAGGAACAAGGACCAAATCTCTTCTTTCCCCCATTGACATTAAAGATTGTTAAGAACCAGACAAGGCACAGTGGCTCACACCTATAATCCCAGCACTTTGGAAGGCCAAGGTGGGTGGATTGCTTGAGCTCAGGAGTTCAAGACCAGCCTGGGCAACATGGCGAAACCTCATCTCTACATAAAATACAAAAATTAGCCAGGCATGGGGCACGTGCCTGTAGTCCCAACTACTGGAGGGGCTGAGTTGGGAGGATCGCTTGGACCCAGGAGGTCGAGGCTACAGTGAGCTGTGATCGCACCACTGCACTTCAGCCTGGGCAACAGAGTGAGACCCTGTCTCAAAAAAAAAAAAAAAAAAAAAAAGCATCGTTAGTGGGAACCGGGGATGTAAAAGGACTGGGCCCTATAAATGTAGCCCAAGGTACAGAAAGAGTGGTTGCTGCTTTCCTCTCAGTTGGTTAAGCATGGGTGACAGAGGCAGATTGGTGGTTCCAACGGGAACTTCTGGTGAGATTTCATCTCCTGTGGATAGGTTTGCCCTGAGAACAAGGTGAGGGGCAGTGGGTATAGGAGGCCAGAAAAGAGGGTGTGAACCAGAGCACGGAGAGGCTTTGGTGTCATGCTTCAGAGTTCTGAAGTTTCTTGTTTGTGACAGAGAAATGCCAATGAGCTTAAAACTTGGAGTGGGCAAGCTTTTTTTTTTTTTTTTCTTCTGAGATGGAGTTTCACTCTTGTAACCCAGGCCGGAGTACGGTGGTGCAATCTCGGCTCACTGCAACCTCCACCTCCCGATCGGAGTTCAAGCGATTCTCCTGTCTCAGCCTCCCAAGTAGCTGGGATGATAGGCGCCTGCCACCAGGCCTGCCTAAGTTTTGTATTTTTAGTAGAGATGGGGTTTCACCATGTTGGCCAGGATGGTCTCGAACTTCTGACCTCAGTTGATCTGCCCATCTTGGCCTCCCAAAGTGCTGTGATTACAGGTGTGAGACACTGCGCCTGGCCCAAGCTATTTTTTAAAAGTTATTATTGTGCTGGGCTCCAGGTGCCATTGTAGTCAGCTAGCACTCAGAAGCTACTCAGAGGCTAAGGCAGGACGATCTCTTGAACTCAGGAGTCCGAAACCAGCCTGGGCAACATAGTGGGACCCTGTCTGTAAAAAAAATTTAAAGAAAAATAAAAACCCATATTATTGTATCCACAGTCAACTCTGAAGGCCCTTTTATTGCTATCATTTAAGCAACTGCTTAATGGGAAAGTGAGAAAGAGCTATACTGTCTTTATGTGATCAAAATGCTTTGTTTCTTCCAGCCAACATAACTCTTGAACCAGTTTTTATAGTGAGGAGACCAAATAACCTTTTGACAAAAAAAGAAGGGCAAATCCCCAAAGCATGGTTTTGCTAGTCATTTCCAAGAAGGCATTTCTGGTCAGATTTCAAGCAGGCTCACCTAGAACTACCTCTGGGCAGCGGAGCAATTCTGATGTCTGCAGATACCTCAAGACCTTGGCCTCCGTTCATTGCTCATCTATCCTGAGGCATCGGGAAATCCAAATCACAGAGAACTCTATGTAGGTGAGGAGCATGAGAAAGCTCTCAGTCAAATTTCAAGCCTGGGTCAGCATCAGAAACTCCACACTGGAGAGAACCTCCAGCAAGTGTGGGAAAGCCTTCTTCCTCTGCTCCATCCCTGCTGCTCACCCACCAATGGAGTCACTCAGAGGAGAAGGCTATACCTGTTCTGGTTATAGGAAGTCTTTAGAGCGGATTTCAGGCCTTAGGAAATGTCAGAAATCATGCACTGGAATGAAATTCTATGTGTGTAGTGAAGGTGGGCAAACATTCCTTCACTCTGAGTTCTGCTCTTGGTGCCCACCAGCAAATCCCCCTGGGGAGAAGCACTCAGCGCAGTGAGTGTGGGGAAGGCTTCCTCTGGGTCAGAGGTCTCCTCTCACATCACAGAAGCTGCAGTGGGGAGAAGCCTGCAGGGAGAGTGGCAAAGCCATGACCCACTGCTTCCTTAGGGTTTCTCCCAGTGTGGGTGCCTTGTCAGGTTTCTGCTCTGAGATTTTCCCACACACCTCACATTCACATGTTTCTCCCCAGTGTGGTTGCTGATGCAGGCACGGCCTCTGGTGCCCACTTCAGCCTTTCCCATACTCAATGCCCCTCAAATGGTTTCTCCAACCCTGCCCTGAGTTGCACCATGAGGCCCCTGGCCCTATTGAGCACTCCCTGATGTAGACTCTTTGATGGGCAGCAACGGCTGAGCTCCAGGTTAAAACTTGCCCATGCTCATTACATACATAGGATTTTTTTTCAGTATGCACTTGCTGATGTTGCCTAAGATATGAAATCTGGCTGAAAGATTTTCCACAGTTGGGCAAATCTTTCAGGGGAGTCTAGCCCCAGAATGTCTCCTCTGGTGGGGCATAAGGGATAGAGCTCAGAGTGAAGGACTTCCCACACTCACATTGACAGAACCTTACCCCACTGTGAATTCTCTCTCAATGATGAAAAGCTAGATGCAGGGGAACTCTACCACATTCACCATATTTACAGCTTTGCGTTCTATGGAAACCTTGTGATGTTGAACTAAGTTGGAGCTGGAACTGAATCTTTGTCCAAATCCCTTATATTTCTGGCCTCCCTAACTTGTGGAGATTTTTGTTTTTAATCCTTAGTTGTTTTCACATGAGATCTCTTGCTATTTATGTTCTTTCCTAAAGGATTTCCCTGTATCTTTTCTAAGTTGTTTTTCATTTCACAGGCTGCTCCAGATTCAAACATCTGTTTTTCCCCTGATATTAATGTCAGTGAATTTATCATCATATTCTGAACCAGAATCAACATCTTGCTCTGAGTTCTGTTCTAACCCTCTGCCAAGAATAGAAAAGGCAAATACAAGAGGCATACAGGAAAGTTACTAGAACACTAGTGGGGCCCTTTGAGAGGGTAGGTCAGAGACCATTGTGAGACTCAGTGCAGAGAAGATGGAATGGAGAGCACACCAAGGAGATGGGGTCAGCAAACCAACTACAAGGAATTGAACTCTTCGGTAGCAAACAAGGGAAGGCTAGCAGGTGATGAGGGAAAGCCAAGACAGGAACTCTCACAGTAGAGAACTGTACAGGGAGGAAAACTCTGTTTTCTCTTCCTGATGAGAAAGCTTACTTTGACAACTGCCCTTCCCACCCCCTTTCTAAAGTTCCCCAGCAAAAGAGAGGCCGTTGCTAATTGGATGAGTCAGAGTCCCAGACATTAGCTGGCCAACCTTATTTAGTGGACATGATAAATGTTTCTTTTAAAGCTGGGACCTTCATTGCCCTCTCTTTTTGTGACTTTGTTCTTCTGCTATGGGACAGGGCAGAGGGTAATAGCCTGAGATTTGGTTGCAGCCTCCAGAGGGCAGTAGAAGTCTTGCTTGAGTCTGATCTAAAAAGCAGGACAGCATATACTGATCTTCATGGTTTCTTGGTATGATTATTAATGGCAGACCCTTTCTTTCACTCATTTTTATTCTACAGAGTTTCCCAGTTTGGACAATAAATTATGGTCATCCAAGAGTCATGTCATCAAACTCATCTTCAGCAGAGGGCCTGAATTAGGGAAACAGGCACCAACTCAGTAATGATGAGATACAGTTGGTAAGTTCCATTTCCTAACAGGCTACTGTTCCTTGCATGGATCTCCTTTGGGAATTCAGCATGGAGGAAGTGGGACTGGCAGAGCAGGAGTCAGTCTTCCCGGATCCTTCATCAGAATATTTCATTTCTAATACAGGACAAGAGGAGTGATTCTCTGTTGGACTGGGAGGCCCAATAATTAAATGGGGGCAAGGGATGGAAATAAGAACATTCAAGGCCAGGCGTGGTGACTCATGACTGTAATCCTAACACTTTGGGAGGCTGAGGCAGGTGGATCACCTGAGGACAGGAATTCGAGACGAGCCTGGCCAACATGGTGAAAACCTGTCTCTACTAAAAATACAAAAATTAGCTATTCAGGAGGCTGAGGCAGGGAATTGCTTGAACCTGGGAGGCAGAGTTTGCAGTGAGCCTAGATTGCACCACTGTACTCCAGCCTGGGTGGCAGAGTAAGGCTGTCTCAGGAAAAAAAAAAAAAAAAAAAAAAAATTTGAAAGGAACACAGTCTTTGAAAGAATGAGAAACAATGCTTTCAATGGGGAGTGGGTACAGGCCATGAAGAGGGAGCTATCTCGCTGTGTCTTAAACCAGAAAGCTCTGCATGTGAGGTGGGCCCAGAAAAGATGAAGGTGACTCTAGAAAGACCCAGTGTGCCTACGGGTGTAAGCCTTCTAAGTCTCCCTGTTTCTGGTTTTTCCACTCAATTTTTACTGCACCAAAGAGCAGACAAGGAGGAATATAGGAGAGAAAGCATGGGCCATAAAAGACACTAATATAGTGTTACAAAGTCCAAGTCTATCCTTAATCACAATGTATACAAACATGTTATGTTTCCTCATTAAAAGGAAGGAGGGAGACAGAGAAGGGAGGAGACTTTTTACAAGAGATTTACCTACAATAAAACCAAACAATAGAAAAGGTTGAAAAGAAAGGAAGGAAAAAGGGTACACCAAGCAAGTTCTAACAACAAGAGAAAAAGCTGTGTAGAATTATTAATATGAGACAAAACAGACTCTAAGGCTAAGCATTTAATGGGCATAGAATGGAATATTTCATATTGATAAAAAACCAATAATCAATCCCTAAGTTGTCGAACAATGTCCAAGTCAGGAAACCTAGAAGTTACTCTTTTTTTCTTTTTTTTTGAGATGGAGTTTCCCTCTTGTTGCCCAGGCTAGAGTGCAATGGCACAATCTCGGCTCACTGCAACCTCCTCTGCCTCCTGAGTTCAAGCGATTCTCCTGTCTCAGCCTCCCAAGTAACTGGGATTACAGGCATACACCACCATGCCTGGCTAATTTTGTATTTTTAGTAGAGACAAGGTTTCACCATGTTGGCCAGGCTGGTCTCAAACTCCTGACCTCAAGTGATCCATCTGCCTCAGCCTCCCAAAGTGCTGGGATTACAGGCATGAACCACCACGCCCAGTCTAGAAGTTGCTCTTAATTCTCCACCCTCTCACATCTAAAACATCAGCAAGTCCAGTTTATTCTTCTTCCAAAATGCATTGTAAATCCACCCATTTCTTTCCATCTCCACAGCACATCATCCCTAGTCCTGGCCACCATCTTCTCTCAAATGTAGTCCTGCAATGGTGCTCTAACTGGCCTCCTGACACTGAAATTAATCTCCCCCAAGCAACTTCAAATTGGTTAACCTGGCCAACATGGTCTTCCGCAGGCAGGCCTCTGCCCAACTCTGACTGCACCTCTGACACTGTGACTCTCATCCAGGCACAGTGGCCTCCCTTCTGTCACCTGATCAGCCCAATCAGTTACATCTTGAGCCTTTGCAGCAACTTTTCCCACTGCATAGAATGCTCCTTTCTCACACCTTCAGGGGTATAGCAGTCCTTTAAAATTCATCTGTTAGTTTAAATGGCACCCCCTAAGAAAGGAGGGTGAAGTTTTTCAATACTTGTTAATATAGGAGCATAAGAATTACTGTAATTATCTTTCAACCTATTTGTTACCTTTATAAATAAACTTCTTATGACATAGACTACTAACACTAATCTGTGAAATGTTGAATTATGATGAAAACAGAGAACTGAGAGGCTGGGCACGGTGGCTCGTGCCTGTAATCCCAGCACTTTGGGAGGCTGAGGCAGGAGGATTACTTGAGGCCAGAAGTTTGAGACCAGCCTGGGCAACATAGTGAGACCCCTGTCTCTACAAAAAAACAATATAAAAATCAGCTGGACGTGGTGACACACACCTATAGTCCCAGCTACTCAGAAAGCTGAGGAGGGAAGACAGCTTGAGCCCAGGAGGTCAAGGATGCAGTGAGCTATGATCACACCACTTCACTCCAGCCTGGGCGACAGAGTGAGACCCTGTCTCAGAGACAGCGAGAGCAAATGGGGGTAGGGGGGAACACTAAGGATTCTCCTTCAAATAGTCCAATTTATTTCTTTTTTGTTTTTTTGAGACGGAGTCTTGCTCTGTCGCCCTGGCTGGAGTGCAGTGGTGCGATCTCGGCTCACTGCAACCTCCGCCTTCAGCGTTCAAGCAATTCTCCTGCCTCAGCCTCCCAAGTAGCTGGGATTACAGGCGTGCGCCACCACACCCGGCTAAATTTTGTATAAAACAAGTACCATCCACTAGATGGCGCTTCTAGCCTGTTCTATCCTGTTCTTGACTCTTTTCAGGACCCTGGACAGTGCCTGGTGTACAGCAACCGTTCCGTAACTATTGAATGATTTGTCATAAACTTACATGCACCCTGAACCTATCAGCACAGCTTTAAAATATATAAGGCAAATGGGTCTACAAAAAGAAAGAGACGAGTGTGAAGCCAACCCACACCCCTTAGAAACATACTAGGGAAACCCAAAACAACAAAGAACTTTTTAAATGCAAAAGTAGAATGACTGCTTTTACCCTCTGTATTTCTGAATTATTTTTTCAGGATTAATATGTATTACTTTGATAAATGAGATTAAATTTTTCTTCATGTTCCCTTCTCAAATTGTAAAGTCTTTTACTATGGTTCTAAGGAGCTGGTCAAACCTGTTCAGGGGTGTTAAGTGCACACCAAGATGGAAGGTGACAGGAAGGTGTATAACATTAGGATTATATTTAGGTTTATTCTTTTTTTTTTTTTTAGACGGAGTGTTGCTCTGTCACCCAGGCTGGAGTGCAGTGGCATGATCTCAGCTCACTGCAATCTCCACCTCCCAGGTTCAAGTGATTCTCCTGCCTCGGCCTCCCAAGTAGCTGGGATTATAAGCCTGCACCTCCACGCCCAGCTAATTTTTGTACTTTCAGTAGAGACGAGGTTACACCATGTTGGCCAGGCTGGTCTCAAATGCCTGACCTCAGGTGATCTGCCAACCTTGACCTCCCAAAATGCTGGGATTACAAGTGTGAGCCACCACGCCCAGCCTGTTTAGAGTTATTCTAAAAATCATAACTTCTTGGAATTAAAAAAGTTCTATACATGGCTAGTAACCCCTTCTGCAGCTGAAACTGACTACAAGTCCCCTTCTGTCACCCAGAGTGACCAGAATTGTGTTCTGTGAGGGGCAGGGTTCACTGGATAGCATGAGGTGACGTGCCAGGCTGAATTCTCTCCCTGCAGTGGAGGCTACTCTACAATAAAGTGAAAGGAAGATCTGACCTAATGCCCTGCAGAGCTTCATTTCTCCCACCATCTGGTTTTGTAAGGAAAAAAAGTATGTGCTTCTATGTATTTTTTTTAGCACTACTCCTTAATTTAAATGTCTATTTAAAAAAGACCAAAGCTTAACTGGTTATCTTTGAAATATAATTTCTTTTTATTTTCTTCTTTTACTTCTTTATATTTTCTTATATTTCTACAATCATAAGTACAAATTAGGTGGCAAAGAAATGATATAAAAGAAGCATGGTATCTGCCAAATCAAATTCTCTGGATGAGCTAATGCCCACCCAAGTGGCAAGTTGAGGAAAGGAGGGTGCTGTTGACTTACGGTCCATTTCTAATCTGTCCTGAGCGTTGGTAAGGCCAGGGGCTGGACAGTGGGCTATTGGAGAGGACTCCAGTCTCAGGCCAATGTACTCGGTACTTCCATCAGGAGGGTATGTGGCAGCTGGCCCTTCCATCCACAGTATCTTTTGGGCAGCTATACTGATCACTGTGGGAAAGAGAGTTTCTGCGGTGCCAGCTGAGTTGGTCTTCCCTGTGTGAGACACCCAAGGGGAGCCATGGGCGGCCTCTGAGGAGAAAAGTCTTCTTATTGCCTTCATGTCTTTATGCCCCGACAGCATAACCACTCAGCAGAATTCCACAGTTGCTCAAGGAGGTAACACTCCCTTGAAGCAGTGGAGTATAATCAAACATCTTGGCCCCTCCTGAAAGCCACTCCCACCCATTTCAGTCCCGATAAGTTAAAGATCTTAAGTAGTTTAGACACATGCCTTTGCTCAAGGAAATTCACAGAAACCACCACAGCTACACATATTATTGAATGACTCATGAGTTCTCCTTCACTGATTAATCCTTTTCCTCATCCCTTCCTACCCCTCCCATCTGCCCTAAGAACAAAGAGCTTGTAAACCAATAAATCAGGCAGAGCCTGGGCTGTGAGCAAGCCTCCGATGCTCAGGTCCCCTGGACCTGCTTTTTAAACGCTTATTCTGTCTCTTTCTAACTCCTTTGTCTCCGCTGGACTCAGGGTAGCAGGTGGTGTGGGGCTGGTTTCCCCAAACAATCACTGTAACAGATAAGGCAACATAAATACACTTTCTCATAACTTGTCATCTGCACTAGATTTAACAGCAGCACCAGTGATTCTGCAGTGCCCTCCAGGCACTGGAGCAGGATGACTTTAGGCATTTCTACAAACCCAAAACCTCCTTTCCTTTGTTGCCTCTCTTGACTCCACCCAGGGGTGCTTCTGTTTGAGGACTCATAGGGGAGCCAAATAAAGAACATATTGGGCCCATATTTTTAAATTATTTTCCTTATGATGTTATTGCAAATCACAGACTATCTTCCTGGGAATAATCCAAAATGTTCATTGCTTTTCTTTCTAGTGTGGGCAAACTAAATTTCTGTGATTGAGACCAGGACAAATTGGTCTTAATAGATGTTCCCTTCCAATAGGCCTGGTAGATGTGAATTAATGTCAAATTGACTGAATTGCTCTCCCTCCAGCTGTGACTAGCCAGACCAAGCAGCTACAAAAGTGCTCCCAGGAGGAATGGGACTTCCTCCCATCCCCTTTCACTTGGGATCTTCCTTGTCCCCTCCTCTGCATTACTCCCAGTTGGACAGAACAACTCACCCCCAAGCCCTACAACAATGGAACCCTCCCAGGCCAACCCCTTTAGGCCTGGCACCAGCCCAACCACAATTCATGCACGTCACCCTGCTAACCCACTAATAACATTGCCCCCCCTCTTTGGGAAGCTGGGAGATCTTCAGAGCTCTTTGGTTTTCAAACTTCAAGATCTTAAAAGCATGGTTGCTGTATCCATTCCAATAACTGAATGAAATTGGCATGGGGTTCATCTGCCTGCAGACACAAGGGAAACTGAAAAGAACTAACATTTGTTGAGAATCTTACTGTGCACTTTGTATTGTGTTTGGTTCCTTGGCGTTGTTGTCCCATTTATTCCTCATGGCCACCTAAGTATAGCTATGCCCATTTTATAGATAGAAGAAACTGAGGCTCAGAGAGATGACTCCCCATGCCCAAGATCACACACTTCCTAATATTAGGAAATGTTACATTAGGAGTTACAGCGTCAAGAAATGATCCTGTACAGATGCATTATGGTTTCTCCTCAAGAGGAAACTGTTCTGGGGATTCCTTAGTCCCATTAGTGCTGGGTCCCTGGCACCTTCCAAGTCCAGCTTGTGCCCAGTCATTGTGGCTGGACAGCCCTGCTGGTTGTTCTTATTTACTAGAATTATCTCAGAGGTGGTGACATTGCTATATGGTCTAAACACTGCCAGCTCCACACAAAGGTGCCATGGCTCAGCCATCACATTGGAAGGGCCTGCTTCACTCCTTCGCTGCTGTCATCACCCTGAGGCAGTAACTTCTCTCATAACCTCGGGGCTAGAGCAGATTTCCCAGGAAGAGAATACAACACCAAAACTCCTCTTTCACCACCTTCCCAAGCTTCTAGATCTCTTTTTATTCCACCTACACAGAAACCATGTGGGAGATCAGAAGCCTTCAGTGACCTTCGGCCACATCTCCACATCTTTTCAAAAATCTCATAAGGATGGTTGTATTAGTCAAGGTTCTCCAGAGAAACAGAACCAACAGATTAGATATAGATATAGATGCCCTGAGAGAAATTTATTTTAAGAAGTTGGCTCATGCAATTATGGAGGCTAAATCTCACAATCTGCCAACTGCAAGCTGGAGACCCAGGTAAGCTGGTGGCATAGTTTGAAGGCCAGAAAGCCAGGGAGCCAATGGTATGGATGCCAGTTTGAGTTTGAAGGTCTGAGTACCAAGAGTGCCAAGGAAGGGAGAAGATCAATATCTCAACTCAAGCAGTCAGGCAGAGCAAGAACTCAACCTTCCTGTGCCTTTTTGTTCTTTCTATTGAGGCCCTTAACGGATCATGCCCACCCACACTGGGGAGGGCCATCTGCTTTATTTAGCCCACCAATTCAAATTCTAATCTCTCACAGACACATCCAGAAGTAATGTTTAACCAGATATCTGGGCACCCTTTGCCTAGTCAAGTTGACATGTAAAATTAACCACCACGATAAAGGTAGATTAGTTTCCAAAATTCAACAAGGTCTTACATCTTCACCACTCCTGTACCTAGAATTTAGCCCAAAACAATGAAACCCTTCCTTTTTTTATTATTTTGAAAATTACATAGGCCATTAAGTTGGAATCCCATTCTAGAAACCTGGAGGTTTTCTGTGGAAGGGAGGTCAGAATAGAACAGCTTGTACAGGAGTGAAGGGGAAAACACAGCTCAGCCACAGAGGCCCATTCACTAACCCTTACTTGTATGAGCTCATCTGTTTTTCTTGTACTTTCATTCAATATATGACCACTGGTGCCAGGTAATGTGCCAGGAGCTACAGAGAGCTATAGAGTGTACTGAGAACACTCCAACACTGGCATCAGCCATCTCTGACCTTATAATCTGTTTTTCTTCACAGTATCTTTAATAATGGAAATTGTTTATTGTTTATCTCTTCCACTAAAAGGTAAGCTGTATGAGAACAAGGCCTGTGTTTTTCTTCATCACCATTCTATCCCCAGCACATAGTAAGTATTCTTATGCTAAATGAGAGGATGAATGAATGAATGAATGAATGGAGATCTGACTTCTATTCTCCTTGTTGCCACTGTTTGGGTGGAAAGACATTGGGGCCATCCATCAGACTGGGGAACCCAGGAGGAATAGGTTTATGGGGACAGGGAGATGAAGTCTGCAACTCCCTGTTTGGCGGATAATCAGTTGAAATGTTAATTGACTTAATTTTTTCCCTCTATCCTGCCATGTAGGAGTCCCTTACCTATTCAGTTAGAGGCAGTTCAGGAAAAATCTGGCATTGTTGCAGCAGGAACGCAAGGAGAATAAAACAATATTTAGTTCTAATATCCAAATAAGATTCCTAAAACTGCACATCAGAAATAAGTTTTTAAAACCAAGATGTTGATTAACAAAAGCCAATAAAAGGAACAAGTGATTTTTTTTAAATTAACATTATAATGGAAAGAAAATAATATAAGAGGGGATTCGGTCTGGGACTGGGGAGAGACCTGAGGACCACAGGAGAAATGAAGAAGCATGAGGAGGGAGGACCTTTGTGAGGACTTTTTGAACTGGGGAGACCACAAAGCGAGGAGGTGGAACACAGATGTGGAGTGTGTCCAGCTTCCCACATGTGCATGCATTATCATCACCAGTGCACGAGTTTGTGTCAGTGGCCCAAGACCACCCCTTACAATTCAAGTGCACACTCCTGTAGCCAGGAGCCAACTGTTGAGGGTCTTCTTTTGACAGCTGCCTGCAGCCTGCCCTTGGTCAACCAACAAGGGAGAATTCATCTATGACCTGAGGTAGGCACAGCCCAACCAAACCACCCTATGTAACAAACCACCTTTACAATAGTCTAGGTCATCTGCAAGCCTAAAATAAGAAAGTGGCCCTGGTGTTCTGGAGAGCAAGCCGTTCTCAAAACATGATGTGGGGACTCCTGGAACCCCTTCAGGTGCTCTGTGAAGCCCAAACTATTTTCACAATAATTTCACAAACTATTTTCTTAAAGAACTAAGATTTTCTTTTCCTCCCTTATTCTCATTCTCATATGAGTGTATAGAGGCTACATATTTGTCATATCCCAACAGATTAAATGCAAAAGAATATATAGCAATCCAGCCAACTCCCATTAACCAGTCTCTAAGGAGATTTACAAAAAAGTAAAATGGTACCACTCTTCTAACTAATCTTTGGTTTTGAAAAATACAGTTATTTTCATTTTAAAATGTTGTAAATAATGTAAATACTAACATATAATGAAGTTATTATTGCATTTGAATGAATTAATGGATATTTTAAAATGTCTATCTTACTTATAAGTGAACACCAATAAGTTCTTTGCAGTCCTGAATAGTTTTTAGGGGTGTCAAGAGTTTTTGACTAAAGAGCTTGAGAACCTCTGATCTAGAAGGACGGAATTGTGAAAGTAAAAACACAACAACAACAACAACAACAACCAACTCTGCACTTGGGTGAGAATGAACAGAACCAGAAGAAGACAGTTTGAAGCCAGTATAGTAGAGAAAACCTGCCTATTGCACCTGCTAAACTGCAAACACCCAAAGGGCTCATGTCTAGCCTACTTGCATCTAACTCGCTGCCTGACATTCAGTTGGTGCAAAATGAATATTTGTTCCATCAGTATCTATACAACTTGAGATGTGCTGAGCTTGAGGTGTCTGTGAGATATCTAGGGAGAGACAAGTAGGGAGACAAATGCATGGAGTTGGAATTCACTGAAGTAGATATACAGATGTGGAAATCATCAGCTTATGAGAGGTGGGTGAAGCAAGGAGTCAGTGAGCTCATCTAGAGAGGGAGGGTGTTAAAAACGAAGTGAAAAGGTCAGGGAAACCCTGGGGAACACTAACATTTAAGAGGTGGATGGAGGAAAAGATCAGCCCATTTTGAGAGCCCAGATGTTTGATGCTATGTACTAGGAAAGTTGTGTCAAAGAAGTAGAACTGACAAAGTATGTTATTACTGAAGTCAAGACAGAAGAGAAGTGCAATAAATTAAGAGTGGTCCTGTGACAAGCACCGTAGCTTGGCTCACCCAACATCTTTTCTAACTCTCTTTCTCCTGAACTTCCTTCATTTCAAAAGTCTAGCTATTGTAGCTGGGTGTGGTGGCTCATGCCTGTAATCCCAGCACTTTGGGGGCTCAGGTGGAAGGATCTTTTGAGCCCAGGAGTTTGAGACCAGCCTGGGCAACATGTGAGACTGCATTTCTACAATTTTTTTTCTTCAATTAGCCAGGTGTGGTGGCACACGCCTGTAATCTCAGCTACTTGGGAGGCTGAGGTGGAGGGATCATTTGGGCTGGGGAGGTCGAGGCTGCAGTGAGCCATGATCATGCCACTGCACTCCAGTCTGGGCAACAGAGCAAGATCCTGTCTCCAAATGGACATAGTGGCTGTCCAATATGGTAGCCACTAGCCACATTTGGCTATTTAAATTCAAATTAATTTAAGTCAAATAATATCAGAAATGCAGCTTTTCAGTCATACTAGCCAGGTTTCAAGTGTTGTCACCACATGTGGCTAGAAGCTGTTTTATTAGAGCAAGTATAGAACGTTTTCATCATCACAGAAAGTTTTATTGGACAAAGCTGCTCTAGAGGTTGGAAACCTAAAATGGTCTCCCAGATTCTCTTGGAACTAGAAGTGGCCAAATGCACAGTTCTAATGTGTAGGAGAAAGTCCTTGGTGAGGCATCTCTTACCCAATAGGTTTTTTTTTTTATTAAAAAAAAAAAAAAGTCTATAGACGGGGTGTTGCTGTGTTGCTCAGGCTAGAGTGCAGTGGCTATTCACAGGCACAATCATGGTGCACTGCAGCCTTATGAACTCAAGTGATCATCCTGCCTCAGCCTCCAGAGTAGCTGAGATTATAGGTACATGCCACTGCACCCCACTCAAATGTATATATAACTGCACCCCACTTAAATGTATATATAACTCACATTTATTTCAATGCTTAATATTAGCAATGTTTGGGGTCTTTATTTAAAATTTTGGTGAAGGTTTTGTGACCAGAAATATGCCGTAGGAACTTAACTCGTTTATATCAATTAGCCTATGGCAAAATTGGTGGTTATATATCATTTAACTTAAAGTCACAGCTTCCAAGAACCTATCAATGACTTTAAGTGAGGGCTTCCCCTGTACATATATTTTTATTTTACATATATCATATATATTTTTATTTTTATACTATATTATATAACTTTATCATATTATTACATATTGTCTTGTATATAATATGCAAACGTTCTATATATGATGTTTCTCTGGAGAATGCTAATACAAATATGTGTATGTAATAACCGGCTGAACTAATGAAGCTGACTCTAGAAATTGCTTGGTATAATGTAAACTGGAGGAAGGAATCCAAAGCCATAGACAGAAGCCAGCTATGACATGTTTGTTTTCCAAATAGTGCTTGCAGAAATCTTTAGAGGTTGGTATTTGCCAAGGGTTTTGAGACTGGAGGACATCGCAGCAGAGCAGAATTGTTTGGAATGGGTTGGATGACTAGGATTAGTGAGATGAAACAGAATTCTAGTGATAGGGCTAGAAAAGTCCTAAAAGAAAGTATACATAAAGTCATTGGGGGTGTTTCTTTTAGAGAAGAGTTGTAGCATTAATCCTAGTCCAAGAAGCAGAGAGGAAACAAGCCAAATTCCAATACATAACTGACCTTTTCCCATAGAGTAGTTTCTACTAGAGCTTTACTCTCCAAGCCTTATTTTTCATCCCTCTCAGTAAACTTGATGCCAATGACTGAAAAAAAAAAAAAAAAAAAAAAAAGCCGTCTTTTCTAATCCTAAACAATATTTAGGGAAATATCACAGAATTTTCTTCATGGTTATCACCTTTCTTCATAGTTATCACCTTTCCAAGTTCTGACAGCTTCTGGGGTGAAAGAAGCCAGAAATGACAGGGAATTAGGATGAAAGGGAAACAGGCTCAACCCATTTCAGGTGAGCAACCCCTGGGGCTAGGCTTATTCCAGACCTTACTAGTAGAAGGAAAAAGGAAGCAATATTCCTGTCCCCCTTTAATTGGGGAAAACCAGCCTGGCCCTCCAGAACGCTTACAGTGAGGGAAGATGAAACATCCCCTCACTTTGGGAGTTCTGCACACTTAATTTGTAGAAACATTTGTGTGTGGAGCATTGGTGTTATTGGGCATGGGGCAATCTTCTAGATACTATTAGAAGATATGGGCTTAGCCACAGAAGAGTTCTAAGGGCATATGGTGGCATCCTGGAGGCCTCATAGGTGAAGGGAATTTAAAAATTCACTAGGGTATCAGCTTCTCCTTGGCTGTTGTCCATTGTTTAAGTAAGAAATAATGAATGGGCCGGGCGTAGTGGCTCACGCCTTTAATCCCAACACTTTGGGAGGCCTAAGCGGGTGGGTCACGAGGTCAGGAGATTGAAACCAGCCTGATTAACATGGTGAAACCCCATCTCTACTAAAAATGCAAAAAATTAGCCGGGCGTGGTGGCAGGCGCCTGTAGTCCCAGCTACTTGGGAGGCTGAGGCAGGAGAATGACGTGAACCTGGGAGGTGGAGCTTGCAGTGAGCCGAGATTGTGCCACTGCACTCCAGCCTGGGGGACAGAGTGAGACTCTATCCCCAAAAAAAAAAAAAAAAAATGAATGAATGAATGTAAGTATCACCTATTTTCTAAATTGATGGGAGAACCAATCACCAGGGGACATTATGGTGGCTTAAGTTCACACAAATTGTATGCATCTAGAGATTGAATCACTGTTTTTGTTAATTTCCTACATCCTATAACAGGAAACAACTTGTACTGAAATAATGACTCCCACCCTTACCCAGCAATTTGATCATGTTGTTCCCTCTGCCAGAAATGCTCTTCCCTCTTCCTCAAGGCCCAACTCAGTGCTATTCCCTTTTAAGTTGCCTCTAGATTAATCCCTTGTTTGGCTCTCTGAACTTCTCTTATGTTGGGTATCACATACCGACTTTGTTGGAGTCACTGGTATCTACCTGCCCTTGCCTTTGATATTTCCAAGGTCCAGGGCTTACTGCCTTCTCCCTGGAATTCAGTTTTTTTGCATAGATGTCTTCGGTAAGTGATGATGTATAGTGCTTAACAGGATGTGTCAAAGTTCTCACCTTACCTCACTGAATCCTCCCAACTCTGAGAGGGTAGCAGGCATGGATACTTTTTCCATTTCACAAAGAAAGAAACTTAAGACTCACAGTGTATATGTAACTTGTTCAAGGTATCAATCCCAGCTGGTATGTGGCAGAGCTAGATTCTGCCATATTTACAGGCTGGAAAGAAACTCCAGTGTATGTTTGAGACCCTTCTGGAAGAATCTGGATTTCAAATCTGAGGCCCGACAAAACCCAGAAACGAATAGATTACAACCTATGATGTCAAGCTTATTATTTCCAAGAAAAAAATCATGCTTTTGGAGAATCAAGCTCACAGAATTCTGGCCCAAAAACAGACAAGGTCCCTACAGTGAGGGGCAGGAGACCTGGGTTACTCTCTCTCCATGGACCTGTTTCCCCACCTGTAAAATAGGAAGGTAGTGACTGGATTAGCAACTCTAAGGATCCTCCCTGCATGCATGCTAACAACTGGTATATGGGAGTTGTGGGTAGGCTGGCCTGAAAATACTCCTTTCCCTTCACAGATTTGTAGCAGGAAGGGCCAGAAGCCGAGCTCTAGGGCCATTGGGGAGATTGGGAAAAGGACAACAGACCCCAGGACAGGGATTTAGTCAGGGCAGAGTACCAGGAGTAGGATGGCTCTACCCTCCTTGCCCCACCCCTGGAAGAACAATGTGTAGAACCCCCAGGAAGGAAGCACTTAGAGCAGGGGTGGTACTGGGTTAGGAGCCAGAGGCCCACAGGGTCCCAGATGCCATTGCTAATGCACTCAGTCCCCAGCAGGTCACCGCTGTTCTTTAGGCCTATCTGTCCACCTGTCATTGCATCTGGAGTTGGTTCCCTCCACTGGGTTCTTGGTCTTGCTGACTTCAAGAATGAAGCCGCGGACCTTTGCGGTGAGTGTTACAGCTCTTAAAGGTGGCACAGACCCAAAGAGTGAGCCGCAGCAAGATTTCTTGTGAAGAGTGAAAGAACAAAGCTTCCACAGTATGGAAGGTAACCCAAGCAGGTTGCTGCTTCTGGCTGGGGTGGCCAGCTTTTATCTCCTTATTTGTCCCTGCCCATGTCTTGCTGATTGGTCCATTTTACAAAGTGCTGATTGGTGCATTTACAATCCTCTAGCTAGACTCAGAGCACTGACTGGTACGTTTTAACAGAGTGCTGACTGGTGCATTTACAATCCTTTAGCTAGACACAGAGTGCTGATTGGTGCATTTACAATCCTCTAGCTAGACAGAAAAGTTCTCCAAGTCCCCACTGGACCCAGGAAGTCCAGCTGGCTTCATCTCTCAATCCTCCCCTCTAAGCAGGACCCCCCAACTGCTGCTGGGAATTGGGTGATGACCGCTCTAGCTAATTCCTGCTGGATAGGGGTAAAGAAGGGGATCTGCAGTGGTAGTGTCCTCCAGAGGGGAAATCTCTAGGCCAGACAGAGGGCCAGTGGGTCGATCCAGGGGTCCTAGGTAGAAGTTGTTAGTTGAGCTCCTTTGGGATTCCATTTGTAAGACCATCTGTAGCTTGACGGCCTTAATCCTGGAGGAAACAAATTTGATAAGGAGGTTAAAAATACAGGGCCTGAAGGCGAGTAATAGCAAGATGGCTGACATGGAATCTAGAAAGGGGAGAAGCCATGTCACCCAACTCCAGAGGTTGGTATAAGAGTTTGAAAGGCGTTGTCTGATTTTAGAAGCCTTTTCCTGTTAATGCCAGGCAATGTCTTGTACTATCCTTGACTGGTTAGTGTAAAAGCAACACTCTTCTCCTAAGAAGGTGCAAAGTCCTCCTTTCTCAGCAGTGAGGAGATCTAGGCCTAGGCGGTTTTGGAGAGTCACTGCTGCCAAAGAGTCTATTTGGGATTGTAGAGTAAGGATAGATTTTGTTATTTCTTGCAAACTGTCTGAGAAATCCTTTGAGAGTGCGTGGTAGTAGGGTAATACATGTTACACTGTTAACTTTTAGCAAACTTTACTTTTGTTGAAAACCTTGTAAGTTTGGGATTTTAATTATTCTTTGCTATTAATAAGACCTCATTCAGTCCATATTAACTTAGAATTGGTATAGATGGCTCCTTCCTGATTCTGCAAGTACTTTAAGGTTCAGCTGAGTGCAAACAGCTTGCAGGTTTGAGCAGACCAATTACTAGGCAATTTTCCTAACTCTGCTTCTACAAGAGTTTCCTTATCACTTACTGAATACCCATTGTGTCTTTTCCACTTAATCACCCAGGAGGAACCATCTATCATCCTGTCCTGAAGGGAGTTCCTCCTAGGTCTGCTCTGAACTTTGTATGGTAATTAAGATTCAGATCCCCTGTTAGGAAACCTGCTGGGTTAAGGATTTTTGATAGGAAGCCTATGGGTTGTCAGTGGCCTCAGTGCTTTCCGGCTACACCCTTGTTTACACTGACAACAAGGTGGTATTGGAGTGTTATAGAGTTATGGAGAAGACCTTCAATTATCAATTATAGGTTTTAACTTTACCCTGACTTTCAAAGGAATAGGGTACACTGTTTTTTCTTTACTACTTCTCTCTCTTTCTCTCTTCCTCTTCATCTCTTCTCTCTCTCTTTTTCCTTCTCTTTGACTTTGTCTCTCTCTCTTTCTCTCTGACTCTCTTTGACTTTCTGTCTTTCCTCCCTCTCTCTGTCTCTCTGTCTTTTCCTCTCTCTCTCTGACTTTCTCTCTCTTTCTTTCCTTCTTTATTTCTTTCTTTCTCTGACTTTCTGTCTCTATTTCTTTTCTTCTCTCTTTGACTTTCTCTGCCTCTGCCAGCCACTTATGCTGCTGTTCTCCCTTCTCTTTCCCCTTTTGATGGCTTTGGCAGTGTAAGACTGCCACCTCCTTGGGTTTTTGCACTGCGTGCAATAACTCCATGATTTCCTTGTGGTATTTAATGAGGGTTCCACCATTAAACGTTAGGAACTCCCTTTCTTTCCATATTGCAGCATGGGCATGTAGGATTAGATAAGCATACTTGCTATCTGTATACACATTTATTCTTTTTCCCTTTCCCAGTTCTAAGGCTCGGGTAAGTGCCACTAGTTCTGCTAACTGGTCGCTGGTCCCTGAGGGAAGAGGCTTACTTTCAAGTACTGTTACATCACTAACTATGGCATAACCTGCTGTTTGTATCCCATTCTCCACAAATGAACTTCCGTTGGTATATAGGTTAGGGTCAGGATTAGCTAAGGGGACTTCTAAGAGATCCTTTTGGGTGGCATAAGTCTGGACTATAATTTGTTGGCAGTCATGCTCGATTGATTCCCCATCCTCTGGGAGAAAAGTGGCAGGGTTGAGGGCCGCACACATGCGTATTTGAAGCACTGGTCCCTCAAGGAGTAGCACCTGGTATCTAAGCAGGCAGTTGTCTGATAGCCATAAGCTTCCTTTGATACCTAGTATGCCATTTACGTCATGAGTAATCCAGTTGGCGAGATCCTTTCCTTGTATGATTTTGATAGCCTCTGACACTAAGATGGCCACTGCCGAAACTACTCATAAACAGTGAGGCCAGCCTTTTGCTATTATATCAATTTCCTTACTTAGGTATGCCACTGGTTGTGGGGTTGTCCCACGAGTCTGAGTAAGGACTCCAAGAGCTATTCCTGCTCTCTCTGTGACATATAAACAGAAGTTTTGTCCTGTGGGAAGGCTTAAGGCTGGAGCTTGTACTAGGGCCTGCTTTAAGGTTTTGAATGCTGTTTCTGTTTCTGGTTTCCATTCTACTAGATTAATATTTGCCCTCTGGGTCTCCTTGATTAGAGTATAGAGTGGCCTGGCCATCTCACTGTTTCCATGGATCCATAGTTGGCAAAAGCCAGTCATTCCAAGGAACCCCTGCAATTATTTTAATGTCTTAGGGCAGGGATAAGCCAGTAGAGGCTGCATCCATTCCTCGCTGAGGGCCCTGGTTCCTCTGGCTAAGATTAGGCCTAGTTATTTGACTTGAGTTGGGCCTACTATTTAGTTGCCTTATACCCTTGATTAGCTAGAAAGTTCAAGAGATCTAGAGTAGCCTGCTGGCATGAGGCTTCTGAACTGGTAGCCAAAAGTAAATCATCCACATACTGAAGGACCAGAGTGCCTAGACTTGAGAAGTGGCCTAGATCTCGGGCCAGTACCTGACCAAACAGATGAGGGCTATCCCTAAACCCTCAGGGCAAGACCATCCACATAAGTTGGGACGTGTGGTCTGTGCAATCCTCAAAGACAAAGAGAAACTGGGCGTCAGAGTGCAGGGGAATAGAGAAGAAGGCATCCTTGAAGTCCAGAACTGTGAACCATTCTGCTTCCTCTGGTATTTGAGAGAGCAGGGTATAGGGGTTGCATACAACTGGATATAGAGGAATTACTGCCTCATTGATGAGTCTGAGATCTTGCACTAGTCTCCACTGACTGTTCGGTTTTTGTACTCCTAGAATTGGGGTGTTGCACGGACTGCTGCATTTTCTTACTAAGCCTCAAGCTTTTAAATGTCTAACAATATCCTGTAATCCTTTATGAACTTCAGGCCTTAAGGGATATTGCCTTTGAGAAGGAAAAGTGGTGGGGTATTTTAGCCTGATTTGGACTGGGTGGGCATTTTTTGCCCTTCCGAATTGTCCTTTCAATGCCCATACTTCAGGGTTGATTCCCTCCTCAAGCAGGGGACAACAAATGGGTAACTTGTTCCCCATATTCATACAGATAATAGCTCCAGCTTTGGCTAATATGTCCCTCCCTAATAAGGGTATGGGACTTTCAGGCATAACAAGAAAGGCATGTGAAAAGAGCAAAGTCTCCCAATTACAACTGAGAAGGTGGGAGATATACCTGGTTACAGGCTGTCCCAAGATTCCTTGGATGGTAACGGACCTGAGGACTGCTGTCTGGGACAGGAGATTAACACTGAGAAAGCCATGCCAGTGTCCAGGAGGAAGTCAATTTCCTGGCCCTCAATGGTTAAACGTACCCAGGGCTCAGTGAGGGTGATGACATGAGCTGGTGCTTGCCCCGGGCACCCTCAGTCCCGTTGTTGGATCACCTGGTTGGGGGCTTCTGGCCCAGAGAACCTTTGTCCTCTGGGGCAGTGCACCTTCCAGTGATTGCCTCAGCATAGTGGACATGGGTGAGGAGGCAGCTTGTTTCTCATTGGACAATCTTTTTTAAAGTGTCCTTGCAAACCATGCTGATAACAAGCCCTACTGGGTGATTGGCCTGCTCCATTTTCTGTCCTCTCTGAACCACCAAGGTTTGTTTGTCTGAGGGCCACGACTAAGGCTGCGGCCTTCCTCTGATCTCACTTTTCCTTTTTGGCTTGTTCCTCTTGGTCCCTATTATAGAACACCGAGGTTGCCAGGTTTAATAATGCCTCCATATTTTGTTCATGGCCCAGGGCTCGCTTTTGGAGCTTTCTCCTGACATCTGGGGCTGACTGGGTAATAAACTTATATTTTAGGATCAATTGACCCTTGAGGGAGTCAGGTGACAGGGGAGTGTATTTTCTTAAGGCCTCCCGTAGCCGCTTGAGGAAGGCAGTAGGATTTTTCTTCCTTTCCCTGAGTTATGGTGGACATCATTGAATAATTCATGGGCTTTTTCTAATTCTCTTTAGTCCTTCCAGAACACAGGTCAGCAGATGTTTACGACTCCAGTTCCCATGATCTGAGTCTGGGTCCCAGTAGGGATCCATACTGGGGAAGGCTTGCTGACCAGCAGGGAATTTGTCCCTTTCTTTGGCTGTCATTCTATCATTTACTTGACTAAGATATCAGGTATCTCCAAACTCTCGGGCTGCAGCTAAGGCCGCATTCTTTCCATTAAAGGCCAGGGTTTGATCTAACAATAGCATGACATCTCTCCAAGTGAGGTCAAGGGTTTGCCCTAGACCCTGTAGGACATCTATGTACCTATCAGAATCATCTGAAAACTTCCCCAGATCTGCCTTAAATCAGAGAGGGAGAAGGGAACATGTACCTGGGTTGGGCCAAATTCCCCTCCCCCTACAGCTTGAAGGGGACATAACCGATAGCCTGGGGGTTTTTGTGGTCCTTTGGAGATTTCTTTATTTCCTTCTTGGCTGGGGAGATTAGAGGAGGCTTATCATTAATAGGAAGGGAAGCTATAGGGAGGCTAGGATATGGGGGTAAGCTGAGAGGTCCTCCTGTGGGATGTAAATTGCAAGCTTTGCATAGTTGTGGATTCTCCTTCAATGAAAAGAAAGCTTGGACATAATGTATTTCACTTAATTTGCCTTCCCTCTTTCAGAAAAGGTCAAACTGCAGGATAGGATAGTATTGTAATTTATACTTCCCTCAGGTGACCATTTTTCCCCATCAGAGAGAAAATATTGGGGCCAGGCCATAGTGCAGAAAAAAATAAGCCACTACTTTTTCAGGGTTTGTGGGTCAAATTGGTCCCAATGGCTTAGGATGCATTTCAAGGGTAAGTCTGTTGATGCCTGAGTGTTTCCCATGTGAAAGAAAAAACTGCCCATGGTTTTGGTTTGTTTGTTACCCCCACCCCCCAACCCTGCAAGAACCCGCAACAGTCCCTGGACCCTGCTGATTGGAATAGTTGTGCTAACCAATGCAGCACCAGATCCCCCTCTTGCCCAAGAACCCAAAACAGTCCCTTGGACCCTGCTGATCAGAATAGTTGCACTCACAACACAGCAGCAGAAACACTAGTTTTCCTCTTAGACCCAAAGAGGATTGAGGAAATTCAGATTTAGTGGCCCTTACTGACGCATTCTCAAAAACCTGCACCTTGCCTGTCCTCTTAGACCACAAAGAGGACTAAGAAAAATTGGATTTAGTGGCCCTTACCGACACATTCTTGAAAACCTGTTAGAGTCCTAAGCGTTTTTTCCTGTTAGTATTAGGAACTTACCCTTGTCTTATAAAGATGTTATGCCTCAAAATGGAGTGGAGGGCCATACCCTGAGGGAGGGAAGGGATCTCCAGGGTTGGGAGAATGATGGCTTTTGTCCTCAATTCTCATCATACAAATAGGGAGAATATAATTTCTGAGGCTACCCATATCCTAGCTTCAGGAATAGCTTTTGTTAGGCCTGCTAGTCTGAGGAGGGATCCTAAAATTCCAGATAGTCCCCCCCACTGATGGGGTTTTGGGCAAAAATTATGTCTTTCTGATTGTTGAGCCCAGGTGCCTAAAGAACAGTCCCAAAATTTATATTAGAAATCATTTTTATAGGAGAAACTAGAAAGCACCAGAGACAGGGAGTGGTTTTTAGAAGCGGGAGTAGCCTCAGAGAAGACAGGCAGGGGGAAGTTTGTCTGACAGGCTTAGAACCCAGGAGGCAAGGGTCAGGGTAGATAGGATAGATGGGTGAGTCTTGCTTGGGCGACATGACTTTGAGAGTTCCGCTCACGGTTACAGGGTCAACGAACTTTTTGTCAGGACCCCAGAGCTGAATGTCTTTCCTCTCTGTTGACCCTCGGCTCAGCCCAGAAGTACAGGAAAAGTGGAAGCTGGTTCCAGGCAAAGCAATGCTCCCAACTCCGTAGAGTCTGGAGTTGTTAGAGAGCCCTTTCCCAGAAAGCCTGACACCCGTGTCTTTAGTCCAGTGGCCACGCTAGTCGCTTTTAACTGGCCAACAGGTGCCCGGTGTTTAGCCCCCGAATTCTAAGGAAAAATAGGACAGAATAGCAAGTGAAAGGGGTTCAATGGTACTCACTGCTTGGCGATAGTCCCTTCATGGTTGACAAGATGTGTCCAGAGTTGGTTCCTTCTGGTGGGTTCTTGGTCTCACTGACTTCAAGAATGAAGCTGTGGACCTTCGCCATGAGTGTCACAGCTCTTAAAGATGGCATGGACCCAAAGAGTGAGCAGCAGCAAGATTTACTGTGAAGAGCTAAAGAACAAAGCTTCCACAGCATGGAAGGGGACCCAAGCGGGTTGTCACTGCTGGCTGGAGTGGCCAGCTTTTATCCCCTTATTTGTCCCTGCCCATGTCCTGCTGATTGGTCCATTTTACAGAGGGCTAATTGGTCCATTTTACAGAGTGCTGATAGGTGCATTTACAATCCTCTAGCTAGATACAGAGTGCTGATTGGTGCAATGTTACAGGGTGCTGACTGGCGCATTTACAATCCTTTAGCTAGACACAGAGTGCTGATTGGTGCATTTATAATCCTCTAGCTAGACAGAAAAGTTCTCCAAGTCCCCACTTGACCCAGGAATTCCAGCTGGCTTCACCTGTCATCATGAGGGAGAATCCGTACCAATGGCAAGTGGGGGCAGCCTGGGGCCACAGCTCCCATGCTGGGGTCCCAGATGGCTTGCCCACAGGCAATTGCCTGAGACAAGTCCTGAACTAAAGAGCACCAGAAGAAATTTGTATTAGTCCATTCTCACACTGCTATAAAGAACTATCTGAGATTGGTAATTTATGAAGGAAAAAATGTTTAATCAGCTCATAGTTCTGCAGGCTTAACAGGAAGCATGACTGGGAGGTCTCAGGAAATTTACGATCATGGCGGAATGCGAAGGGGAAGCAAGTACCTTATGTATATGGTGGCAGGGGAGAGAGAGAGCAAAGGGGGAAGTGCTACACACTTTTAAATGATCAGATCTCATGAGACGTCACTCACTATCATGAGAACAGCAAGGGGGAGTCTGCCCTTATGATCTAATCACTTCCAACTGGGCCCCTCCTCCAATTCGACATGAGATTTGGGCAGGGACACAAATCCAAACCATATCACCACTCCCTCCCTGTTCTTTGCACACTTGGAACAACTTCCATTTCCCTCTAGGAAGGTCAGAGGCCTGTGGGGTTTGGTGATTCACTCACCTGAGATCAGCTCCCCGAAGGAGTCCCTGAGACCCCAGCACCAAGAAAACCCTTCCTCTCACCAAGTCATCCCCAAGACTATGTTTGGTGACCATCACTGACCCTCCCTGCTCTCCTAACACCATTGGCAGGAAGAAGCCTGACAGGAATTAAGAAACAGGAATGAATGAAGGTCAGAGAAAGCATCTTGCAATAGAAAGAAGAGAAGAAGGAATGGTCTAAAGACCAGAAATCAAAGCCTAACTTACCCGTCTCAGCCAGTAAAATGTTACTCAGCTACTAGGCTGTTTGCCAAGCCTCAGGATCCTCATCTGCAAACTAATGATCCTATGATACTGTTGTAGAGGCACTAACAGTGCAAAGCAGATAAGCAGCTATAAGGGATGTCCGTGTCTCATTCCCTCCAAGCCCGTCTATATAGCCAGCCACCACAGGCAACTTTCTACAACCCAGACTGATCAGCTCATTCCCTGCTAAAAGCCTTCCACAGCAACCTGGATCAAGGACACATTTCTTAGAAGCTATATTGGACTTTGTGTTGGATGCCACGAAAACAATGGTGGCCTGACCGTAGGGCACTCACATCCAGCTAAGGGAACAACCACATCAAGAGTTAGTGTCAGGGGACTCAACTGTGAACCAGAGAGATATGGTGTCAGCCAAGATGGGGCTTACAGTACAGTAGAGAAGCCAGTAAGTAGACAGTGTTAGTGCAGTATGTCCAATAGGGACCATAACCTATTGGTTATGGCAATAGCATAGCATTGCAGGCCACCACAGGAGCAAAAAGGAAGCCACACCTAATCTAGGTGGGGTGCAGAAAAGGCTTCCTGGAGAAGGGGTTTCTTGGCAGTGTTTTAAAGGATAAGTAGGAGTTTTCGAGGTGAAAGGAGGGTCTCTCCATTCTCTTAGTTAGGGCTTGGGCCCCATTCACTCCCATTCACAGTGGGCTGGGGTTTTCTTCCCATATCATGGCAAGTCCCCCCATCCCATGTGTCTAGGGCCCCACCTTCTTTTCAGGGTATACAGGAGAGTTCTGGCTGTTGAAAAGGGACTATCCACACAGATGATGTCAGAACATCTGAGCGGTTTGGGGGCAGAGACTCTCCAGACCTGTGCTCCTCTCTTTGTGGGTTTTTGTTTTGTTTTGTTTTGTTTGTTTTTGACAGGGTCTTGTCACCCAGGCTGGAATGTGGTGGCAGAAACACTGCTCGCTGCAGCCTCAACTTCCTGGGCTCAAGTGATCCTCTCACCTCAGCCTCCAGAGTAGGTGGGACTACAGGTGTGTGCCACCAAGCCCGGCTAAGTTTTAAATTTTTTGTAGAGACAGGGTTTCACCATGTTGCCCAGGCTGGTCTCAAACCCCTGGCTTCAAGTGATCCACCCGCCTTGGCCTCCCAAAGTGTTAGGATTACAAGTGTGAGCCACTGTGCCCAGCCTCTTTGTGGTCTTAAATCCAGTAAGTTCCTGGGGACACACTTCTCACAGCTGCCCTCACTCCAAGCAGGATTTAACATGGGAAGTGATAGTGATGATGCAGAGCAGCACAGTAATTGCTATAGATATTCTCTTTTTTTATTATTACATACATATAGGGCAAACGTGGCAGGCCTTAACATTAATGGATACAGGGGATGAACTGAGAGGAAACAAGGATAGTAAACACAATACTAGAAAACACCTATAATACTTACAATGTGTCAGGCACCATTCTAAGTGCTTTATGTATTTTATCTCATCCAATCCTCACAACAACTCTACAATTCAAGTATATTATTATCCCCATTTTCCAAATAAGGAAGCTATGCACAGAGAGGCTAAGTAACTTGTCCATGGTCACTCAGCTCATGGGATGACACCCAGGGTTCTAGTTTGGGTCCCTGGGTGAATGATAATACTTTTTACAGTGATGGGGATATGGGTTGGAGCTTCAGGGTTGCGGATAGATGGTAAGTTTCGTTTCAGGCATGTAGAATTTGAGTTACCTATTTGTTAGCTCTCATACCAAAGCTTGAGTGATGATTTTCAAGAGAAATCGAGTTGGAGTACAGAATTCCTAAAAGCCTTCTGTGGTTGTCTTTGGCCCAAAGGTAGGTGTCCTAAGGTGCTATATCGAGGCATCATCAAGTGTCTTGCCCACTGGGGCCCAACCCAGTCATGGTAGATCGGGCCAGGCCCACAGTGTTGGTCACAGAAGTGCCTCTGAAGTCTAAACACACTGCTCAGATGGGCCTGGTCCTTACAGCCAATGAAAGCCAACCACTTGTGCATGAAACAGCTCTGAAGAATAAAAAACCTCAATCTTGGTTTCCAAATCCTTGTGTCTCCTATAATAGGAAGCCAGGACTGCAGGACAACACGTGGTCAAGGAGACCTGAAAATCAGGTCTGAGAGCATTTAGCCTGGCCTTGGGAGATTTCCTCCTCAAGAATCCTAAGCTTCTGGGGCCTTGATTTGCCTTCCACCTCAAGAATCCTAAGCTTCTGAGGCCTTGATTTGCCAGTAGGCAATGTCTAGCATCAATGTCAGGCAGAGGCTGGGGTTCCTGGTTTTAAATAGCCAAAACCTCCTTGTGAGATTTCCAAATGGAGAGGGGGACCTTGATGACAGGAAACCACCATTAGGATCAATGGACAAAGATTGCTCCAAGAGATTACTTTTAAGCTTGTGGAAACTCTGGAGCAGGACTTCTGGTGTCTTTGTTTCTATCTTGGCTCACACAGATATATGAGGAACATATGTCAGGGCCAGGGTTAGGCCCAGGGCACCTTTGAAATATTGCCATCCCTAGACAGTCCAGGAGACTGTTTACTTTGGGCCCTGTAAAGGACCTATCTCCTGTGCTATAATAAAGATACACAGTTAACTTCATCACACCCTTTGCCCTTCACCCGTGGTCATTAACACACAGGGCCTGCTCAACCATGTTTGTAACAAGGACCAGTTCATATCCTCCTTCTGTATGCAAACCATTCTTCAAAGTGAAAGTCACCTGGGTACCACCTGCCACCCAGAGGCTAGACAACTGCCTACTAGGTTACAAACTGTCCCCACACCTTCTCAGTTTATCTGCTTCTTGGTCTCCCTAGGAACCTCTACATGGACACCAGAATGCTGGTGCTGTCTTACGAAATATTAACCACATTTATGGGCCAAAATATCACAATTTCTAGACATGCTTCTTCATTTTTAAGATGGGAGATGCTTGCTGCTCCCTTCACTGAGACTTCAGATTGGGCATCACACATGGTATAACTGACTGCTCAGGATATGCCAGGCCTTTTGCTATGTAGTGTCTGTTAACCTCATGCGGTGCTCCCAGCCCTGTGAGGTACGCATTATGCTCTGCATTTTTTTCAGATGAGAAAACAGGCTTGGAGGTTGGGTATCTTTCCCAAGGACACCTGGAGGAGAAGGTGTAGAGCTGGGACGCGTCTGGATCCCCCGACTATGGCCTGAGAGCGGGATGTGAGTGGCCTGGGCCCTCGCGAGACCCCGACCCCGCCCGCGGCAGGTGGCCGGGCACAGCCGAGAAGTAAGCCCTGCCAGCTCTCCCGGGTGCGGGGACGCGCGCGCCCACCTTCGCAAACGAGACTTCCGGGATCCCGGAGGGGGCGGAAGTCGAGGCCTCTCTCGCTTCCGGCTCGGCCATTGTTTTTGGTCTAACGGGCAGTAGAGTGTCCGGCTTCGGTGCCGAGTGCCACCGCGAGTGGGCCGAGACGCGGAGGGAGGCGCGGCCGGAGCTCGGGTCGCCGACGCTGGCCAGGACCGCGCTTCTTCCCGGCGGCAGGCGGCGCGGTCCCCGTGACTCTCAGAAGCCGCCCGATGTAGAGCCGCTTCTTTGTCTCATACCCCTGACCATTCGTGCGTGGCACGGAGCCGGGTATCTGCGGGTACAGCGATGAACAGGGCAGACGTGGCCAGGTGAGCGGCGCTGCTGAAGCCTGGTTTAACACGAAAGGTAGATCGCTGTTTTCCCAGCTCTTGCAGTAGGAAACTGTATGAACTGTCATATTTGGGTCAGACCCAGGCTCAGAATCGCAAACGTGGAGCGTGACTTGGAAATGCAAAAATCCAATTGAGATTTTAAAGTGCTGAGCATTCGGAACACTATGGGAAGCAGGAGAATGGCCTGAACTTTCTACATATATGGGATCTTAGAGCAGAGTTTACAGATTATTTTAAAGTCCTTCTTTGTCTTTTTAAAGAGATTGAGACACAGGGATCTGGGCTCTTGGTGAACTGGAAGCACAGCACAGATGCCCTAGTTACCAGTAAGGTGCTGATTTTAAAACGTTCAAAGTTTTCCTCCACTTCAGTGTCAGCTAAATGTATCATATTCATTCATTTCCCAATTATGTGTGCCATGTGCACACGTGTACAAAGATGACTGGAAGTCAGCTCTGCCCTTTGTATCCTCCCAGAAAGCAGGGGAGACAGTCGTGTAAACCACAAACGATTACAGTGTGAGATGTGCTCTACTAGAGGTTTGAATGAAAAAGGTAGTTTGGGATCACTGAGACAATAACCACCTCTCTAAGCCTAGCGTGATCAGGAAGGCTTTCTAGGGGAGGTGCATTGAGTAAAAAAAGGTCTAGTATTTTCTGATTCCATTTGGTTCCTTTCCTTTGGTGGCCGTGCAGCAGTTTGGAGGGTGAGAGTGGTGAGTTGTGCATAAACCAGTTAAAGGGTTATAGTGAGAGGTACACAAAGGGAAGCTACCAGCACTCTTCCTGATGGGGCAATCAGGAAAACCAAGAAAAAGTTGCCTTTGTTCATGGTCTTGACAGACAAGTTTGCCAAAAGTTGAAGAAGAAAAATTCAAAGAAAGAGTATGTGTGGCTTCTAAGTGTGTCTCTAGAGCTTTAGCTCCAAACTTTCTTTATTTTGCATTTCTATCAGTAGAAGAGGTTTGATCACTTACTCCCTACATTGGTTTATTTGTAATTTAAACATGAATACTACTATACAAATTGTAATGCACATTATAAAACATACATTAAATAGGAGTTAAATAACTTAGTATTTTCTCTTGCACCCTTTGGGATAGCCTGCATTTCCCACATTGGAGACCATTGCTGTCTTTCTAGCATGGGTACTTGGGGTGAGTGGTAGAGGGTGTGGCTGGTTGTGAAGGGGGTAAGGCCAGGTTGTGAAGGGCTGTGAATGCAAGGCATAGACATTTAGATTTTATCCTGTAGGTAATGGGAGCCACTGAAACTTTAAGAAGGGCATCATTTGGAGAGATGCTTACTAAGAATGCCTGGTTGTGTTCTTTTTTCCTGGAGCTTTGTTTTTTAACTCAGTGGAGGATTGTCATCAGCCTGGGGCTGAATACTCCAAGAACTCTGATTTCACTCTTGTTTCTGTAGGCCACACTACCATCACCCCTTTCTCCAACCCTGAAAAACAGTTCCTGAGACCTGAACTATTGACCATCATTTTAATCGGACCAACTGCAGCTGTAACAAGCTTCTCTTTGGGGTCACAATGACCACTGCAGGCAGGGGAAATTTAGGCCTCATCCCCAGGAGCACTGCTTTCCAGAAGCAAGAGGGGCGCCTGACTGTGAAGCAGGAGCCAGCAAACCAGACCTGGGGGCAGGGCAGCAGTCTCCAGAAGAACTATCCTCCTGTCTGCGAAATCTTCCGGCTACACTTCAGGCAATTGTGTTACCACGAGATGTCTGGGCCGCAGGAAGCATTGAGCCGGCTTCGGGAGCTCTGCCGCTGGTGGCTCATGCCAGAGGTGCACACCAAGGAGCAGATCCTGGAGCTGCTGGTGCTTGAGCAGTTCCTGAGCATCCTCCCTGGGGAGCTCCGGACCTGGGTGCAGCTGCATCACCCTGAGAGTGGTGAGGAGGCTGTGGCTGTGGTGGAGGATTTCCAGAGACACCTCAGTGGATCAGAGGAGGTGAGCAGTTGAGTCTAGAATGGCGGCCTGATGCTTCTCTAATGCTTGGGTTAGCCTAGGAATAGGCATTCTCCACTTCCCAGGCCCTAGGCCAGTTTGCCTTTAGGGTTGCTGAACTTGTCCTGTGGATAGAGGGAAAATAGTTTTGTGCTCCAAGCCATAAACACAAGTGCACATCCCAGCTAAGCTCTGTGATTCACCCTGTGAAATACTGTGTTCTGAGCCTAGCTTCATCCTGGAGATTCGCATGGTACTCCTGGCAGGCGGGGGATCTGCATGCTGGTTAGAATAGGGCGATCGGGGGAAGGCGGGCCTTTGGGTATGCTGATAATACGAGCCTTCATTTGAGACATTCTCTTTGCTCACTTCCTTGGACTTCTCAGAGTCAATTTTCTCTTTTTCTGCCTCTTTGATTCCCTGAAAGGTGACATTTTTGGGCCTTGTAATTATTTGTTCCTTTTGCTAGCTCTCCAAACCTAACTGGGATCTTTTTGCATCTTTAATTCTAATTTAAGTTTTCCCTATTTCCTGGAGTTCTTGCAAATGTAATACCAAGGTAATTTAAACTAGAGGAATAGTTGGGAAGAGTGAGCAGTAAGACACATTGGAAAATCTGGTTTCTAGGACCATAGAGCCAACTAGCTCTGTGCCCATGTGTTTCAGTCAGGGTTTAGCCAGAGAGGTAGAATCAGTAGGAGAGAGGGGTGTGTGTGTGTGTGTGTGTGTGGGCATGGGCACACATGCATGTGCATGTGTAAAGAGATTTATTGGTGGCTGGGCATGGTAGCTCATGCCTGTAATCCCAGCACTTTGGGAGGCCGAAGGGGGTGGATCACTTGAGGTCAGGAGTTTGAGACCAGCCTGGCCAACATGGCAAAGCCCCATTGCTACTAAAAATACAAAAATTTGCTAGGTAGGGTGGCATATACCTGTAATCTTAGCTACTGGGGAGGCTGAGGCAAAAGAATCACTTGAACCCAGGAGGCAGAGGTTGCAGTAAGCCAAGATCACGCCACTGCACTCCAGCCTGGGTGACAGAGCGAGACTTCATCTCAAAAAAAAAAAAAAAGAAAAGAAAGAGAGATTTATTGCTAGTAAGTGGCTTACGTAATTGTGAGGCTGACTAGGCAAGTCTGAAACCCATAGGCAGGCCATCGACAAGGGCAGCCCAAAACAGTGGCACAAGCTGAAGCTGCAGTGCACAGGTGGAATTTCTTCTTTCTTCTTTGTCCTTTCTTCTTTTTCCTCCTCCTCCTCCTTTTATTCTCTTTCTTCTTCTTTCTTCCTCGTCTGCTTTCTCCTTTCTTCTTCATTTTTTTTTTTTTTTTTTTTTGGGTCTTGCTCTGTTGCCTAGGCCAGAATGCAGTGGCATGAACATGGCTCACTGCAAGCTCAGCCTCCTGGCTCAAGTGATCCTCCCACCTTAGCCTCCTGAGTAGCTGGTACCACAGTCATGTGCCACCACACCAGGCTAATTTTTTTTATTGTAGACATGTGGTCTTGTTATGTTGCCCAGGCTTGTTCTTGAATTCCTGGCTTCAGATGATATTCTTGCCTTGGCCTCCCAAAGCACTGCGATTACAGGCATGAGCTACCACGCCTGGCCTGGAATTTCTTCTTCATGGAACTTTTAGCTTTGCTTTTAAGGGCTTACAACTGATTGAATCAGGCTCATGCATTCATCCGTTATCTAGTATAATCTCCCTTACTTAAACTTATTATGTACTTTAATCACATTTTTAAAATAGTTTACAGCAACACCTGGATTGATGTTTGATTAGTACCAAGTTGACACATCAAAAGATCATCACACCATGGATAAGTTAGTTCTTCCTAATGAGTTTCAAATTGTTCCCCTATAATAGAAGCAGGGTGAACTAGAGGTCCCCTCTACCCCTTTGTACTTTATCAGGGGAAAACAGTATAGAGAATTTCCCAAGTACCCAATATATCATTTTATTCAATGCTTTTTTTCCTAGAGAGTCTCACCCTATCACCCAGGCTGGAGTGTGGTGGCACAATCTTGGTTCACTGCAACCTCTGCCTCCTGGGCTCAAGTGATCCTCCCACCTCAGCTTCCCTAGTAGCTGGGACCATAGGTGTGAGCCACCACACCTGGCTAATTTTTGTGTTTTTAGTAGAGACGGGGTTTCACCATGTTGTCCAGGGTGGTCTTGAACTCCTGAGCTCAAGAAAGCCACCTGCCTCATCCTCCCAAAGTGCTGGAATTACAGGTGTGAGCCATCACGCTCAGCCTATTCAATGCTTTTTAAAAAATGATTACATATCACTAGGGAATCAGTTCTAGTTGATCAGGATCCTGGGGCTAGACATTTTTCCAGGATTATTAGCAGTACACATTTGTCATTATCAACCATCATTTTCTTTGTGTAAACAAGTAAGCACATATGAGTAAATCAACCATCACAAGGGTCTAGAGAGCAGCTGGGCCAGCCATGGCAATGACAGGTGGCTGAAGACATATTTAGAGAACCATTTAGTGAGGGTGGCAGAAGGAAAATGTCCCTATTTCCTGCTTGGTTTTGCTTAAGAAGTTAATGCTTCCTCCATTAAAACTTTTAGTGCTTTATCCAGCTAGCAGCCTCAGAAAAGGGTGACTGTTGAGTCACAACCCAAGAAAATGACTAACAGTAGACAGTGAGGCAGCTGAATGCTCATGGCTCCAGCTTGGGTGTAGGGTCTTTGGAGTCCATTTCTTAATCTCCCACTACTGTCAGTGTTATGTTTTCTGACACGAAGACATAAGGGCAGGACTATCTTTCATCAGCAGGCGTTCAGAAAATGTTTACAGAATGGCTAAATGAATAAACAAGCTTTTCCATGGAAGTTTGCCAAGAGGAGATTAAGGAGGGTCCAGGTAAATTGGAGTCATTTTGCTTATCAGGAGCAAGCCACTTTATTGCTGCAGAAGGAGCATGTACATGTGTGCACATTGTGGCTGGGAAAGGTTTGTATAGTGATCCCTGCTGGGCTGCAGAGTCATGCAACTTGCAGAATTCTTTTGTTTCCTGTATCTTTTTTTTTTTTTTTTTTTTTTTTGAGACAAAGTCTCACTCTGTTGCCCAGGCTGGAGTGCAGTGACACAATCTCAGCTCACTGCAAGCTCCGCCTCCTTCACGCCATTCTCCTGCCTCAGCCTCCTGAGTAGCTGGGACTACAGGTGCCTGCCACCACGCCCAGCTAATTTTTTGTATTTTTAGTAGAGACAGGGTTTCACCATGTTAGCCAGAATGGTTTCGATCTCCTGACCTCATGATCCTCCCGCCTCGTTCTCCCAAAGTGCTGGGATTACAGGCATGAGCCACCACGCCTGGCCTGTTTCCTGTATCTTTTTTCATCTCCTGCCAGGGTTACAAAACAGGCAGTGCAGTAATCATTATCTCCATTTGACAAGTGAAGTGAGCACATGTAGTAAGCATTCCCTTGCCCGAAAGATTTAGCTGAGGTGTGGTTGTTTCTGATTACCATCAAGTGGGAGGACCAGGATTTTCCATCTCCCTAGTTTCTAAGCCAACAGCTTTTCTCTAGGGTCTTGCTGTGGAATGCCATATTAGAATGAGGTTTTCATGTCTTCAAGGAAGGGAAACCTGTGATTCTGTATTAGTCTGTTTTCACACTGCTATAAAGAACTACCTGGGTAATTAAAAAGAAAAGAGGTTTAATTGGCCCACAGTTTCACAGGCTTAACAGGAAGCATGACTGGGAGGTCTCAGGAAACCTACAATCATGGCAGAAGGCAAAGAGGAAGGAAGGACCTTCTTCACATTGTGGCAGAAGAGAATGCAGGGGGAAGTGACACATACTTTTAAATGATCAGATCTCATGAGAACCCACAAGAACACCAAGGGGAGATCTACCCCATGATCCAGTCATCTCCCACCAGGCCCCTCCTCCAATTCGTTGTGAGATTTGGGTGGGAACACAAATCTAAACCACTATTATTCTGCCCTGGCCCCTCCCAAATCTCATGTTCTTTTCACATTGCAAAATACAATTATCCCTTCTCAACAGTCCCCCAGACTTAACTCATTTCAGCATTAACTCAAAAGTTCACAGTCCAAAGTCTCATCTGAGACAGGGTAAGTCCCTTCCACCTATGAGCCTGTAAAATAAAAAACTAGTTAGTTACTTCCAAGATACAATGGGGATATAGGCATTGGGTAAATGCTCCCATTCCAAATGGGAGAAATTGGCCAAAACAAAGGGGTTACATGTCCCATGCAAGTCCAAAACCAAGCAGGGCAGTCATTAAGTCATAAAGCTCCAAAATAATCTCCTTTGACTCCATGTCTCACATCCAGGGCATGCTGATGCAAGAGATCAGTTCCCAAGGCCTTGGGCATCCTGGCCCCTGTGGCTCTGCAGGTTATAGCCCCCATGGCTGCAGTCACCAACTGACATTGAGTGCCTGTGCCTTTTCCAGGCACATGGTGCAAGCTGCTTGTGGATTTACCATTCTGGGGTCTGGAGGATGGTGGCCCTCTTCTCACAGCTCCACTAGGGAATGCCTCAGCAAGACTGTGTGGGGGCTCCAACCTTGCATTTCCCCTTCACACTGCCTTAGTAGAGGTTTTTCCATGACAGTTTTGCCCCTGCAGCAGACTTCTGCCTGGACATCCAGGTGTTTCCATACCTCCTCTGAAATCTAGGAGGAGATTCCCAAACCTCAACTCTTGCCTTCTGCACACCTGCAGGCCCAACAACATGTGAAAGCTGCCAGCTTGGGGCTTGCACCCTCTGAGGACACAGCCTGAGCTATACCTTGGCCTCTTTTAGCCACAGCTGGAGCTGGAGTGGCTGGGACACAGGGGACCATGTCCTGAGGCTGCACAGAGCAGCTAGGCCCTGGGCCTAGCCCATGAAACCATTGTTTTCTCCTAGGCCTCCAGGCCTGTGATGAGAGGGGGCTGCTGTGAATGTCTCTAAAATGCCCTGGAGACGTTTTCCCCATTGTGTTGGCTATTAAAATTTGGCTCCTCTTTACTTATTCAAATTTCTGCAGCAGGCTTGAATTTCTCCCCAGAAAACGGGTTTTTCTTTTCTACCACATGGCCGGGCTACAAATTTTCCAAATTTTTATGCTCTGCTTCCCTTTTAAATATAAGTTCCAGTTTCAGATCTCTTTGTTCACAAATATGAGTGGACACTTTTAGAAACAGCCAGGTCACTTCTTGAATGCTTTGCTGCTTAGAAATTTCTTCTGCTAGAGGGCTGGGCGTGGTGGCTCACGCCTGTAATCCCAGCACTTTGGGAGGCTGAGGCAGGTGGATCACGAGGTCAGGAGATCGAGACCACGGTGAAACCCCATCTCTACTAAAAATACAAAAAATTAGCTGGGCATGGCGGCGGGTGCCTGTAGTCCCAGCTACTCGGGAGGCTGAGGCAGGAGAATGGCATGAACCTGGGAGGCGGAGCTTGCAGTGAGCCAAGATCGCGCCACTGCACTCCAGCCTGGGTGACAGAATGAGACTCCATCTCAAAAAACAAAAAAAAAAAAAGGAAATTTCTTCTACTAGATACCCTGAATCATTTCTCTCAAGTTCAAAGTTCCACAGATATCTAGAGCAGGGGCAAAATGCTGCTGGTCTCTTTGCTAAAGCATAGCAAGAATGACCTTTGCTCCAGTTCCCAATATGTTTTTCATCTCCATCTGAGACCACCTCAGCCTGGATTTCATTATCCATATCACTATCAGCATTTTAGTCAAAACCATTCAACAAGTGTCTAGGAAGTTCCAAACTTTCCCACATCTTCCTGTCTTCTTTTCAGCCCTCCAAACTGTTTCAGCCTCTACCTGTTACCCAGTTCCAAAGTTGCTTCCACATTTTCAAGTATCTTTATAGCAGTGCCCCACTTTCCTGGTACCAATTTTCTATGTTAGTCCTTTTTCACACTGCTGTAAAGAACTACCTGAGATTAGGTAATTTATGAAGAAAAGAGGTTCAGTCGACTCACAGTTCTGCAGGCTTAACAGAAAGCATGACTGGGAGGCCTCAGGAAACTTAAAATCATAGTGGAAGTTGAAGAGGAAGCAAGGATCCTCTTCACATTGTGGCAGGAAAGAGAGAGCACACAGAGGAAAGTGCCACACACTTTTAAACAATCAGATTTCATGAGAACTCACTATTACAAGAACAGCAAGGGGGAAATCTTCCCCCCCTACCCCCACCCCCCGTGATCCAGTCACTTCCCACTGGGCCCCTCCTCCAATTCAACATGAGATTTGGGCGGGGACAGAAATCCAAACCATATCAAAGTCCTAGATAATGAACAGGAACTTTACCAGGATTAAATTATTAGTGGATTACAAAGTTGAATTATCACAGTGCAGTAAGTTCTACCTTCTGCCAATACCCAGAGCTCCTGTATTGAAGAGCTGTGACTTCCATTTTAGAGAGTCTTTCAGTTTCAAAGAACCTTTCAGTAGGAGAGCTTGGGAACTACAGAATCCAGGGAGCCTGCTGGTCCTACCACTACACTGGTGAGATATATATTAAAGGAGAGAGTCCCTTAACATCTCAGCAGATGCAGCCTAATAGGGTGAATCCTGTGTGGTTTATTGAAGGAGAAGTTATTTTTACCTCATGCTGTGCTATGTACATACCAGAGCAAGTGAACTTTAAAATGTGCCTTATTTAGATAATATTTTAGGTTTTCTGCCCTACATGCTGGTAAAAGGAGCAACCATGAGATTGTGAGGAGCTGGTTTGATGACAATAAGCAAGGGTTAGAAATAAAATGTCTATGTTCTGAGGTATTCTCAAGATCTCTACAGATTAGTGTGTCTGATCTTATTTGGCTTTTAAAATATAAATTATTGGGGAGAAGTAGTACATATTGAAAACTGAGTTTGCAGATAACCTTAAAGTCTTTTAGCAAAATATCAACAGGAAGTCAGTCAGCAGATATTAATTGAACACCATTGTAGGGCTATATGTTGTTTTGGAGCTAGTGATCAAGACAAAAGTTCTTACCCTCAAAAAACTCACACTCTGTTGGGGAAACATAGACAATAAAGACATAAGTAAGATTACTTAAAGATTAATACATGCAATCTAGAAATTATAATTGGTTAATTGAGTCTGACTATCCCTGCTTTGTCAGTGTGCTCAGAGAAAGCTTCTCTGAAGAGGAGATACTTTTGCTCAGAGAAATTGGAAAAGCTCTCCTGGTATGCCAGCCACTGTTCTGGGTATTGCTTCAGCTGTTAGTGTCAGTAGCATTATTTGTGCACATCCACAAATCTTATCTTTTTTTACACTTATCTTTTTTTACCTCCTTTGTACTTCTTTTTTTGTTTGTTTGGTTTTTGTTTTTGTTTTTTTTTGAGACGGAGTCTCGCTCTGTCACCCAGGCTAGAGTGCAGAGGCGTGATCTCGGCTCCCTGCAAACTCCACCTCCCAGGATCAAGTGATTCTCCTGCCTCAGCCTCCCAAGTAGCTGGGACTACAGCTGCGTGCCACCATGCCTGGCTAATTTTTTTGTACTTTTAGTAGAGACAGGATTTCGCCATGTTGGCTAGGCTGGTCTCGAACTCCTGACCTCAGGTGATCCAACCACCTCGGCCTCCAAAAGTGCTGGGATTACAGATGTGAGCCACTGCGCCTGGCCTATCCTTTGTACTTCTGATTATTCCTTTCTGTCAGCTAAGGCCCTAGAGAATGTACTGAATTGCTCTCCTGGCTCCCTTTTTAAATGGTTCTTCATAAGAAAATATGTGTCTGAAGACCTGACACAGAGTGGAAATGGTTATAGAATCTGGTCCTCAAGCCCCTACCAAAAGGGTCAACAGAGGGATGGCAAGTAGAATTGCAAGCTTTAGATTCTGCTTTCACAGTTTTTTTTTTCCCCCAGTAGACTGTAGTGGTGGGGCTGGAAGGACACCCTGGCTCTTCTTTTCCCTGGCTTTCTTTCTGGAGGGAGCTGCTTAGAGGTTTTGGGTTCAGTACCTTCAAGGATGCTCTTTTGAACCCAATTGTATTTCCCTCTCTCTAGGTTTCAGCCCCAGCACAGAAACAGGAAATGCATTTTGAGGAGACAACAGCTCTGGGTACAACAAAGGAATCTCCTCCTACCTCACCCCTCAGTGGGGGCTCAGCCCCTGGAGCCCACCTGGAGCCTCCTTATGACCCAGGGACACACCACCTCCCCAGTGGGGACTTCGGTACTTATCTCCCCAGCTTTGGCCTTAAGTCATGCCTCCCTTCTCTCCTCTGGAGTCTCCTTTCCTTTATCTGCCCATCTCCTACTCCATGGAATCCCTCATTGCTCTGCTGTCTGTCCTTCTTCCCTAGTGACCCTGTTTGTTCCTTTTGCTTATTCTCTAATCATTCGTGTAGTTAGTAAGTTTTCATCAAGGGCATGTCGTAGGAAAGGCACTGCCAGAGACCAGAGAGATGTAGTACATCTATTGTCACTGATTTCAAAGAGCTTGTTATCTAGATGGTAGGATGAGTTAGTCATGTGTAAGAAGAGGCAACCTCATAAGATGCACATGAATGATATCTATCCTCAAGCATTTGATCCTGTCACAAATGAGCAATGTGGGCATTGGAAAAAGTGATCACTGGGTAAAAAGCAAGATCATTGTGGGCTGGAACTGGTAAGGGATGCTTCATGAAGGAGGTAGCAGAGTATTGGGCAGTAAAAATGTGGAAGAATTTTGAAGGGGAGAAAAAAGTAGCAGGCATGCCATTAGAAGACACAACAAAGACCCTAAGCTGGAGATTCCTTGAGCCCTGATTGAGGTGGAGTCAGGAAAGACTGTATTTGGGAACCTGGGCCTTGTTTGTACAGGACCTTGAGATTGAGGCAGGAAGATTTTGGGAGTCAGAGGATAATGTGTTAGAAATAGTATTTCAGGAGGATTACTCTGGCACAGGTGAGCATTATGGATTGAAGGGGAAGGCGCCTTAGTTAAAGGCTGGTGCGGTAGAATAGATGTGATTAATGCCTGAAGTGCAAAGAGAGGAACGGGCAAGGATAAAATTGAAAAATATTATCATGGAAACATCCGTGGGACTTGAGTTTGAAAGGGGAGGCAGGGGAATTAGAATGTTTTGGCCAATGATGGAATCATTGAGGGAAATTGAGAAATCTGAAAGAAAGGTGATAAGAACATTTTATTTATTTATTTAATGTTATTTATTTATTTTTTTTAAAGAGAGATAGGGTCTCACTCTGTCACCCAGGCTGGAGTGCAATGGCACGATCATAATAGCTCACTGTAGCCTTGAACTCCTGGGCTCAAGAAATCCTCCCACCATGGCCTCTTAGAACTACAGGCATGCCACCATGACCAGCTCTTTTTTTTTTTTTAACTTTTTATAGAAATGGGGTCTCCTACTGGGAGCAGTGGCACACACACCTGTAATCCCAGCACTTTGGGAGGCTAAGGCAGGTGGATCACTTGAGGTCAGGAGTTTGAGACCAGCCTGGCCAACATGATGAATCCCTTCCTACTAAAATACAAAAATTAGCCAGGCATAGTGGCAGGTACTTGTAATCCCAGCTACTCCAGAGGCTGAGGCATGAGAATTGCTTGAGCCTGGGAGGCAGAGGTTTCAGTGAGGCATGATCATGCCACTGCACTGCAGCAGAGTGAGACTCTGTCTCAAAACAAAAAGAGAGAGAGAGAGAGAAAGAGAAAGAAAGGAAAGAAAGAAAGAAAAAGAGAAGAGAAAAGAAAAGAGAGAAAAGAAAGAGAGGGAGGGAGGGAGCAAAAGAAAAGAAAGGAAAGGAAAAGAGGAGGGGAAGGGAAGGGAAGAGTGAAGGAAGGGAAGGAAGGAAAGGGAGAAAAAGACAACCTTATGTTGTACATGCTGGTCTTGAATTCCTAGCCTCAAGCCAGCCTCCCACCTTAGCCTAGAACATCCATCCATTCTAGACACTGAACTTAAAGTGTTGCAGGACACCCAAGTGAAATGTCCCATAGGCAATAGGAGGCATGTGGTAGGGGTCTAGGAGAGAAGTAAGAACTGTGAGAGCAGTATTAAAGCAATGAGAGTTGGTCAGATTGCTGACGGAAAGAACAAGGAAGCACTAGGGCCTGAGTTGCAAGGAGTGTCCATAATGAGAGGGCAGGAGCAGGCATGAGGAACCACAACTGTGAGGGGAAAATCAGGGCTGGCTGGTGCTAGGGAAACCATGGGAGAGAGAGTGGCCAGAATAGCTTCCCTGAAAAAAGTTGAAGAGAGTGAGGGCTTGGAGGAACACCCAGTTCTCAGCTTGATCCGGGACCTTGTACTGTACCCTCCAGGGAAAATTCACACCACTCTTGGGATAATGCCTTATGGAAGAGGTTAAGAGTCAGTGTGTGTGGAGGTGCCTGGGTTCTCTTGAATCCACTTATTGGGAATATAGATCTTATGGGAGCCAGAAGCAGGGCTTGTCCCACTCATAGCTTTCTTTCCTCCCTCAGCTCAATGTACTTCTCCAGTTCCTACCCTTCCTCAAGTGGGGAACTCAGGAGACCAAGCAGGGGCAACTGTACTTCGGATGGTCAGGCCCCAGGTGAGCTTGGTTCTTTGTGTTTTTACCAAGTCCCCATGAGTCTGGTCCAAGAATGGCTAGAGGTCTCACCCCCAGGACTCTGCCCCATCTAAGACTATTCCTGTGGCTCTCCTGCCTCATTACTTCCCCTGGAGGTAATGGACTCTATCTTGCCCTGGACTTGTCCTTTTCGAGGTGTCATCTCAGCTCCTCTCTCCCATACTTTTGCCCATGAAGAGCCCATACCCTGTGCCCTTCGTACCCCTGATGACTCTGCCCTTCAGGCTGTGAATGTTCCTGAGCGATTGGAGCTTGTCATTCCAGGATACTGTGGCATATGAGGACCTATCTGTAGACTACACTCAGAAGAAATGGAAAAGTCTCACACTCAGTCAGAGAGCCCTGCAGTGGAACATGATGCCAGAAAATCACCATAGCATGGCCTCCTTGGGTAATGATTCTGTTTCCTAGTCACTTAAAGTCTGCATGCTGCACAATCTCTTTTCTATATTCCTTGTCTCTTTAAACTTTTTACCATGAAAATTTCCAAACATAGTTAAACTAGAGTGAATAATATAGGGACCCTTTCTGCATTCATCACTGAGATTCAACAGTGATCAGCATACTCTTCACCTCATTATGAATTGATATAGTGTGGTTTAGGTAGGGCTTCTTAGTTGTAAGGAACAGAGAGCCACTCAAGTTATTGTAAGTAAGGAGCTGTGAGTCATAGGCTTAAAGGAATGAGAACCTGGAAGAAACTGATGAGCTAGACCAGACTGTGGGAAGCAGGGCCTTGACCCTGGGAGCCTGAGCTGCAAAAGCAAATGCATGTTGATGCCTGTGTTCCAGTGTGAATGTAATGCAGCTGCTCGCAGTGTATCTGTTTTCTCTCTGCTTGTCCTCCTCCTCTTGCCCATTTTCTTCACTGTGAATCTTTTGTCCTTTTCATAGCTCTTTTAATTTTACTTTCTGTTCTTTTACACTTGTTGCTTGCTGTGTTTCCTAATGGCTTGGCTTCTCTCCATGCGCCACTTCAGCTTCCATTGCTACTCGTAAGTGCCTTAATTTTGCCCTACCTCCAGTTCCAAATTTCCTCAGAGATGGACTTTCATTGCTATAGCCATTACGCATCATCTCATTTGGGCACAGGGGTTTGGCCCAGGCCACAGCAGAGGCTGAAGCCTAACCTACAAATAGACCCTTCAGTCTAGTACCTGGTGCCAGTCCAATCACCTGTGGCCCATCGTGGGATGCTCAGGGTCACTTGGCACCAAGCATGGTTGCCTAAGCATCCCTCTCTGCAAACACTGGGGCAGAACAGTTTCCTGAAAGGGCTTCTTGGAAGGGCAGATCCTGTGGTTGACGAGTTTAGGGCAGTCTTTTTACTGTCCTATCATGTAAGATCTGTTCTTTTTGTACACTTTCCTTATCATACCTCCATAATATAAATTTCCAGTCAATTCACTCTCATTTTTTTCCCTGTCTCTTTCTTATGTTTGGCTTGAGGTATTTGCCAGCCTCCTCTCTCCCAACATGTTTTCTGAGAACAATGGAACCATGCAATGTTATGGTTGGAAGGGATCTTAGAGTTCATCACTTTACTAAGGAGACATAGCACGAGAGTAACTTCTGTAAGATCACAGCATGCTTTGCAATCCACTTTTTTGCTTTCCAGTGGCCCTTCTGACTTGGTTGTGCTGGCTTAGTATCTTTTTTCCACCTGTTTTCACTGACCACCTTCCCCTTCCTTGTTTTCCTGTCCCTAGGGAAAAAAAATTGAGCTATTAATATTTCCCATTTTGCTCTTGTTCTCAATGTGTCATCTCATTTCTTAACCATAATGTGACTTTTTTTCAGGTATGTTAGCTCTTAATGATTCTCTTTCTTAAACAGGATAAGAAATGGGTAAAAGTTGTTGTCTTCTTTCTTTGGGCAGCAGGTGAGAACATGATGAAGGGTTCAGAGTTGACTCCAAAGCAGGAATTTTTTAAAGGATCAGAGTCATCTAACAGGACATCAGGGGGACTCTTTGGGGTGGTTCCTGGGGCAGCAGAGACTGGAGATGTTTGTGAAGATACTTTCAAGGAGTTAGAAGGACAAACCTCAGATGAAGAAGGGAGCAGACTAGAAAATGATTTCTTGGAAATAACAGATGAAGATAAGAAAAAATCCACAAAAGACAGATATGACAAATATAAGGAAGTTGGGGAACATCCACCTCTGTCTTCCAGTCCTGTTGAACATGAAGGAGTTTTAAAGGGACAGAAATCCTATCGATGTGATGAATGTGGCAAAGCTTTCAATCGGAGTTCTCACCTTATTGGCCATCAGAGAATCCACACTGGAGAGAAACCCTATGAGTGTAATGAGTGTGGGAAGACCTTCAGGCAAACCTCCCAGCTCATTGTTCATCTCAGAACCCACACAGGGGAAAAACCCTATGAATGCAGTGAGTGTGGAAAGGCCTATAGGCACAGCTCCCATCTCATTCAACACCAGAGACTCCATAATGGGGAGAAACCCTATAAATGTAATGAATGTGCAAAAGCCTTTACTCAGAGTTCCCGACTCACTGACCACCAGAGAACCCATACTGGGGAGAAACCTTATGAATGCAATGAGTGTGGAGAGGCATTCATTCGAAGCAAAAGTCTTGCTCGACATCAGGTCCTGCACACTGGTAAGAAACCTTACAAATGCAATGAGTGTGGGAGAGCATTCTGTTCCAATAGAAATCTCATTGACCATCAGAGAATCCACACTGGGGAGAAGCCTTATGAGTGTAGTGAATGTGGCAAAGCCTTCAGTCGGAGTAAATGTCTTATTCGACATCAGAGCCTCCATACTGGGGAAAAGCCATACAAATGTAGTGAATGTGGGAAAGCCTTCAATCAGAACTCTCAACTCATTGAGCATGAGCGAATTCATACTGGAGAAAAACCTTTTGAATGTAGCGAGTGTGGTAAGGCATTTGGTCTGAGTAAATGTCTTATTCGGCACCAGAGACTTCACACGGGTGAAAAGCCCTATAAATGCAATGAGTGTGGAAAATCCTTCAATCAAAACTCACACCTTATTATACACCAGAGAATTCACACTGGTGAGAAACCCTATGAATGTAATGAGTGTGGGAAGGTATTCAGTTATAGCTCCAGCCTTATGGTACATCAGAGAACCCATACTGGGGAAAAACCCTATAAATGCAATGATTGTGGGAAAGCTTTTAGTGACAGCTCACAGCTTATTGTACACCAGAGAGTCCACACCGGAGAGAAACCTTATGAATGTAGTGAATGTGGGAAAGCCTTTAGTCAGCGTTCCACTTTTAATCACCACCAGCGAACTCACACTGGAGAGAAGTCCTCAGGTCTGGCTTGGTCAGTTTCTTAAGGTATGGTTCTCTGAGACAGAGAGCAACGACCTTTGAGTTAAGCTGTCTTTATAAGCAGGATGCTCATAGTGGTTTCCCGGAGCCAGTAGTCACGGTGGACCATTCCCTACTTGCTTTTCCTTGGATCACTAAGGTGGGAGAGTAGGAGTAACTTATTCCAGTTCTTACCCATTATTAGGAAGGTAAGGACTACACATGTCATTGAATTGTAGGTTTCCTTTTTTTTTCTTTACTTTTAAATTTTAACTTTTAAAATCTATTTCATTTCTTAGTTATGCATCTCATAATCAGACTCCATGCTTTTTAAAGACAGAGATAATATCTTCTCTATTCTATTCTACTTCCTCCATTTCACCATTTATACAAAGTCATTCAAAAAGGCTGATTCATGCCTTCCTGCCTCTTGGCTATGGCCCTCCCCATCTACTCTTTAAACTTTAATCTATAACTTTTCATCAGTTTTGTTCCCTATCTAGAAAACATTTTCTTCTGTTTGCTAATCTTTGTCCCTCACAATTTTTGAAATCCATCTCATCACTGAAATACTTTCTTCTTCAAGTACTTTTTTATTTTTCTTCAACTTCTCTTGATTTGACCTCAGTGCTTTGAATTCACTGGTGCTACAATATGTAACTGTGGTTAATTGCCTTGTAAATTTTGCGTGTCTGTATACTTTTATACCAACTTATTGTAGGCTCTTTGAGGTCAGGTATGTATTTCTTTCCCATATAGATAGTATTTTGTACATACCAGTTGTTAAATAAATAATTTTTAAAATCTCAGCTCTCACATTGAATTATCCTTAAAGTATGCACGATCTTTCTCCCCTCCCCAGCTGGACCAGCTGCTTCTAAAGATGGAAGTCCATCTCATCATAGAATATCACATACAGAGGTCTTACTGATATCTTTTACATATACTCCTGGAAGTCTTACTACTGTTACTTCAGCCTCAAAATGCGAATGGATTTTGTGTGTGTGTGTGTGTGTGTGTGTGTGTGTGTGTGTGTGTGTATGTATGCAAAAGAGAGAGAGTGTGTGTGTGTGTGTATGTGTGTGAATGTGTGTGTATCTAGGTATTGGGTTGGGCAGTCATATCCCACTGGTACGGACTTTCCCCTACATGCTGATTCTAGTTCTGAATTTGCTAACTGTACCCTGCTTCCTAAATCAACAGATTAAGAACTGTGTCAGCTGGGCGCAGTGGCTCACGCCTGTAATCCCAGGACTTTGGGAGGCTGAGGCAGGCGGATCACGAGGTCAGGAGGTGGAGACCATCCTGGCTAACACGGTGAAACTCTGTCTTTACTAAAAAATACAAAAAATTAGCCAGGCGTGGTGGGGGGCGCCTGTAGTCCCAGCTATTCGGGAGGCTGAGGCAGGAGAATGGCATGATCCTGGGAGGCAGAGCTTGCAGTGAGCCAAGATCGCACCACTCCACTCCAGCCTGGGCAACAGAGCGAGACTCTGTCTCAAAAAAAAAAAAAAAAAAAAAGAACTGTGTCAAAATTTACTGCACCGAAGACTTGACTTTCATAGCAGTGGTACAGATTATTGAAAATCCAGCTAGCAGCATTCCCTGATGCTTGGAATTCACTATGACGAGGCTTGTGGCAAGATAATAGATTCACAGGAATCTGTTTTCCTTATCGACTAGTCCTATCTACCTACAACTGCCATCTTAATTTAAAGATGAGAGCTGTACCCTTAATTATCATAATTGTCTTCTGGACCATCTTTTCATTCCCCGAAGACATAAGAAAAGAAATCTCAGAAGATTTTCTGTCCTTCTGCCATCACATGTCAGTCCATGAGCTTGAACAACTTTTCCCTTCCACCCTTGCAATATGGCCCAGATCTGGGGGACGTTTGCCTCTGTTGTCTACCTCCTTCTCTTTCCATCCCTTAAACTTAATAGGTTTAGAGGATCCACAGTGTGACAGAGTAGAGGAGGAGGCTAGAGGAGCCATGCGAGTTATATAATCTGGAGGGGAGATTTTTTTGAGGTGTGGTGTATGTTTTAACATAGAAGAAAGGGTGGAGTTGAGGCATAGGAAAATAAGATTAGATGTGATTCTAGGGACATATCTCAGGCAAGTTTAGAAAGAATAATAGGAATCCTGAAAACACTGAACCCAGGACAGAACTGAAAATTTGCCACTTATGAATATATATTTTAAATTTGTTTTCAACTTTATATTTAGTATGTGTTTCCATTTTCCTTTAGAAGATATGCAGATAGGACTTTTTCATTGTTTTAGTTTGGAAGCTCCCAGATCCCAGGGACAAGCCCAACCCTATATGAGCACATGGGTCCAGCCCTCTACCCTGAGCTGGACATTTCTGGTTAAGTCTTCAATAGAACGTTCCTGCTTATTGGATGTTGCAGTTTTACCTTCTGGTTCTTGTCTGCTCATCGCCTACCACACTAACCCTCTAGAGGTTGGAAACCTGCACTATTCATAACTAAGGTGGGAATAGTAGGGAAAAAAAGAGTAGATGTAGGGAATTCTACACCAGTGTGTGCCTTGACATCCTTAAAAGCCTGAGGCTTTTGAATGGAGGAAAATTGGCTGCATTTGAAAGCCATACCTCAAATTCTATTGGTTACTGCTAGCATAAACTTAAAAAAAATTTAAATCTGGACTGTTATGTTGCTGAATTATTTTTAGTTTTAATGGTTTTTTAGTTTCATTTTCTAGGTATATAATAAATTAATGGCTCCTTTAGCTTTAAATTTTCTTTTTTTTCTTGGAGACAGGGTCTCACTTTCTTACCCAGGCTGGAGTACAGTGATGTGATCATGGCTTACTGCAGCCTCAACTTTCCAGGCTCAGGTGATTCTCCCACTTCAGCCTCCCAAGTAGCTTGGACTACAGGTGCATGCCACCATGCCCAGCTAATTTTTTGATATTTTTTGTAGAGATGGGTTTTCACCATGTTGCCCAGGCTGGTCTTGAACTCCTGGGCTCAAGCGGTCCGCCTGTCTTGGCCTACCAAAGTACTGAGATTACAGGTGTGAGCTGGCCTTATTTTCAATCTTATGCCACTTATGTTGTGCATTAGCAAGAACTTCCAAAAATGTTGAGTAGTAGATAACAGGTCTTCTATGTCTTGTTCTAAAATCTCAGGAGGGATGTTTTTAGTATTTCACATTTTCATTTGCGTTCATTGTTGGATATTGATAAATATTCTGTTGCGTTTAGGAAGTTTCCTTCTAATATTATTTCTAGAGGAAGCAGGGTAATATAGTGGTTAACAACACAGGTTTGGGGTGGACACGGTGGCATGTGCCTGTAATCCCAGCACTTTGGGAGGCTGAGGCAGGTGGATCACTTGAGGTCAGGAGTTCAAGACCAGCCTGGCCAACATGGCAAAACCCCATCTCTATTAAAAATATAAAAATTGGCCAGGTGTGGTGGCAGGCACCTGTAATCCCAGCTACTTGGAAGGCTGAGGCAGGAGAATTGCTTGAACCTGGGAGGTGGAGACTGCAGTGAGCCAAGATCTCACCATTATACCCCAGCCTGGGTGACAAGAGCAAGACTTCATCTCAAAAGAAAAACAAAACAAAACAAAATGAACAAACAAAAAACATGTCTGTGCCCAGCAACCTATGTTCAAATTCTGGGTCCAGTCAGGTGTGGTGGCTCACACCTGTAATCCCAGCGTTTTGGGAGGTGAAGGCAGGAGGATCACTTGAGGTCAGGAGTTTGAGACCAGCCTGGGCAACACGTCAAGACCCTGTCCCTAAATAAATAAAAAAATATATTAGTTGGGTGTATTGGTGCATGCCTTTAGTCCTAGGTATTCAGGAGACTGAGGCAGGAGGATTGCCCGAGCCTGGGAGGCCATGGCTCCAGTGAGCTATCATTGCACCACTGCAATCTAGCCTAGGCAATGAGTGAGACCCTGTCTTAAAAAATAATCTGCATGTCCACCACTTTGTTAGGTGTGTAACTGTGGGAAAATCACCTAGCTTTCCTGTGTCTCAGCTCTTCCGTCTCTAAAGTGGAGCTACTTCATAGGGTTGTGAGGATTAAATTAGTCAGTATGTGTAAGGTACTTAAAACAGTGATTGACACATAGTATACACTATAATAAAAGTTTTATTAGGAATAGTTGCTAAGTTTTATCAAGTTATAAAAAATCTAAAAGTTCCCAAATAATTGAAATTTTCTTGTATTCCTGGGATAAATCTATTTTATTTATTTATTTAGAGACAGAGTTTCACTCTTGTTGCCCAGGCTGGAGTGCAATGGCACGATCTCGGCTCACTGCAACCTCCGCCTCCCAGGTTCAAGCAATTCTCTTGCCTCAGCCTCCTGAGTAGCTGGGATTACAGGCATGTGCCACCATGCCAGGCTAATTTTTGTATTTTTAGTAGAGACAGGGTTTCTCCATGCTGGTCAGGCTGGTCTCGAATTCCCGACCTCAGGTGATCCGCCCGCCTCGGCCTCCCAAAGTGCTGGGATTACAGGCATGAGCCACTGCGCCTGGCCTTATTATTATTATTATTTTTTAAAGTTCAGAAGTAGATTCAATTTGCCAATATTTTGCTGGCTGTGCAAAATGAATTTGGAAGTTTTTTTTCTTTTATTACTCTGGAACAGTATGCATAATATAGCAGTTATTCCTTAAAGGCTAGCTAGAAATGACGCATTCTGATATATATATAATTTTTTTCCCCTGGTGTTTGGATGTGGCAGTAGCATCCTTGCAGTTTTTTTCAGTGGTTTTGTTCTTCAGGTTTTCTACTTCTGTGTAAATTTTTCTAATATGTATCTGGAAATCGTATTTACTATTCTGTCAAACGTTGGCATAAAGTTACACCTAGTATTCTGTAAGATTCTTTTCCTCTGTTCTGTATATGTAATTGACCTCTTTTTCCATATATAGTCATATCCACAGGGAATTGGTTCCAGGATGCCCCTATCTCAGATATCAAAGCCCTCAGATGCTCCTTTACAGTCAGTCAGCCCTCCATATCCTCAGAATATGTGGATGCGGAACCCAAGAATACAGGGGGCCAACTGTATGATGTTTTGCATTTTGGTTTCCCTTCAGTTTTTTTTTTACTTTCAGGATTACCAAAGGCAGTGTATCTTGTTTCTCTTTTTGAATTTCATTTCTCTTGAATTTTTTTTTCATATGTTCTTTTACTGCCTTAAGTTGCCAAGGCTTTGCATTGCCTTCACATACATTTGCTTTTTCCTCATTAGTGAATGACAAGGGCTTTCCAGTCCTGATATTTGTCTGCAGATAGGGAAATGGATTTCCCTTTACATTCCAAGTAGGTGCTATTAAAACTGTCCCTTTAGATCTGAAGCTAAAAGGTTAGTTGTAAATTTATGTAACTCTGCACTTCAGCAGTAGAGAAGCAGCTTCAATTTTGCTAAGCTGGTTGAAAATTTTTCACTCAGGGCCAACTTTTATATCTAGCTTTCTTTTTGGCTCAGCCTCCAGGCTAGTTATCCAGTGGAGCCTCCTTCCAAGTTCTCTGCCTCATTGGAAATAGCTTGGTTGTGAAAGAACTGAATGTGGAAAACCCTTCAGTCACAAGTCATTACTCCACATTGGAAACAAAATCTTTTTTTTTTTTTTAAGTGACAGGGTCTTACTCTGTCACCCAGACTGGAGTGCAGTGGTATGATCATGGCTTACTGCAACCTCAACTTCCTAGGTTCAAGGGATCTTTGCACCTCAGCCTCCTGAGTAGTTAGGACTACAGGCGCATGTTACCATACCTGGCTAATTTTTAAAAAAATTTTTATAGAGACAGGAGTCTTACTATGTTGCCTAGAGTAGACTTGAACCCCTGGCCTCAAGCAACCCTCCTGCTTTGGCCTCCCAAAGTGCTGGGATTACAGGTGTGAGCCACCATGCCCAGCCCAAATAACCAATTCTTTTTTTTTTTGTTTTTTTTTAGGAATGGTTGCTTTCAACATTTTCCAGGTTGTGAAAGGTTTGCCACGATTCTCAGGGGTGTGGTTCTAAGCTGCATCAGTGGAACAAATACAAAATGCTGTCCTCCTCCCAGGCTGGAAGGCAGTGCACTTTCTCCTCTTAACAGCCAGACTAGCGGGTGAGGAGTCAGTGCTGTGACCCAGGCCAAGCTGGAGTGTCCGCATGGCTTTTTCTCTGACCAGTGGGGATTCCATCTATCTTGAGGCGTGCTGGCTGGGCCCCGTTTCCACACCAGCACATGGTGAGACAGGGTAGCTTATCAACAGGCTGCTGGGCCTTAATACTGACAGTGAGTGTGGGGGGTCACAGCCAGGAAGGGACTAACACAGATGCCCGCCCAGCCCCCACTGCTGGCCTAATTTTAGAATACCACGGAAAAAAGCTTTGATGAAGACAACAGGAAGTCAACACAGCAGAGAGTGGTGTGGACAACCCAGAAGCCAGCCTCACGCATTCCATGCCCACAGTTAACGATGACAACAACAGCAGTAAAACAAAGGTACAGGTGAAAAGCAGCGCTCGGGGTGTGCTGCTGCAAGCTGGGGAAGGTGCGTGCTCAACTTGGATGGGACACACCTAGTCTTTCTTCAAGTCCCTGGATTCAAAGAGCTTCAACCGTTCTTGCACCGTCAGGCCTTCCTTCAGACTCTTGGACCTGATGTTTCTGAGTTGCCAGGTGACACAGGATCTGTCTTTCTTCAAGAAGTCAGGGTTGCTTTTAGATTTCATTATATCATATCCGGACACCATGGCACTGTCAGGGGACTTTTCCCCCAGTGCTTCCGTTGCAGCCTTAAGCTGCTCTTTCAACCTGCTGATGTCACAGTCAGCCTTAGCCTTTGCGATGCTGAGCTCTGTGTAGATGTCTTTGTGGTGTCACTTGCGTACTTCTTGTCCCACAGTGCTGTCTGCAGCTCATCCTTGAGGGAGCTAATCTCCTGTTTCAGGTACTGTATTTCCGATTCCTATATCCGCAATAAGACTTCTAGTTCATAGGCATCCTTGCCCTGTGCAAGGGGTGACCCAGTGGCCTCCCCACCGCCGTCCCCAGTCAGCAGCGTCCGCAACCGTGTGATCTCTGCAGCCAGGCGGTTGTTCAGCTCCTGGTTGTGGGCATTGAGCTCCTGGTTCTCACGCTGGCACTGCCGCAGGGCCTGCTGCCCGGCCTCCAGCGCCTGGGCCAGATGGGCATTCTCCAGGCACTTCTGCGAGTACTGCTCCGAGAGGACCTCCAGTTCCCGCTGCACCGACTGCAGCTCCTCCAGGTACTGGCGCCGCAGGGCCTCAACATCCGAGTTGACGCTGCTGATCTGGGACCGCTGGCTCTTCTCCAGCTCCCGCTCCATCTCCTCCCGGTGGGCGTTCTTCATGGCTTCGATGGCTGAGATGGTGGCCGCTGTCTCCTCGGCTAGGAGTCGGTCTTTCTCTTCTCGAAGTTTCTCTAGCTCCCGCTGGTGCTGCCTCTGGAGATCTTCAATCTTCTTCTGGTGCGTTTCTTCCATTGCTGCAAACCCTCACTTGCACGTGGCCTGCAGCATGTAGCCCTCACGGGCGCTCTGCTCCCGGCCCAGGGCCACCCTCAGCTGGTCCTGCAGGAGCCGGTTCTGCTCCAGAAGGTCTGAGGCCTCCTTCTGGCTCTGCTCCAGCTCCTTCTTGAGCAGAGAGGTCAGCTCGTGTGTGGAGAGCCGGTCACCCCCATCTTCAGAAGACAGGTGGACGGGGACGATGGGCACCTGCTTCTCTTCCCGGAGAGGCGTGGTCTCCACCTGATGCCACCGCTGCTCGATCTCCACGTGGACGTTATGCGTCTTGAGGTCGCTCACAGGCAGCCCTGGGCTCCGGTCCACCTCCATGCGCAGGGCTGCATCCTCAGTGCCTGGCCCGCCTGTGGCGTCCAGCATCCCGAAGTGCTTGCGGCGCTCCTCCCGCCTCCGTGCACGCTCCCGCTCCAGCTCCCCAGGCTCCGCCTCAGGGCGCAGGGGCTCGTGGGTGTCAGCAGGCCCCACACCGCCCACCCGCTCCTGATTCAGGGCCTGCTGGATGGGACGGAACTCAGCCCAGTCAAAGGTCTTGGAGAGGCCCTCTCGCCTCCGCTCCCACGTGCGGCTCCTCTTCTGCTCAGGGTCCGGCTCCCCCGGCTCTGCCTCTTGCTTCTCAGTAGGCCTCGGGCAGGTCTCAAAAGAGCAGCTGCTCTTGTTTTTTTCCTCTGGCAACCAGCTGGTCACATCCGGGGCGGTGGTCGGGTGCACATGCTTCATGATGGTCTGGATCCAGTTCCGCCGAATCCCAGATGTCATGGCCGACGGGGTAAACTCGCCCTCCTTTGTATGTATCTGGAAGCCATAGTTTCTCTGAACTGGATACTCTGTGACATCGTAACATGCAGACAAGTCAATTTCTCCATCCAAGTCGGCTGCCTCCTCAGCCACTGAATCCCTGTAGTATCTCAGGCTTTGATCGGCGAGGACAAACCAGTGTTTCTTCCACTGGCTGTCCTCATACTGCTTAGTCAGCCAGCCTTTCTTGAAATTCAGCAGGTCGGGCGTCACGGAGGGCTCTGTGGACCTCCTGTCCAGTGACTTGGCTCTTCGGTGTGGAGACGGGGGAAGCCGAGGCGTCTGGGAGAGGAGCTTGGGGGGGGGCTTCATTGGTGAAGTCCTGCTTGCTAGGGAACGCCCTTTTCTCGCTGCGGCCCTGGCGTGTGTCACTGGATGGCGAGGGCCCCACTGCATTGGTCTCCATGTGCTCTGCCTTCTCAATGTCCAAGGCCTCAAACTTTTCAATCACCTGGGACCTCCTGTGGTTGGGGGTGCTGGGGCTGGGAGGGGAGAGCGGCGGGGGCAGCTGCTGTTCTTCGGCCTTCAAGTCGTGTTTGGTCTTCTCCAGAGAGAAGTAGCTGCTCTCCCCCCGGACTTTGCGGCCACAGTCCATGCGGTCGCTACTCATGGCGCTCTCCTCTTCTTTGCTCTCCAGCCCAGGTTCCCGCAGGGAGCTGGCAGCAGGAGGCTGGCTCTGGCTGGGACTCTGAGCTGGACTCAGACTGCTGCCATCTGGCTGGTCCTTGGTCCTCATTTCTTCCTGCCAGAGTGTGGACTTGGTGGTGGGGACTTTCTCAGCACTGGGGATGCTGCTGCTGCTGCTGCTGCTGGTGGTAACAGCCACCTTGGCAGGCCCAGGCTCCTGCGGTGTGGGGGGCTCCACTTTCCATTTCTTCTTCTGATTCTGCTTGTTGGTCCGGGGATAGACCATGAGCATCTCCAGCCACCCACTGACGATCTCCTTGGTCTCCGCCCGGATGAAATGCTCCTTCTCAGGCGTCAGAATACACAGGGAGAACCTCTGGCCCGTGCGGCCCTCCCCATCCACCACATCTGTGCACTGGTTCATGTTGATGGTGCCCTGAGGAAGGGTCGTGGGCATCTCATCCAGGGCGTAGCGCAAGAGGCCATGCTCGTAAAGGATGAAGAACTGTCGCTGCCATTTCGGAGACCGGTGCACTGAGTTGTCAAAGTCGGTCCCATCTGGAGCCAGGAGGAGCCAACCGCCATAAATGGGTTTTGCCTGCGTCAGGTCCTCGTCGTTGAGGAGATGCGACTCGCGGGGCTGGAAGCAGTTCTGACACTTGCTCTTGTTGAAGATGTTGGCCTGGAATTTCCTGCACGGGTTCTCCTTGGCTGCCGACATGGTCGGCGCGGCGGCGGCGGCGGCGCAGGCCCGGCCGGCCTGGCGCTCCCGGCGGGCTAGGGGCTCAGCGCGGCCGCCGCCGCATCCCTCGCCGGCCCTGCCACAGGCCCTGACCGGCCTCCTTCCCTGCGGGCGGCTCGCTGCACGCGCCGAGGCTCCTGAGCCGCCCGGGCCTCACAGCGCGCGCGACGCCCAGCTCCCGCCCGCACCGCCGCCGCCCAGCCGCCGTGGGCCCAAGGACGCGGCCTCGGGCCCGCTGCTTCCCGCTGCGGCCCGCCTCTCAAGCTCCGGTCGCCGCCGTCCCGGCTCGTCCGCGCCGCCACAGCTGCCCTCAGCGCCCCGCGGCCGCTGCAAATGACCAATTCTTAAGATATGTGAAAAACCATTCAGTTGTAGCAAACATCATACACCAGAGACTTTGTTTGACATCAGATAAATCACACGGGTTAGAGAACTTTTTGGTTTTTAGAGGTCAAGGAATCATTCATCATGAGCTTCCATATTTTGCACATATTTCTGAAAAATATTCCTGAAGTGGAAAAGTTTTGTTATACAACACATAGTTCCTGGTACATGAGGGAACCCACGAAAAAAGGTATCAGTAAACAGTGTTACAGAACTTCCAATTTAATATATATATGTTTTAGTCAAACAGAATTCAAACCCAAGGACAGTTTAGGTGGTGGTCAGACCCAGTGAAGGTGCTGGGAGTGGTATACTTACTCACTTACCTCTTAAACATGCAATGAAAATATTCTACAGCCAAACCCTTATCATAAACTCCAGCCCTGGTCATTCAGCTTCTAAATGCAGTAGGAAATGTCAAGAGATGGTGGATGTTAACAAGTTATTGAGTACTGTCCCATGTTGGGAGACAGTTCTGTCAAGATGTTGACCTTTTTCTGGAGTACTACAGAGCGTGCATTCCTGAAAACCTCTAGGGGTTAGGGACAGGTTGTGAATTTGTCAATTGTGAATACGCACATGGTGGCACTATAAAAAGAATTGAAAGTAAATCCCCTATCCCTAACATCAGGTCATGCTCTGCCCTGATGGGGACCAGTAGAATTTGCCACAGCTGGATACAGGGAAGGTGTTAACGATTACAGCTGGCTCCACAAGCACCTAGTGGTGCTAGTACTTGATCCAGGATAGGACATTTTAGATTTATTATTCACCAAATCATAACAGTCCTCCACTAATATATGCACAGGGTCACTTTACCCAGGTGGATGCCAAGTAGGGTGAGATGCAGACTCCCTTTTAAGGCATGTGAGTGCTTTACATGAAAACACAATAGGAGAGCAATGTATGACGGCCCACCTTTCTGGCCTGTGGGTATTCCTGAAATGATGCCTGGTTAAGACTTGTCAACTGACTAAAATTACAATGTTTTTTCCCCTTAGATGGCCTAGTCCACAAACTTAAAAAGACCTGACCAACTAGACGTTGATTTCATTTACCCAAATGAGTTAGAATTTCTTTGGCAGATAGATGTCATAATAAAGATTGAAATTGCTGAGTATTTAGGCAATTATGACACACAAAAAAACACCCTGATTTCTGAGCAGTGACATTATACTTGACTGAATGAATAGATTTTTGTAGGAAAAAGTATGCTTGTGGATAAGGGCAATAGAAGCTGGATACAGGCAGGCTGGAATCTATTTTTAACATATATTCTAGTGACCCTTACGTTCTCTAAAATTTGAGAATTACTGGACTAGAATATTAAGGAGTAATCATTCCTCCCTGGGACCAGATGTAGGGTTAGCAGCTTGAATCAGAATGAATGGCCCCACCCACCCAAATGAAAGAGTAGGTGAAAGGGAAGACTAAGTAAGTTAAAGATCACAGCTCCCTTAATGTACATGAATATTCGTGTGTGTGTGTGTGTGTGTGTGTGTGTGTGTGTGTGTGACTGAGTTTCACTCTTGTCTTCCAGGCTGGAGTACAATGGCGTGATCTTGGCTCACTTCAATCTCCAGCTCCCGAGTTCAAGCGATTCTCCTGCCTCAGACTCCTGAGTAGCTGGGATTACAGGCGCCTGCCACCATGCCCAGCTAATTTTTGTAATATTTAGTAGAGACGGGGTTTCACCATGTTGGCCAGGCTGGTTTCGAACTCCTGACCTCAGGTGATCCACCCGCCTCAGCCTCCCAAAGTGGTGGGATTACAGGCGTGAGCCACCACACCCAGCCTATTCTTTTTAAGTTTCTTGATGTAGTGGCAGTAGTCTTGTGCTCTTCAGGAGAGTGTCCCGAGTTCTACGTCCCACATCAACTGAGGGTGTGAACTTGTGGAGGACTTTTGTCTGAATCTCTTTTTCAATCTCTATACAATGTGGCGGAGTTGTGCCACCTACATGAGCCAATGGAGAAGAAAGCTCCTGGTATACTTTAAGTACTCAACAATATTAAATACTGAATATTTGTCAATTGACGAAGTACTTCAAAAGCTTGATTCTCAGACTCCTTCTTAGATAAATCATTCCCTAGATTGTCTCATCCTGTCCTGACAACTTCCAAATTTATGTCTTTAGCTGTGATCTCTTCACGGAAGTCCAGACTCCTATTCCAACTGCCTGTTTGGCATTTCATCTTGGATGTTTAATTGGCATCTTTAACACATCCAAAACAAAACTATTAATCCCTCTCCCTAAACCTGTTCCTTTCAAGCTACTCGATTTCTAAAAGACCATCCCATGCTAGTTGCTCAGATCAATAACCATGGAGTCATCAGTAACCAACATTCAATTCATTAGCAAATCATGCAGGCCATGCCTTCAAAATATATGCAGAACCATTTCTCACTACCTGCATCACTTCTAAGCCTGTCCAAGCCACTATCAGTCCTCATCTGGAATATTGTAATGGCCTCTTAATCTCCCTGATTCTACTCTTACCCACCTTCAGACCGTTCTCAACAAGACAGCCAAAGCAAACTAAAAATATAAGTCAAAGAGCAAAATTCATGCAAGGTTTATGTTAGAATGGCTAAGGACAGACAGCAAAGAATTCACAGAATTTATAGTAACAGGCTTCTTGGCTTCTTTCATGTCTCATAGCTAACAAGTCTTTGAATATGTGGTAAGGGAAAAAAAGTTAGATCATGTCGTTCCTCTGTCCCCAAGCCCTCCAGCTGTTATGCAGAGCAAATCCAAAGCCCTTATCATAGTCTACAAGATCCTAAATGTGCACCTCTCCACCCCACTCCTGATTAAAGAATTTTGCTCCTAATGGCCCACTATGGGAATACTCTTTCCCCAGATAGCCACATGCTTCAATTGCCCACTTCCTGTCTCTGCCCTCCCTGTCATCTGTAAAATAGTCCCACCACTATCTCCCTCTCTCCCCTTACTCCCTCTCTCCCCTTACTGCTACGTTCTACATATTTATTTATCATTGTCTCCTTGACTTGAATGTAAACTCAATGGGGCAGAGAGTTCATTTTCTTCACTACTGTATCCGCAGCGCCTGGAACAGTGAGTGACATAGTAGGCACCCAAAACGTCTTTTCATATGCTGCCAATAAACCATAGCTGATCCTGGCTTTGAGGCTGAATGACCCAGATCTGTGGAAGGAAAGATGACCTCTCTGCTCAGCAACCGGAGCTGGGGGTGTAACTTTAGGGAGTCTCAGCCTGAGGCTGGCAGCCTGGCCACCCAGATGCTCGGTCTCTTTCCGCCCTAACCAAGCCCCCTGCCCAGCTTCCACCACTTCCAGGGCCCTCCTCACATTGGCTGAAGTCGCCAAGCCCTTCCATCCAATGATAGGGCAAAGCCCGGAAGGGAGGCAGGGCCAGAGCGTCGGCCGACCGCGCGGGGCTTCTGAGGGGCGGGGGGACTCCAGCCCGCGGGCACAGAGATGTGGAAACCTCACGAAGCCTAGAAGGGCCGGAGGGACAGGCTGGGAGTTAGCTGGGAGTTGCTGACGCAGTTCCTTCTGCGCTTTGTTCAAGATGTGGGTCTGGCGCTTTCGGTGAGGGGTGCTCTACAGTCTGGCGTGGGGGGTCGGGCCGGGTTCTGGGAGCGTGTGGGAGACGCAAGCCAGGAGGCCAGGGCTCCTCTGCGGCTGCCCGCTGCTGAGATGGGCGCGGCAGCCAAGGGGTCGTTGTGGGCCTCCCCTTTCTCTCGTTCAGTGCTGCCCCTTTGTCTTGGGTCCAGTCTCTGACTCCTCGTAGCTGCTCGCTTGGACCAGGCTGGCCGTGGTGACAGCACTGTGTCGTCCCCGCTCCTAGGCAGTGGGCCTTCCGGGTAGTAGCGGTCGAGTCCCGCCTAGGCTCTCAGGACTCCACAGCCCCTGAGTATTTGACTCAAATCACCAGTCCAATATCCCTCCCGTTACCAGTGAGGAACCTGGGGCCCAGAGAAGAGGACGGAGTCTTGCCCAAGGTTACTCATTCATTCATTGATTCATTCAACAAATATTTATTGAGCACTAACCCAGTAGTGTGCTAGGTCCTGGGGTTATGGTTGTGTACAGGACAGAACTAAATTCTAGTAGGGGAGAAATGAAACAAACTTCAAGGGTTAGAAGCAGAGCCTGGGGATCTGGAGGGGGAAACACAAAACATATTTGAGGCTTAGTAATCCTAAGAAATGGGTAAACAGAAAAAAGGAACATTCTTTTTCTAGTGCTCTTTTAAAGACTTGTTTCTTTCTGTCTTCCTAAAGACACTTGACTCAGCAAAGTTCTCCCTCTCATCCCCCTTGTGCAGACTTTCTGTGGAAAGCTGGATTGCAAGGAAGTTCTCCACTGCATTGTATTTTGCAGTTAGATGAGAATATGGAAGCTTTTAGATATCAATGGAGCAGGTGAAAAGGGGAGGCTGTGGTGTGATGGAATTAGGATTTCCTGAAGACACAGAAGGCTTTTTAATCACTCACTAGCTATAGGACCTTGGGCAAGTCGTTCAATCCCTGGGAGCTTCATTCCCTCATCTTTACACTGGAAATGATCCTTCTTACTGCCCACAGTTCTATAGGAAGGGAAGTTACCCAAAGATGGGACACTGCCCTGAGTGTCCACTTGGAATTCAGGGCTCAGAGAACTCAGTCATTTATATCTGTTTACAGTGACTCAAGACCCTCTTAGGAACTTCTTCACTGAACTCAAGGAGGAGATCAGGCAAGATCTGTGCTGTGCAGATCCTTTGGATTGAGGCTGCTGTGCACAGGAATATGGGTGAGTCATTCCATTCTCTCCTGGGCAGGTGAGGCCTAGATTGTGAAGTTAGTCTGGGCACAGGAATCCTGCTTGTGGGCACCAGGGTTGAAAGGGAGCTTCTCTCAGTGGTATTTATCAAACAGGAGAAAAGCACTGAAGTGGGCAGGGGGCCTCTGGACCTTGAGGAGTAGAGTTTTGTTTCAGATGGGAATAAGGGTGATGTAGTAGAACTCAAAATTGGGTGTCATGGGACTTGGATTTGAGTCCCAGCTTTCCTCTAAGTTCCAAGTTTTCCTTCTGTACATTTGGATATAAGACTGGATAGACTGGGAGGTTCCTTCCAGCTCTGACATACTGAGAGTCTCTGAATAGTGGGACCAGGTCAATCTCTTAGGGAATTTAGTCCCTGGGATGACTCTGTTGAGACAGAATTGCCAAGAATGCAAATACACCATTATGGTGTTTCCCAGATAATATGAAGCACAAAAAGGACAAACATGTAGAGGAGGGATGGTAGTAGTGATGTGTGGATTTGGCTCTCAGCATCCCTATGTGCACTCCAGGTGTTAGAATCTTAAACTTGTTTAATTTACCATTTCAAATCAAACAATGCTGACTGAGCCCTCTCTGTGTCAGACACCATGTGGTATCTACAGGCAAATCTCATGGGAACTGCTCTCTGAGGGCATAGAGCTTAATGTATATATTTGAGGATGGACACAGACATACACACAAGCAATTCCAGTATAAGGCAAACTCTATTTTATAGATTTGTTATGGCATTTTTTGGAATACAGAAATTTTTATGTGTCAGATATATCAGCTTTTTCACATGGTGTTAGCCTTTCCCTTGAGGCTTAGGCCTTTCTTCTAATTCTTTTTTTTTCTTGCAATGTTTACATTTCACTTATCCATCCCTTGAATTTATTTTCAGGTATTTCCTCTTATTCCTTACTCCACTGCACCTAATCAATAACCAAGAACCATGTAACCATTGCTTAGAGGGACTTGAACAGGCAGATGATGCTGGTGAATTAAAGGAAGACAGCCTCCAAGTAAAGCCTCTCTCTCTCTCTCTCAATAGGATTCTACCCTTTATGTATTTTTCACAGCCTGAAATGGATGGTGGTCCTAGGATTAGAACACTTACCTACCAGTCTCAGAGATTTGTGGGTTAGAGATCTGCAGGGCCTTATCAGTCCTCATACATTCACTGGCTGTCTGAGATTTTGCTTTTCTGTACAGTTGCCTAGATACCCCTAGTGTCCTACTGGCCTGTGGCCTCATGTTTCCCTCCAAACTTCTCCAGCCAAGACCCTACTTCCTTAGTACCTAGGAATTCTTCCAGGATTTCTGAGGGCATTTCCTATCCAATCAGACAGAAGGGAGCAAATAGGTTTCTTTTTGATCAAACTCTCCTCATTTGGCCCTCTTTGATCTCCTGTCTGGTCCTGCTTCCTCCTCAGCTCCTCCATCACCACCCTGGGCTTTCTTACAGTGCATCGCTGTGCATTTCTCTTTCTCCCTACCTGCCCCTTTGTGTTAGGCTATTCTTGTGTTGCTGTAAAGAAATACCAGCCGGGCGCGGTGGCTTACGCCTGCAATCCCAGCACTTTGGGAGGCTGAGGTGGGCGGATCACCTGAGGTTGGGAGTTTGAGACCAGCCTGACCAACATGGAGAAACCCCATCTCTACTAAAAATACAAAAAATTAGCTGGGCGTGGTGGCACATGCCTGTAATCCCAGCTACTCGGGAGGCTGAGGCAGAGGAATCACTTGAACCTGGGAGGCAGAGGTTGTAGTGAGCTGAGATCACGCCATTGCACTCTAGCCTAGGCAACAAGAGCGAAACTTCGTCTCAGAAAAAAAGAAAGAAAGAAAGAAAGAAATACCTGTGACTGGGTTAATTGTAAAGAAAAGAGTTTAAATTGACTCACTGTTCTGCAGGCTGTACAGGAAGCACGGTGCCAGCATCTGTTCAGTTTCTGGGGAGGCCTCAGGAAGCTTTTACTCATGGTGGAAAGTGAAGTAGGAGGAGGCAGAGCATGGTGAGAGTAGGAGCAAGAGCAAGGCAGAGGGATACCACACACTTTTAAACAACATGATCTCACGAGAACTCACTATCACAAGGACAGAACCAAGAGGATGACGATAAGCCATTCATGAGAAATCTACCCCCACGATCCAGTCACCTCCCAACAGGCCCACCTCCAACATAGAAGATTACATTTCAATGTGAGATTTGGAAGGAACATCTAAATGATATCACTTTTCTAACCCAAATCCCTTTCTCAGTAAGCTTATCTGTTTTTTTATTTTTTTAATGTATTTATTTATTTTGAGACAAGTTCTCACTGTCTCCCAGGCTGGAGTGTGGCGGCATGATCATAGCTCACTGCAGCCTCGACCTCCCTCAGCCTCCCAAGTAGCTGGGACCACAGGCATATGCCACCACACCTGGCTCACTTTTTAAAATATTTTTACCCAGGCTGATCAAACACCTGGGCTCAGGCAGTCCTCCCACCTCACCCTACCAAAGTGCTGGGATTATAGGAGTGAGCCACCGTGCCCGACCCTCAGTAAGTTTATACATTTTCATGACTCCCTCTGTCCTCTCTGTCTTATCATTCTCAAATTTGCCTTCGTGATATATTCCTCTTCACCTTGTCTAAAATGTTTCTGTGTGTCCCCATCTTGCTTAGTGACACTACCATTCTTGGTATTCAGACATGGATCTGATGACCTTGGATTGTTTCCTTCAGTCCATCCTCTGTATTCAAAGGAATATGGATGTGTGCGTTATACATCTGGATGCGTTCCTGAAAATAGCTAGACTTCATTGTTCTCTGTTCTCTCATCTTGGATTAGGGTCTTGCTATCTTATTCATTTGTTCATTCATTCAACAAACGTTTATTGGGTACCTACAACGTGCCAGACCCTCCAGTGTTCACCTGTACCGCATGACTAGTGTTGTCTCCTAATTCATTTCCCTTCCTCTTTTCTTTTTAACCCCCTCTAATCCATCTGGGCTAATCTTCCTAAAGAGTTCTTATCCTAATTTCACTTTTGGGTAGGATAATGCAAAATTTATTGTCCAAACGGGGATACTGTTGTGAGTTAAGGGAGCCATTATTAAATATGATGCTGGGATAGTAGGCTTAAACTAGCACTATTCTGGGAAAACCAGGATATATGATTGCCCTACTTGACATCTCTTGGATTCTTTACTTTCTGTTTCCCTCAATTTACTCCCCATGTGTTATCCCAGCTGCCTCTCTCCTCTGTTTTCCATTTCATTAAGCTGAGAGAAACGTGAATGTTCTGGGAGGTGGTAGTGGAGGAACTATGGGAACTAGGGGAAGTGCATGGTAATGCTTGAAAAACTGTATTGTTAAGTGAGAAAAAGAAGGAAAATAACAAGAGTGGAGAATAGCAAGGTACAAAAAAGAATATAGAATGGAGAAAGAAAATTAAGGATAGATTTCACTCTTCTGTTTAGAACTGGTTTCCCTTTGACCATCAGTTTATATCCATATTTTTCATCTTGTAATTTCAGTATTCTGGTTGGAATCACTTCAGGCAGCTTGATTCTTTCTTCATTTGTTAATTCCAACAACAAAAAATGTTGAGCGCTTACCATGTGCCTGGGACTGTGGTAGTGCTAGGAATACAGGGTAAGCAGGACGGACAAAATCCCTGCCTACATGAAGTTTATATAATATTATGATCTCCCATTTATTTTCATGTATACCAACCCTGTGCCTTTTTTTTTTTTTTTTTTTTTTTGAGAAAACACTGCTTATTCTCCAGGGCTCAGCCTAAATTCTGCCTTTTTAAAATGCTTTTCTCCATCATTCCATGCCTTAGTAATTGCTCCCTCCCTCCCCTAGTCCTCTTCATCTCCTGCTTGCATACATTGTAAATTTGAATTTGCTCTCTTATTGTTTTTCCATACTACTCCATTGTAAGCTCTTTAAGGGAAGTATGATATTTCATGCTTGTATTAGTGTGCTTGGGTTACCATAACAAAATGCCATAAACTGAGTGGCTTAAACAACAGAAACTTATTTTCTCACAGTTCTGCAGCCTAGAAGTGTGAGATCCATGTGCCTCGCCATTTTGGTTTCTGGTAGGGGGCTCTCATCCTGTCTTGTAGCTGGCCATCTTCTTACTATGTATTCTCATAGCCTTTATGTGTATGTGTGTGGAGAGAGGGAGAGCATGTAAGAGAACTTTCTTGTGTTTCTTTTTATAAGGACATGAATTCTGTTGGATCAGGGCCCACCCTTATGACCTCATTTAACCTTAATTATCTCCTTAGAGGCCCCATCTCCAAATACAGTCACATTGGGGGTTAGAGCTTTAACATACAAATGTTAGGGGGACACAAACATTCAGTCCATGACAATGCTTCTTTAAATTTTCCCTGTGTTAGACCCAGAACAGGGATATATACAGAGTAGGGTGCTCATTAGTTATGAGTTTAAGAAATGTATGAAGAAAAGAGAAGTTCCAGAGAAGATGAGAAATTGAAAAGAAATTCAGAAAAAACTATCAACTTTCTCACAGAACTTTGAAGGTGAGTTCACTTGCTCTACTGCTCTGCATTGCAGTCCCCTGGCTTTGCACTGTTTTCTCCACCTGCTTCATCCTTAATGATTAGGAGAGGTAGCAGCAGCTGGATGTGAGTGAGCCCAGGACCCTGGCAAGAATCCACCCTCCCTCACCATTCTCTCTTCCTACCCTTCTTATCTTGGGCATGAGTTTGTGTGTATGTGCCTGTGTATGGAATCAGTGGCCACCCGCATTTCTGAGATGTGAACTCGAATATGTGCAGTTATCTTTTTGCCAGTCTCGAGTGCCACCATTTGCTATCTTCCTTCTCCAGAAAGTGTGGCTCCATTTATCAGAAAGCTGTGGGACATGGAAATTGGTCAAACTTTTTTTTTTGAGACAAAGTCTTGCTCTGTTGCCCAGGCTGAAGTGCAGTGGCATAATCAGGGCTCACTGCAGCCTGGACCTCCTGGGCTCAAGCAATCCTCTCACCTCAGCCTCCTGAGTAATTGGGACTACAGGTGCACACCACCATGCCTAGCTAATTTTTAAATTCTTTGTAGAGATGTAGTCTCCCTGTCTTACCCTGGCTGGTCTCAAACTTTTGGGCCCAAGTGATCCTCCCGCCTCAGCCTTGCAAAGTGCTGAGATTATAGACATGTGCCACCATGCTCAGCCCATCAAACTTTTTTGAATAGCAACAAGCAATACTGCACAACAGTTGCACTCCTTCTGACCCAATTAACTCATTTGTGGAACTTTTGTCCTAGGAATATATTTTAATAGGAAGAAAATTTTGTGTGTATAAAGAGATTATGATAGCATTATTGATAGTAGTTAACTTCAAGGAACAACAGAAATGTCCAACACTAGCAAAATGGTAGGTAAATTAGAAGGAATTCAATGATCATATGAAGATTAAATAGCAATGTGGAAAAATGTGCATTAAAAAATTAAGTGGAGGCTGGGCGCAGTGGTTCACGCCTGTAATCCCAGCACTTTGGGAGGCCGAGGCAGGTGGATCACCTGAGGTCAGGAGTTCAAGGCCAGCCTGGCCAACATGGCGAAATACCATTTCTACTTAAAAAATACAAAAACTAGCCAGGCGTGGTGGCAGACGCCTGTAATCCCAGCTACTCAGGAGGGTGAGGCAGGGAGAATTGCTTGAATCCAGGAGGCGGAGGTTGTAGTGAGTGGAGATTGAACCACTGCACTCTAGCCTGGGCAACAGAGCGAGCCTCCGTCTCAAAAAACAAAAAAAAATTTGTGAGGCAGGGATTAGGGAGATGTTGGTCAAAGGATACAAAAATTCTGTTAGGAGGAATAATTTCAGGAAATCTATTGTATTACATGGTAATTATAGTTAATATCAACATATTTAGACTTGAAAAGTGCTAAGAGAGATTTTAAATGTTCTTACCATGAAAAAATAATAAGTATGTGAAGTAATGGATATGTTAATTAGCTTGATTTACCTGTTCCATGTGTAAACATTTATAAAAACATGTTGTATGCCATAAATATATATACTTTTTTATCAACTAAAAAATAAATGAAATGAACTGCAAGAAGTAGGATGCAAAATAATATCTACCATATTTAATTGTCTAACAAAATACATATGGGCAAGTCTATAAAGGAGCATAGTCATGTGTTAGTATCATGTAGTTATCTTTTTGCTTTCTTTTACATCCCAACTCCCTCTAAGGTCTGCCATGGTTACCTGTATGTCCAGAGTTTCACGTCAAACCAGTTGGGAAATTCCTCCTTATTCTGATGTTTGGTTTCATGTATTGGCACCTCTTGGTTATGCTGCCCCTACTCTGACGCTTTTGCCATCCTTAGATACTTTACTATTATGCCATGCAAGATCCTATCAGAGTTTCATCTGCCATGCTTTAACTAACCTTCTTTCCCAATTTAGCCTCTCAGACTCACCCCTTAAGTAGTCTCAGTCTGTCAGAGTGACAGCATGGTGAAAAGCAGACAGACTACACTTGCATATAAAACTGGATCCAACTGGCTGGGCGCGGTGGCTAACGCCTGTAATCCTAGCACTTTGGGAGGCCGAGGCAGGTGGATCACGAGGTCAGGAGATCGAGACCATCCTGGCTAACACAGTGAAACCTCGTCTCTACTAAAAATACAAAAAATTAGCCAGGCGTGGTGGCGGGCGCCTGTAGCCCCAGCCACTCGGGAGGCTGAAGCAGGAGAACGGCGTGAACCTGGGAGGCGGAGCTTGCAGTGAGCCGAGATCGTGCCACTGCACTCCAGCCTGGGCGACAGAGTGAGACTCCGTCTCAGAAAAAAAAAAAAAACTGGGTCCAACTATAGGCCAGCCCCTATGAAGTAGGCTATGATGTGACTAGGCTCAATATTGAAAGAACTGTGTCACCACTTAACAAGATAGGGTTTACCTGCAAGGATGTAGACTGGGGTCTAGTACCTGGACCTTGAGCAAAAGATGAAATCCTACTCACAACCTAAGACAGAATCCTAGTTGCTATTCTATAATACCATTTTGAGCACCTTTTACATACTGGCCACAGTATCACTAGTACTAGGGGAATAGGTTAGCAAGAACTAAAAGCCAAACTGAACTAAAGTTTAGTCATCTTTCAGTTCACTTTTTCTAGGACCAGATTATAGTTGAGCCTGCCATTAGGAGTTAGATGGCTCTGAGCTGGGTGCGGTGGCTCATGCCTATAATCCCAGCACTTTGGGAGGCTGAGGCAGGTGGATCACCTGAGGTCAGGAGTTCAAGACCAGCCTGGCCAACATAGTGAAACCCCATCTCTGCTAAAAATACAAAAAATTAGCTGGGCGTGGTGGCAGGCGCCTGTAATCCCAGTTACTAGGGAGGCTGAGGCAGGAGAATCGCTTGAACCTGGGAAGCGGAGGTTGCAGTGAGTCAAGATCGTGCCATTGCACTCCATCTCAAAAAAAAAAAAAAAAAAAGCAACGAGTTAGATGGCTCCAATTCAGGGAGTAGAGGATGAGGCAGGAAGGAACTAGGGTAGATTTTATACGATTCATTGCTTATTCTGATGCTGGACCTGCTGGGCTCCCCTTAGCCCCTGGCTTTCCATAAGCCTTTACATTGGCCTCTATGTTTAACTTCATTTTTGTCATCTTTTTGATCTGTTCCCCTGCCCTTGAACACTTAACCCTTCCATATGGCTACCACATCTTGTCCGTGGATAGATCTCCTTCCTCTGGTACAGAGAATAGGTGACATGTGCAATTTCTGTTTCTCCTGTCAGATGGTGAAACTGGGACTGAGGAGGAGTTAATTCCAAAGCATCATTCCTGAAAAATCAGAATCATACATACTTTCAAGAGAATTCCACAGAGACATTGCCCAGGAAGTCAAAATTTAGAAGGCTCCTCTGAAGGGAAAGAGAAGACTAGAGAGGACACTGGTATGTTCCAAGCAGGAGAAAATGAGGAGAAAGACAAGAAATTTCAAACATAAGACAGTTAAAGACAATAAAGTACTCACAGAAGGGAGTGACCAAGAATCTGAAAAAGACAATAGTCAGTGCTGTGACCCTGCAACAAATGAGAGAGTTCAGGCTGAAAAGAGACAGTATGTATGTACTGAGTGTGGGAAAGCCTTTAGTCAGAGTGCAAACCTCACAGTACATGAGCGAATCCACACGGGAGAGAAACCCTATAAGTGTAAGGAGTGTGGAAAAGCTTTCAGTCATAGCTCTAACCTTGTTGTTCATCGGAGAATCCACACTGGACTGAAGCCCTATACATGCAGTGAATGTGGGAAATCTTTCAGTGGAAAGTCACATCTTATTCGGCACCAGGGAATCCACAGTGGGGAGAAAACTTATGAATGTAAAGAGTGTGGGAAAGCCTTTAGTCGGAGTTCGGGCCTTATATCACATCACAGAGTTCACACCGGAGAGAAGCCCTATTCTTGTATTGAGTGTGGGAAAGCCTTTAGCCGTAGTTCAAACCTTACTCAACATCAGCGAATGCACAGAGGAAAAAAAGTTTACAAATGTAAGGAGTGTGGGAAAACATGTGGTTCTAATACAAAGATTATGGACCATCAGAGAATTCACACTGGAGAGAAGCCTTATGAATGTGATGAGTGTGGAAAAACTTTCATCTTAAGGAAAACTCTTAATGAACACCAGAGACTTCATCGTAGAGAGAAACCTTACAAATGTAATGAGTGTGGGAAGGCTTTTACTTCTAATCGAAACCTTGTTGATCATCAGAGAGTTCACACTGGAGAGAAACCCTATAAATGTAATGAATGTGGGAAAACCTTCAGGCAGACTTCTCAAGTTATTCTACACTTGAGAACCCACACTAAGGAGAAACCCTATAAATGTAGTGAGTGTGGGAAAGCCTATCGGTATAGTTCACAGCTTATTCAACACCAGAGGAAACATAATGAGGAGAAAGAAACCTCATAAATAACAAATATTGTGGGTAGTAGGGCTGACTGCTGCTTTTCTAAAAAGTAGTTCTTTAGTATCAACTTTAATTCTACTTCTAAGAATCATACTCTACTTCTAAGAAAATAATTAGAAGTAGACAAAGATTAATGAAAGGGATGTTCATGACAGCATCATATACGACTGAAAGAAGAAAACTAGATTTTCAACATTACAGGGTTGAAATGAATGATGAGCTATCCATATGATGGTTCTGCAGCCATTGCAAACATTTTTAAAGACAATTTAATGCCATGGGGAAATGATTGGATAAGACGGAAGATAATGACATACAATCCAAAATTTAAAAAAATATTTTTGCATAGGAAAAATTGAGAAGGAAGTAAACCAAAATGTTAACAGTGATCATCTCTGGGCGATAGGATTATAGGTGATTTCTATTTTCTTCTGTATACTTTTCTATGCTTTCTAGATTATCTACATGAGAATATACTAATTTTATATGCAAGAAAAAAAGCACAGTATTTTTTAAATGCAATGAAGACGTGCTTATTTTCACTCAGCAGTGTTATGAAAGGCACGTAGTATATAGAGCCCAAAGCCCTGGGATTGCACCCTGACACTGGCATTTAGCAGCAGTGGAACCGCGAGCAAGTCCCTTCCTTTTAGAGCGTGTTTCCTGTTAAGTAAAATCATAAACACCGATCCTTTGTCCTTTTTAGTTTTAAGACAAGCTGACTTTAGAGTTGTCAACAAAATATATAATAACACTGTTAGGTTAAAAGAACACAGCAAAAATTCACTGAACCCTCCTTTCCCACAGTTCTGGAAGGATCTGCAGATGATGGAGAACTACCTAGGCTTCATCTTTTCAACATATGTCTACACAACCAGAAAAAAATGAAATTGAAACAACTGTAGACTCAAAAACTTCAGATACAGTCACCAGTTAATATAAAACTAGTGGGAGACTCTGCCTTCACATGGTATATAGAGTTTAAAGGCTAAAAGTACAAACTTTGGGGTTGGAGATATCCATGTTCTAACCCCAGTTCTACCATGAACTAGCTTGTCAGTTTTGGACAAGTCACTTAACTGCTCTGAGCCTCAGACCTGTGTGTAAAAAAGGAACAATTACCTACCTTACAAGGTTGTTGTGAGGATTAAGTGAGTAATGCATGAAATATATGATAAGCCAGACACGTGGTAAATGATAAAATCTTAAGTATAGGACATTGTAGCAGTGTTTCTAAACACTTTAGGGAGAGTGATTAAAGAGAATTTTTGTGTAAGGTAGTACTTAGGATATTTTCAGATGTATTGAACAGAATACCAAGTACTAGCAGCCTAGACCTTAAGAACATTGATTGATTGCTTAAGGGGAATCTAGAGGTAAGCAGTGCTATGTTTGGTTTGGCAACTCAGCACTTCATCACACTTCTCTCTTAACTCCATAATTTTCAGCATGTTGACTTTCATTTTTCATAACCTCATGGTGGCAAGACAGTGGCCACAGCTGCATCTTGCCTTCACACAACTCCTTCAGATTGGGAACTGGAAAAGGAGCTGAGGCTTTCTCATCTGGTTTCTTCCTTTTGTCACTGAGAAAAATCTTTCCCTGAAGAAGGGACGGAGAGGTGTTGAGCAATCAATACAACAGATGTTTTCTATCTTCCTCTGCCTTTCTTTATGACCAGTCCTCCTTGAAGGTCTTAGCCCATCTTCCACCAATATTTAAAACATTTTAAGTGCTTAGCTCAAAGTCACTCTGAAACACTTAGAATCTCCCTATTTTTAACTCAGCCATTCCTCTGTGTATACAGTGAATCCCTAAGCCCACTGTTATCTGTCTTATGCACATAGTGAATTAGTGTTTGGGGAATTTTTGATAATATGTTATTTAGTTCTCCCTCTATTATACAAGAAAATTGAGTGTCATTGAGGTTAGGTGACTGGCTAGTAAGTTGTCGGAGCCAGGATTTGAGCTCAGATCTGACTTTGAAATTCATGCTTTCTTCATTATACCAAAGTGCCTCTGCCCACCATGGTGGTTCTGTATGTGAGTGGAAGACCAGTTGGCGTTTTCCCAGGTAGCTGCCTCTATGAAAGGTGATTGTATCTAACAATTATTTGATATTTGACCATGGTTTTATAGGGAAGATGTTATCAGTGTTCTGTGAATGGGGTTTATGGCCTATCTCTGTACCTCATAATTTAGTTTTAAGGTATATATATTTCTTTCTTGCTGTTACCGGAAAGAAAGAAGTGAAGGGTGAAGGTTGTATATTTGTGTGAAAAAAAATTACTGATTTTGTCCTATTTTGATAGGATAGTGGTTTGCACATAATTTGTGATATAATAGTCCTTTGCATGGTCATTCCAAGCAGGGTTTGGAAGGCCTGGAACAGATTTGTAGCATTCATGGACAAGCCTGGTCTATCATTCCTGAGCAGAATTGTTGATGCTTTATATATTGCTGAGCAGATATTCTCTGACCAAAACATTTTTTCACCACCATGTCATAGTGCCTAAAACTCTTTATTTAGATAGGCTTTCTTTTTTGTCTTAGAAGACTATGATCTTCAAGAGTATATCTCAAGGAAGGATATGATGCCATCTCATAACCAGAGAACTGAATATAGGAGAGCTTCATATTTCTTGCCCCAGGCAGGCGAGGATTATAGTCTCTTGAGGAGGCCATCACCCATCTTCTAGGCTAATACCTGCCTTGAGCTGTAGGAATAAACACTTGACAGTGGGTTCCTGCATCCTTTCAGATAAACATTCAGCTATAATTTGAACTGATCACCCACCTTTCTCCGGGAGTCTCCCAGGGTTACCAACTTTTACCTCAGTCAGAGTTTAGGCATGCAGCTCTTACCATCCTTTCAAGCCCTTTCATAATACCCTCTGGAAACCAGGAACTGTCTCTTTTAATGTGCTTTCTTTTTCTTTCTTTTCTTTTCTTTTCTTTTTTTTTTTTTTTTGAGATGGAATCTCGCACTGTCGCCCATGCTGGAGTGCAGTGGCGTGATCTCAGCTCTCAGCTCACCGCAACCTCCAGCTCCCAGGTTCAAGCAATTCTCCTGCCTCAGCCTCCTGAGTAGCTGAGATTACAGGCACCTGCCACCACACCCAGCTAATTTTTGTATTTTTAATAGAGATAGGGTTTCACCATGTTGGCCAGGCTGATCTCGAACTCCTGACCTCACAAGATCCACCTGCCTCGGCCTCCCAAAGTGCTGGGATTATAGGCATGAGCCACTGCACCTGGCTTTATTTATATGTGTATTTATTTATTTATTTATTTATGAGATGGAGTGTTGCTCTTGTCGCCCAGGCTGGAGTGCAATGGCGTGATATCGGCTCACTGCAACCTCTGCCTCCTGGGTTCAAGCGATTCTCCTGTCTCAGCCTCCCAAGTAGCTGGGATTACAGGTACCTGCCACCACACCTGGCTAATTTTTTGTATTTTTAGTAGAGACGAGGTTTTGCCATGTTGGTCAGGCTGGTCTTGAATGAATGTGTTTTCTTCACATTCTTGTTCCAATGGAAACCGGGCTGTTCCCCAAGGGCAGTGCTTATTCTGCATTCCTCAATTGCTGGTTTATGTGTCTCTCAACTCATGTACCTCTCTGTACTGCCATTTCTTCTCTCTTCTCCATCAGAAACTTAGCTCTAATCAGTCATGGTTGCATACACACGTAGTCCTAGGTACTCAGGAGGCTGAGGGGGGAGGATCACTTGAGCCCAGGAGTTCACTGTTACAGTGAGCTATGATCACAATTCTGCACTGCAGCCTAGGTCACGGAGCAAGACCCTGTCTCAGAAACAAAACAGTACAAAACAAAAAACCCACAAAAACCCAACCCAGTGCTTTTGAAATATATATCACTAAACTACTGTGTATTGCTCATTCTTGTTATTTGGTTTCTTGTCTACTCACATTTATTCACTTACAGTTTTAGTACCCTGAATATTCCTGAGGAATATAAAGAGGCAATAATTTTAGCCACAGACATCCTGGTTATATAGAATTGCTCCTGTGTAGAATAAAAATATATATGCTCTTTTTAGTTGAGAGGAAAATACGAAAATCTCATTTTATATAGCCTTGAGTAGAGGGCAATACGTAAGACAAAGAATTCTGCTTAGAGAGGAAAGTGTCGCCCTGGACTTAGAAATCTTTTTTCATAGATGGTGCGTCCTGTGTTAGGTATTACTTGGAAGAAAATTGAAGTAAAAAACAGCTTTAAGTAACTGAGTAATTAGGATTAATTAGTAGCTGTTGAATCTAAATCCCTTAAGACTAAATTTCATTGCAGCTCTGTACCCTCAGCAGGACTTCCTTTCTTGATTGTTTTTTCCATTTAATATAAAATTTAAAAGATGCCCATATTGTCAGTTGTTTTTAGTCGCCAGACTGTCTTTAATAGCCTCTGATGTTATAAAACTGGAGTCATGAAATTGTTTTGCAGGAAGTAGTGATAATTCCTTCAATAAACGTCTGCTATTCTTATAAATATCACTTTTTTTTTCTTTTTGCTTACTTTCTTTGTTCAGAGTGGGAAAAAAATAGTTCAATCTGCTTTTCTTTAAGTAGCTATATTAGGGTTCTTTCTCCAGAGGGATGGAATGAATAGGATGTATGTATATATAAAAGAGATTTTACTAGGGAGAATTGGCTTAAGGCAAAGTCCCGCCATAGGCCATCTGCAAGCTGGCAAAAGAGAAGCTGGTAGTGTGGCTCAGTCCAAGTCTGAAAGCCTCAAAACCAAGGAAACTAAAGTGCAGCCTCAGTCTGAGGCCAGAGGCCCTAGAACCTCCAGGAGGCTGCTGGTGCAAGTCCCAGAGTCCAAAGACTGAAGAACTTAGAATGTCTAAGGGCAGGAAGAGAGGAAGCAAAGCACCTGGCATGGAAAGAGACAGGAGACCCAGCAAGCTTCTTATCCCCCTTCTTGCGGCTGCTTTCTTCTAGCTGTGCTGGCAGCTGATTAGATATGCCTACTGACATTGAGGGTGGGTCTTCCTCTCCCAGTCCACTGACTCAAATGTCATTCTCTTCTGTCATCACCCTCACAGACACTCACAGAAACAGTGCTTCCCCAGCCATCTAGGCATCTCTGAATCCAGTCAAGTTGACACCTAATATTAACCATCATAGTGGCTGTTTTTAGAATAAAGAAGTGATTCTGGCTGGTTTCTCATTCAAACACTACAAGAAGTTTGTAATTTTCACACTAGTAATACATAAGTAAGCACTCTCTAGCCATTAGAAATTTTCCTTCTGTTATTTCTTGAGAGGGCTATGTGCCATACCCTCTCTCTGGCCACACACGTGCTTCATACCCCTACTGCTGTGCAGACCTCAGATGGCTGTATAAAAACCAGCCATGTTCTCTGAAGTCCCTCTCTGCTCCAGAAGGTAGGTTTGAGAGGGTTAAAAAGAGATGGCAGACTCCTTTCTGTGCAGCATAGTTACAGGACCTGACTAGTTCCCATTCCTCTCTCTGATTATTTCAAATCCAGACGGCACAACTTGACTATATGGATTACAGACATACAAAAGCTGTGACCAATCTCTGAAACCAAGGCTAGTGGATTCCAAGTTTGGGATTCACAAGAGGTAATTTTACACCTACAGATAAATTTCCCAGGCCCACCAAATCAGCATATCTACAGTGGGGCCTTGGAATAAAACAAAACTTTGCAATGGGGATCAGATAAAATTTTCCTTTAGGAACCTTGAGGTTTTTTTCTTTTTTCCTTTTTCTTTTTTTTTGTAGAGAAGGAATCTCACTATGTTGGCTTGCCCAGGCTGATCTTGAGCTCCTGGCCTCAAGCAATCCTCCCACCTTGGTCTCCCAAAGTACTGAGATTACAGGTGTGAGCCACTGTGTCCAGCCCAGGAGCCTTGACTCTTTACATGACTGTTGACTGTTTTTATACTGATTATCCATTTTCCTTTGGAAGAACAGAAGACTCTTCCCACAGAAGATTTGTGACAAATTACAAAATTATTGAGACTTATACCAAAGCTTGTACAATCATATGACAAATCAGCAGTTAACTGAGTCAGAAAGAAAATGCTGTCACATTCGCAGTTAGTTTAACCACAGAATTTAGCATGTTTTTAAAAAGTAGAATAGGCCAGACGCGGTGGCTCACGCCTGTAATCCCAGCACTTTGGGAGGCCAACGCAGGCAGATCACTTGAGGTCAGGAGTTTGAGACCAGCCTGGCTAACATGGTGAAACCCCGTTTACTAAAAAAATACAAAAATTAGCCAGGCATGGTGGCGCACGCCTGTAATCCCGGCTACTTAGGAGCCTGAGGCAGGAGAATCGCTTGAACCCGAGAGGCAGAGGTTGCAGTGAGCAGATATTGCGCCACTGCACTCCAGCCTGGGTGATAGAGTGAGACTCCATCTCAAGAAAAAAAAAGAAAGAATAAAACAACATGACAAGCTGGGTATTCATAAAGCCCTTTGGCTACAAACACACAGAAATGCTGAATAAAATTTAAACGTCCTTTTAAAGTATTTTCAAGAAAGTGAAATAAATCCTTAGAGCCAAAAATGAAGATGAAATGGAAGTTAGAAAGGTAAGTGTGTGGATGCTGTCTTTGGTTGCCAAGAGGCAGTTTGGTGATTTGGTATCCAATGGACTTGAATTTTATCAGCCATGCAGAAGAGGATTTGAGTCCTTGGGCTTGCAAGAGGGGGAAAGTTGGCACAGGTCTCCACAAGAAGCCCAGATGCTTACAGGGCTACACCCTCAGTGAAAGTATGCATTAGAAAAAAGTCAGCCAGCAGCAATGGAAGACAGCAAGGAGGATTGTGGGATTTGTCCTGGGCTTAAAGTGGGTGAGGTAGATTAAAGCTGAGGATAGTTCCCAGAGAAGGCTGACATTTGAAGGCTTTTGGCCTGCCCCTCTAGTGAGGTGGTTGCGGGGAGAAAATCTGAAGAGGAATCCGGACAGTGTGGCACAATGCCCTCTGCACAGAACATGATGTAATTAAGATAGAAGTCAAAATTAAAATACATTTGGAAATTAATGCATTTCTAAAGAATTCCTGGGTTAAGAAGAAAACTTAATTTAAAAAAGGGAAAATACTTAGATATGAAGAAAACTGAAGGACAGTCTTCTATTTCTGGTCATAGAAGAGTTACAGGAACCAGAATTATACCCCTGCTTGAAATAATCTCAAATAAAATAGATGAAATAATAGCTTTTAAGACATTGGGCATCAACAACAAAATATGATGATCTCTGATAGATGGGAAACAAATGAGATGAGCCCTACAAATGTCCTAACTTATTGTCTTGAGAGAGTTACCAGACAGCTACACAGGGATGGGAGACCCAGGTGTAGCTGTGTGATGAAGTTCCTGAGTTGAAGACACAACTGAGAATCTAAGGAGACCAAGGCAGATAGAGTTCACAAGACAGAATTCTGGAGGAGAGGGACCTGCACAGAGAATTCTGGGGATCTTTGAAGGGTCCCCTAGGATACTCCACAGAGTACTGATTGGCGTATGAGGAAAACTTATCTGAGGCCAAAGAAAGAACCATCCCAAAGGATTAGAGGGAATGGTGTCAGGCATAGAAATATGGCCAGGAATAGTGACTGTTCTCACAAGCTGGACTGAAAACACTGCATTGCTTTGTGCATTAGGTAGAGTACTCAGAAGGGACTGTCTCAGTCGGGAAGAACAGTAAGCCACAGAATAAATGTGAAGAAAACTACTCTATAATTAAATTGCTCAAAACATTCAAAAATAAAATGACCAGAGGACAAAGACATTAGGTATGGAGAAGAAGACAGGGATCACAACAGATTTCTCACTGGACACAATGCAACCATGAAGAGAGTGGAGCGGCATGTTTAAAGTACTGAAAGAAAAAAATCTCAGCTACTCCAGCGGCTGAGGTGGGATGATCACTTGAATGCAGGAGCTCAAGGCTGCAGTGAGCCATGATCACACCACTGCACTCCAGCCTGGACAACAGAGTAAGCCAAACTAGAATTCCAGACCAGTGAAAATATAGTTCAAGAACAAAGGCAAAACATATTTGCAGACATTAAAAAGCTAAAATAATGGATCACTCACAGACCTGTACTATAAGAAATGTTAAAGTAAGTCTTTTAGGCAAAAGAAAAATGACACCTGATAGAAATATGAATTTTTCCCAACCTTGGCCTTATTGACATTTTGGACCAGATAATTTTTGTGGCAGGGGCTATCCTAGCATTCTAGGATGTTTAGCAGCATCAATGGCTTTTACCCCGTCATGACAATTAAAAATATCTCTCAATATTGCCCCCAAATGAGAACCACTGCTATATGCCACTGCTGTACAGGAAGTAGTATAATACCACTTGAAGGCAGACGAATAAGCTAAAGACATACACTATAAATCCTAAAGCAATCATTAAAAAACAAATAATTATAGCTGATCAAAAAAGTTATTGGCCAGGCACAGTGTCTCACGCCTGTAATCCCAGCACTTTGGGAGGCTGAGGCAGGCAAATCACTTGAGCTCAGGAGTTCGAGACCAGCCTGGGCAACATGGCAAAACCTCGTCTCTACAAAAAAACACTATATATATCTGGGCGTGGTGACACATGCCTGTAGTCCCAGCTACTCCGGAGGCTGAGGTGGGATGATCACTCGAGCCCGGGAAGTTGAGGCTGCAGTGAGCCATAATCATACCACTGCACTCCAGCCTGGGCAACAGAACAAAATTCTGTCTCAATATAATACAAAGAAGAAAGAAAGAAAAGAAAAAAATGTTATAGTCAGGTATAGTGGCTAACACCTATAATCCCAGCACTTTGGGAGGCCAAGGTAGGAAGATTGCTTGAGGTCAGGAGTTCAAGACTCACCTGGGTAACATAGTGAGACCCTGATTCTACAAAAAAAAAAAAAAGATAATTTAGCTAGACATGGGATGCATGCCTGTAGTCCTAGCTGCTTGGGAGGCTGGCATGAAAGGATCACTGAGCCCAGGAGTTCAAGGCTATAGTGAGCTATAACCACACCACTGCACTCCAACCTGGGTGATAGAGCAAGTCTCCATCTCAAAAAAAATTATGGAATGTTGTTAAAACATTAGCTGAGGGAAATTATAGCACTAAATATCTACATTAGAATATGGTATCATAGACTGTATGTACACACACACACACACGCACACACACACGCGTGCGCACACACACACACAAAAGAGTAGCCGGGTGTGGTGGTGCATGCCTACAGTCCCAGCTACTTGGGAGGCTGAGGTGGGAGAATTACTTTAGCCCAGGAGTTCAAATGCAGCCTGGGCAAAATAGTGAAACCCTATCTCAGTGTTAAAAAAAAATAAAGGAAAAGAGTAAAGTTTAAGAAACTAGAATAAAAAAAGCAAAGTAATGCCAATGTAAACAGAACAAAAGAAATAATAAAGATCAAAATGGGAACCTGTAAAATGGAAAACAAGAAGACAATAGAGAAAATCAAGCCAAAAGTGGTTTTTAGAAAATAAATAAATGCATAAGCTTCTAGTAGGACTGATCAGCAAAAAAAAGGAAAAGAGACACAAAGTATCGACATTGGGATTAAAAGAGGTGACATCACTATGGATTCTACACCAATTAAAGGATAATGGGGGAATGTTATAAACAACTTTATGCCAATAACTTTGATAATTTAGATCAAATGGCCAGTTCCCTGACAGACACAAACTACCAATACTCACTTTAGAAAAAAAATAGATAGCGCTGAATAGTGCTATAACTATAAAAAATAAAACACTTCCCCCACAGACATAGAAATCTAGGCCCAAGATCACATCAAGTTAAAAAGCTTCTGCATAGCAAAGAAAACCAGCAACAAAGTGAAGGAACAACCCACAGATTGGGAGAAAATATTTGCAAATTACCCATCTGACAAGGGATTAATCACCAGAATATATAACAAGCTCAAACAACTCTATAGAAAACAAATCTGATAATTCGATTTTAAAAATAAGCAAAAGATTTGAGTAGACATTTCTCAAAAGAAGAAATACAAATGGCAAAAAGGCATATGAAAAGGTGCCCAACATAATTGATCATCAGAGAAATGCAAATCAAAACTACAATAACATATCATCTCAGTCCAGTTAAAATGGCCTTTTTCCAAAAGACAGGTGATAACAAATGTTGGTGAGGATGTGGAGAAAAGGGAACCCTTATACACTGTTGGTGGGAATGTGAATTAGTACAACCACTATGGAGAACAGTTTAGAGGTTCTGACGAAAACTAAAAATAAAGCTACCATATGATCTAGCAATCCCACTCTTGGGCATATGCCCAAAACAAGGGAAATTGGTACTTTGAAGAGATATCTGTACTACTGTGTTTGTTGCAGCAGTGTTCACAAAGCCAAGATTTGGAAGCAACCTAAGTGTCCATCAGCAGATGAATGGATAAAGAATATGTGGTACTTATACCCAATGGAATATTATTCAGCTATAAAAAAGAATGAGATCCTTTATTTGCAACAACATGGATGGAACCAGAGGTCATTATGTTAAGTGAAATAAGCCAGGCAAAGAAAGACAAACATCTTATGTTCTTATTCGTGGGATCCAAAAATCAAAGCAATTGAACTCATGGGGATAGAGAGTAAAAGAATGGTTACCAGAAGCTGGGGAGGGTAGTGGGGGGTGGGGGTAGTGGGGATGGTTAATGGGTATTTAAAAAATAGAAAGAATGAATAACACCTAGTATTTGATAACAGGGTGACTAAAGTCAATAATAATTTAATTGCTTTTTTTTTTTTTTTTTTTTTGACGGAGTCTCGCTCTGTCGCCCAGGCTGGAGTGCAGTGGCGCCATCTCAGCTCACCGCAAGCTCCACCTCCCGGGTTCATGCCATTCTCCTGCCTCAGCCTCCCGAGTAGCTGGGACTACAGGCGCCCGCCACCATGCCCGGCTAATTTTTTGTATTTTTTTTAGTAGAGACGGGGTTTCACCTGCCAGGATGGTCTCCATCTCCTGACTTCATGATCCGCCCGCCTCGGCCTCCCAAAGTGCTGGGATTACAGGCGTGAGCCACTGCGCCCAGCCTGCATATTTTAAAATGACTAGAAGAATGTAATTGGATTGTTTATAACACAAAGAATAAATACTTGAGGGGATGGATACCCCATTTTCCACAATGTGATTATTACACATTGCATGCTTGTATCAAAATATCTCCTGCACCTCATAAATATACACACTTACTATGTACCCACAAAAATTAAAAATTCAAAAAAATCTAGACCTAGGTGGCTTCACTGGTAAATTTTATCAGACGTTTAAGGAAGAAATAGTACTAACTTTATACAACAAGCTCCTGCAGAAAATTGAGTATGAGGAAATATTTTCCAACTCAGTCTGTGAGGCCAGCATTAACCAGATCCAATACAATAAAAGTGTTACAATAAAAGTACAGACCAATAGCCTTCACAGACTTAAATGCAAAAATCCTAATTCATTTAATTTTAGCAAATTAAAGCCAACAATATGAAATTTTAGTAAATCACTATCCAATAATTGGATAATACATCCAGACCAAAGGAATTTTTTCAAAAAATGCAATGTTGGCTTTGTATTTGAAAATTGATCAGTGTAATTCACCATATTAACAAGCTAAAAATGAAAAATCATGGTCACTATGATGGTATAGAATAAGCTTTTGACAAAATCTAACATCCATCATTGATTTTGAAATTTTAAACCCCTCAGCAAATTAGGGGTAAACGAGATCCTAAATCTGATTTAAAAGTATCTACAAAAATTTTATAGTTGGTATCACACTTAATGTTGAAAGACTGAGCTTTCCTCCTGAGATCAGGAACAAGATAAAGTGCTTTCACCACTTTGTCTACTCAACAGTGTACTGCAGGTTCTAGCCAGGGCAGTTAAAATAAGTAAATAAATAAATAAATGGCATACAGGTTGGAAAGAACAAAGTAAAATTGTCCTTCTTTGTAGACGACACAATTCGCTATGTATAAAATCCAATTAAATCTCTTTTAAAAGCTACTAGAACTAGTAAGTGAGTTGAGGAAGGTTGCAGGACACATAACTTTATAAAAATCAATTTGATTTTTATATACTAACAATGAACAATTTGAAATCAAAATTTAAATAATATCATTTATAATAGCATTAAAATATGAAATACAGTAATTAATATGGCAAAAATGCAAAATATCTGTATATTAAGTACTGTAAAACTTTGGTGAGAGAAATTAAAGAAGACCTAACCAAATGGAAATCTACTTTGTTCACGGATCAGAGTATGCAGTATGGTTAATATGTCAATTGTCCACAAACTGTAGACTCAAATCCATCTCAATCAAAATCCTAGTAGTTGTGTGTGTGTTTTGTAAAAATTAAAAAGTTGTCTCTAAATTCTATATGAAAATGCAAAGAGCTTAGAGTAGCCAAAACAAATCAGAAAAATATTTTAAAATTTGGAGGGCTAACCTGATCTTAAAACGTATGTAGAACTACAGCAGTCAAGACAGTGTAGTTTTGGCATAGTGATAGAAAAATAGATAAATAGAAGAGAATAAAAAATTCAGAAATAGATCCACACATATATGAGCAACTGATTTTCGACAAATGTTCAAAGGCAATCAGTGGATAAATGGTATCTTTCCAACAAATCATATTGGAATAATTGGATATCCCTATGTAAAAATATTAACTTTGATCAATATCTCCCAATATATTAAAAATTAATAATGAATACTATACCTCAGTAGGAAACCTAAAACAATGAAAATTCTAGAATAAATCTGGAGAAATTGTGTCATCTTGCATTAGACAAACATTTCTTACATATAATGCCAAAGGTATGATTCACAAAAGAACAATTTGATAAACGGATGTCATCAAAACTAAAAGATCTGTTTTTTGAAAAGTACTGTTAGGAAAATTACAAAACAAGCCACGATCTGGGAAAAATATGAATACAGCATATATCTGATAAAGGATTTGTATCCAAAAGTGTCAAAATCCAACAATAAGGAAGCAAATAACCTAGTAGAATAATGTGCAAAGATCTGAATGGACACATCACTGACAAAGACATTCAGATGGCAAATAGGCACTGGAAAAGATGTTCAACATCACTGGTTTTTAGGGTAATGCAAATTACAACCACAGGGAGATACCACTACACCCCAATTAGAATGATGAAAATTAATAAGATAGTTCACATCACATGTTGGCAAATATGTGGAGGAACTGGAACTTTCAAACACTGTAGGCAGAAATGTAAAGTAGTGTAACAACTGTGGAAAACACGTTGGCTGTTGTTTAAAAAGTTAAATGTGGATTTGACAATGAATTATTGGCTATGACACCAAAAGCACAGGCAATAAAAGTAAATCCAGGTGCGGTGGCTCACACCTGTAATCCCAGCACTTTGGGAGGCCTAGGAGGTTGGATCACTTGAGGTCAGGAGTTTGAGACCACCTGGCCAATGTGGCAAAACCTCATCTCTACTAAAAACACAAAAATTAGCTGGGCATGGTGGCGTGTGCCTGTACTCACAGCTACTCAGGAGGCTGAGGAAGGACAATCCCTTGAACCTGGGAGGCAGAGGTTGCAGTGAGCTGAGATTGTGCCATTGCCCTCCAACCTGGGCAACAGAGCAAGCCTCCGTCTTGAAAAAAAAAAAAAAGTAAAAATAGATAAACTATACTACATCAAAATTTAAAACTTCTGTGCACTAAAGGACATAATCAGACTGAAAAGACAACCTATGGAATGGGAGAAAAAATTTGCAATTAAACATTTGATGAGTAGTTGATATCCAGAATATATAAATAACTCCTACAATTCAATAACAAAAAACTTAAAAAATGAGGAAAAGACTTAAATAGACATTTCTCCAATGATACGCAAATGGCCAACAAGCATATAAAAAAATGCTCAATATCATTAATCATTAGAGAAGTAAAAATCGAAACCACAATGAGAGGTCATCTCACACCATTATGATAGCAATTATCAAAACCAAAACAACAACAACAACAGAAAAGAAAATAATAAGCATTGATGAGAATGTGCAGAATTGGTACCTTTGTGCACTGTTGGTGCGGATGTAAAATGGCACAGCTGCTACATAAAACAGAATAGCAATTTCTCAAAAAATTAAAAACAGGTTGGGTATGGAGGCTCATGCCTGTAATCTCAGCACTTTGGGAGGCCGAGGCAGTTGGATTGCTTGAGCCCAGGAGTTCAAGACCAGCCTGGGCAACATGGCAAGACCCTGTCTCTATAAAAAATTAAAAAATTAACTGGGCATGGTAGTGCATACCTGTAGTCCCAGCTAGTCAGGAGGCTGAGGCAGATGTATTGATTGAGCCTGGGAGGTCGAGGCTGCAGTGAGCCGGGATCACACCACTACACTTCAGCCTGGGTGACAGGGTGGGACCCTGTCTCAATAAAAAATTAATTAATTAATTAATTAAAAATTAAAATAGAATTACCATACAATCCAGCAACCCCACTTCTAGGTATGTATTCATAAGAATTGAAAACAGGATCTCTAAGAGATATTTGCACATTCATTTTTATAGTAGCATTATTAACAATAGCAAGAGGTGGAAGAAATCCAAATGTCCATCAATAGATGCATGGATAAACAAAATGTCATATATACATGCAATGGAATATTATTGAGCCTTAAAAAAGAAGGCAATTCGGCCAGGCACGGTGGCTCACACCTGTAATCCCAGCACTTTAGGAGGCCAAGGCTGGCAGATCACGAGGTCAAGAGATCGAGACCATCCTGGCGAACATGGTGAAACCCCATCTCTACTAAAAATACAAAAATTAGCTGGGCATGGTGGCACACGCCCAGCTACTCGGGAGGCTGAGGCAGGAGAATCGCTTGAACCCAGGAGGTGGAGGCTGCAGTGAGCCGATATCCTGCTGCTGCACTCCAGCTTGGCAATAGAGCGAGACTCCGTCTCAAAAAAAAAAAAAAAAAAAAAAGAAGGCAATTCTATCATACACTACAACATGGACGAATCTTAAGACATTATGCTAAGTGAAATAAACCAGTCACACGAAACAAAGACTATGATTCCACTTCTAAGACGTATCTAAAGTAGTGAAACTCATAAAAACAGAAAGTAGAATGGTGATTGCCAGGGTCTTGGGGAATGGGGAAATAGTGAGTTGTTTAATGGGTATAGAGTTTCAGTTTCGCAAGATGAAAAAGTTCTGGAGATTGTATAGCATTGTGAATATACTTAATGCCACTTAACTGTAGGCTTAAAAATAATTAATATGGTAAATTTTATGTTTTGCATTTTTTACCACAATTAAAATTTAAAGTCTTTTAAAAAAAACTATTCTTGCAAAGGAACCCCAAATTAATTAGATCAGTCTGTGGAGCAATTTTAGCCTCAGGATATTGTAGAAAACAACAGAACAATCATCTGGCAATTGGTGGTGCTTAATAGCTGGGTTTGATAAGGGAAAGAGACAATGTGAATCTCGATAAATCCACTCTCTTTTTGGGGTGACAATGTGTATGCCCAAGGCTGAGCCCTCTAAGGAGCAATGTTAGAGGCTTCACATTTGGTAGGGTTGGGGATAGACTTCACTAAATTAATCTAGTCAGTCACTAAATAAATAAACAAGCAAATGAAAATACAAAGCCTAGGAAAGAGGGGAGCAGTACCTAGAGTTGCTATAATGTTATCTAAAACATTCTATTTCCAATAAAAAAATGATGAGACATGCAAAGACACAGGAAAAAGTCTGACCCTGTATAGTTAAAATACTGAAGTTAGTATGCCTGCGACTGTTATCCTTAGAAAGGTCTGCTCTCAAGGTTGGTCAGCATCTGGGAACCTGGACATTGAGAGATTTTCCACCATTCCCTGATAAGAATGGATCACTATACCTAAATTGTTTGTGCAAACAATATGGTTTATGCTGAATATCTACTTTTTTCTGGGAGTTTAGAATTTTAGTACATGCCAGGCAGAGTGTGCATGTGTGACCAGCCCACACTAAAAATTCTCAAATTGAATCTCTAGTCCGTTTCCTAGTACACAACATTTTACACTTGTAGCAATTTGTTCCTGGAGGAATTAAGCATGTCTTTTGTAATTCCACTGGGAAAAGAATCTTGGAACTTACACCTGGTACCTTCGGGAATTCACCCTATGAGCCTTTTCTCTGTGCTGATTTTACTTTGAATTCTTTTGATGTAGCAAATCATGGCTATGAGTATGAAGCTATGCTGAATCTTGTGAATCATTGAACCAAAAGGTGATCTCGGTATCATTAGCTAGACTAAACAAAGAAATGAGAGAAGACTAAAATAAAATAAAAAATGAAAAAGGAACCATTACAGCTTTACAGCTGTTACCACGGAAGCACAAAGGATCAATGGAGGCTATTCCAAACAACTATATGCCAACAAATTAGAAACCCTTGAGGAAATGGATAAATTTCCAGATATATACAACCTACCAAGATTGAACCAGGAAGAAGTAGAAAATATGAACAGACCAATCATAAGTAATGAGAGTGAATCAATAACAACAACAACAACAACAACAAAAAGCCCAGAACTGGATAACTTTACTGCTGCATTCTACCAAACTTTTGTTTTTTTTTAGAGTCAGGGTCCTGTTATGTTCCCCATGCTAGACTCAAACTCCTGGACACAAGCCATGCTCCTGCCTCAGCCTCCTGGATAGCTGGGGCTACAGACATGTGTCTTTGCACCTAGCATACCAAACTTAAAAAAAAAAAATTTTTTTAGAGAAAAGATCTTGCTCTCTTGCCCAGTTTGGAGTGAAATGGTGTGATCACTATAATCTCAAACTCCTGGGCTCAAGTGATCCTCTTGCCTCAGCCTCCCAAGTAGCCAGGATTACAGGCATGCACCACCATGCACGGCTAATTTTTTTTTATTGTTGTAGGGACATGGTCTCTCTATATTATACAGGCTGGTCTCAAACTCCTGCCCTGAAGCAATCCTCCCACCTCAGCCTCCCAAAGTGCTGGGATTACAGGCATGAGCCACCATGTCTGGCCTCCAAACTTTAAAAAAACTAACGGCAACTGTTTTCAAACTATTCCAAAATACTGAAGATGAGAGAATTTTTCTAATTCTTTCTACAAGGCCAGCATTACCCAGATACCAGGGTAAAACTGGAAAAGGACACAATAATAAAAGAATACTACAGGCCAGTATCCCTGATGAACATAGGGGCAATAGTCTTCAACAAAATACTAGCAAATAAAATCTAACCAAAAGATAATATACCATGATCAAGTGGGATTTAACCCAGGGATGAAAGGATGTTTCAAAATACGCAAATCAATAAATGTGATACATCACATAAACAGAATGAAGAACAAAAAACATATGATCATCTCAACAGATGCAGATAAAGCATTTGATAAAATTCTATATCCTCTTATGATAAAAACCCTAAACAAACTAGGCATAGAAGGAACATACTTCAGTGCAATAAAGGCCAAATATGACAAACTCATAGCTAACATCAAACTGAATAGGGAAAAGCTGAGAGCTCTAAGAACTGGAACAAGACAAGGATGTTCATGTTCACCTTTCTTATTCAACATAGTACTGGAAGTCCTAGCCAGAGTAATTGGGCAAGAGAAAGAAATAAAGGGCATTCAGGTTGGAAAAGAGGAAGTCAAATTGTCCTTTCAGAAAACATGTATTCAAAATTCTAAAGATTCCACTAAAATATTCTTTGAACTGATAAACAAATTTAGTAAAGTTGCAGGGTACAAAATCAACATAGAAAAAAACTGTAGCATTTCCATACACCAGTAATGAACTGGGTAACAAAGAAATCAAGAAATCAATCCTATTTACAATAGCCCCCCACCAAAAAAAAAAAAACTAGAAATAAAGGAAGTGAAATATCTGTACAATGAAAGCTACCAAACATTGATGAAATAAATTAAAGAGGACACAAACAAATGAAACGACATCCCATGCTCATGATCAGAAGAATATGCCCATACTACCTAAAGCAATTTACAGGTTAAATGCAGTCCCTGTCAAAATATTGGTGACATTCTTCACAGAAATAGAAAACAATCCTAAAATTTGCATGGAACCACAGAAGACACCAAATAGCCAAACCAGTACTTATCAAGGAAAAACAGAGTTGGAGGCGTTACAGTACCTGACTTGAAAATATACTACAAAGCTATAGTATGACATAGACAAACGGAACAGCATAAAGGACCCAGAAATACATCTATGTATTTACAGCCAACTGATTTTCAACAAAGGAACCAGGAACACACATTGGAGAAAGGATGCCCTCTTCAATAAATGATGCTGGGAAAACTGGATATACATATGTAGAAAAATGAAACTAGATCCCTATCTATCCCCATATACAAAAATACACTCAACGTGGATTAAAGCCTTAAATGTAAGACCTGAAACTATAAAACTACCAGAGAAAAACATAGGAGAAATGCTTTAGGACATTGGTCTAGGCAAAGATTTTATGGATAAGACTTCAAAAGCACCGACAACAAAATATAAAAAAATTGGACAGTGTTAAACTAAAAAAACGTCTACATAGCAAAAGAAATAATCAATGGAGTGGAAAGACAATCTGTACAGTGGGAGAAAATATTTGCAAATTCCTAATCTGACAAGGGACTAATATCCAGAATATACCAGGAGCTCAAACAACTCAACAACAAAAACCTAAATCCAATTAAAAGTGGGCAAAGGATCTAAATAGATATTTCTCAAAAGAAGACATGCAAATGGCCAATAAATACATGAAAAAATGGTCAACATCATGAATCATCAGGGAAATGCAAATCAATACCACAATGAGATATAATCTCACCCCAGTTAGAATGGCTATTATCAAAAAGACAAAAAATAAGAAATGCTGGAGAGCATTCCAAGGTAATTATTTGTTTCTTTTTTTTTTTTTTTTGAGATGGAGTCTCGCTCTGTGACCCAGGCTGGAGTGTAGTGGCGCGATCTCGGCTCACTGCAAGCTCCACCTCCCAGGTTCATGCCATTCTCCTGCCTCAGCCTCCCAACTAGCTGGGACTACAGGCACCCACCCACGCCCAGCTAATTTTTTTTTTTTTGTATTTTTAGTAGATACGGGGTTTCACCATGTTAGCCAGGATGGTCTTGATCTCCTGACCTCGTGATCCACCTGCCTCGGCCTCCCAAAGTGCTGGGATTACAGGTGTGAGCCACCGTGCCCGGCCTTTTTTTTTTTTTTTTTGAGATGGAGTTTCACTCTTGTCGCCCAGGCTGGAGTGCAATGGCACAATCTCAGCTCACTGCAATCTCTGCCTCCTGGGTTCAAGTCATTCTCCTCCCTCAGCCTCCTGAGTAGCTGGGATGACAGGCACCTGCCACCAGGCCTGGCTAATTTTTTGTATTTTTAGTAGAGACAGGGTTTCACCAGGTGTTGGCCAGGCTGGTCTCAAACTCCTGACCTCAGGTGATCCACCTGCCTTGGCCTCCCAAAGTGCTGGGATCACAGGTGTGAGCCACTGCACCCAGCTCAAAAGGAATTTTTATATGCTTTTGGTGGAAATGTAAATTAGTACAGCCATTATGGAAAACAGTGTGAAGGTTTCTCAAAAAATTAAAAATAGGGCTACTATATGATACAGTAATGCCTTTACTGAATATTTAGCCAAAGGAAGGAAATCTAAATATCGAAGAGATACTTTTTCCCCATGCTTATTACAGAACTATAATATTCACAATTGCTAAGAGATAAAATCAACCCAGTGTCCATCAACAGACAAATGGATAAAGAAAATGTGGCATATATGCACAATGAAATACTATGCAGTCATAAAAAGAATAAAATTCTATCATTTGTGGCAACATAGATGAGCCTGGAGGACATTATGTTGAGCAAAATAAGCACAGAAAGATAAATAACTACATGTTCTCTCTTATATGTGGGAGGTAAAAATAATTTAGAGCTCATGCAAGTAGAAAATAGAATTGTGGGTATTAGAGCCTATGGAGGGTAGTGGAGGGGAGAGATGGGGAAACATTGCTTAATAGACACAAAATTATTGCTAGATAGGAGGAAGGAGTTCTGGTGTTCTGCAGCACTGTAGGGTGAATATAATTAACTAGAAATTATTGTATATTTTTAAAAACATAGAGGAGAGGATTTTGCATGTTCACAACACAAAGAAATGATAAATGTTTCAGGTAATGGATATGCTAATTACCGTGATTTGGTCATTACACATTGTATATACATATCAAAATATCACCCTGTGTCCCATAAATATGTACAATTATTATGTGCCAACTAAAAAGAAAAAGAAAAAATTTGTTCTCGCCCTTTCCACTGAAAATACCTAGAAACAAAGATCTACCAGGAGCAGTGAGCACCCTTCACACCAAAATTGCAGTCCTGAAACACCATTTCCCTCTAAAGGGAACTAGGGCCCTTTAAAAAAGTGGTTGATTCTATGATTGGGGCAGAAAATGCACAATCCTAGCATTTTGGGAAGCCAAGGTGGGAGGATCACTTGAGCTCAGGAGTTTGAGACCAGCATGGGCAACATAGTGAGACCTCATCTCTACTAAAAATTTTAAAAAGTTAGCTGGGCATAGTGGTGCATGCCTATAGTCCCAGCTACTTGAGAGGCTGAGGCAGCAGGATCACTTGAGCCCAGGAATTCAAGGCTTCAGTGAGCCATGATCATGTCACCGCACTCCAGTCTGGGGGCAGAGTGAGGCCCTGTCAAAAAAAAAAAAAAGGAATGGGTTCATAATAATAAGATAAAGAGAACAAAAAAAGTAAAATGGCAGACGTAAATCCAACTATATCTTCTTCCAGATGAAATGTGGTCTAAAAAGAAACCCCGTATCAATAATAAAATGTGAATGGATTAATCAATCCAATGAAAAAGCAGATATTGTCAGACTGGATAAAAAAATAAGATCCAATTATATGCTGTTTACAGGAGACACAGTTTAGTTTCAAAGATACAAAGAGATTAAAAGTAAAAGGATGGAAAAAGATGTATTTTGCAAATAGCAACCATAAGAAAGCTCGAGTGGTTATATACAAGACAAATTAGACTTTAAAACCAAAACAAGATACTATTTCAGATAAAAAAGGGCATTTTATAACAATACAGGTGTCAATTCATCAGGAAGATATAACAATGACAAATGTATATTCAGCTACTGAAATACCCCCAAAATACATTAAACAAACACTGAAAGAGATGCAGCAGGGAAATAGACAATTCAAACAATAATAGTTGGAGGCTTCAATAGCCCATTTTCAATAATAGTTTAACACCAGAAAGAAGATCAATAAGGAAATAGAGGACTTGAACCCTATTAACCAACTAGGCCTAATATAGCCCTAGAACATGCCACTGAAGAATAGCAGAATATACCTTCCTCTCCAGCACACAAGGAACATTCTTCAGGACAAATCATATACAAGGTAAAAAAACAAACCTTAATACATCAGAAGGATTTAAATAATACAAAGTATGTTCTCTGACCTAATGTAACTTAACTGCATCCTCCACTCCCTAGAATAGTTATAGGAATGAAAAGTATTCTGTCTCCAACAAGGTAAAATGGAAAATGTCTGACATACAGTTATTACTAGGCATGTAAACAAATAGGAAAATACAACCTGTATTGATGAGAAAAATCAGTTATTCAAAACTGACCTAGAACTGACACAAAGAATCAACAAACAAGGATATTAATGATATTATGACTATATAAGCAAAAATCAAGGGGAAGGATTGAATTTGTTTAGCAGACACAAAAGATATTAAAAAAATTAAAATTCGATTTCTAGAGATAAAAATGTCTGACATAAAAATGGAAAATTCTACCTGAATGTCTTATAATACTCATTCATTCACAGGGTTTCACTCCAGTATAGGTTTTCTGATGGCCATTGAGGTATGCACTCTGAAAGCTTTGCCACATTCATCACATTGGTAGGATTTCTGTTCCATCCTAATGTATAGCCAGACTGGAGGACATAGGAGGATTCCCCAAATCCCTTCCTCACATTTATCTTTTGTAGGTTTGAAACAATCTTTGTGTGTTATTCAATAAACTACTTCTAGTCAGCTCCTTTCTTCATTCAAGGGTAATTCTTCTAACTTCTTGAAAGTGTCTTCACAGGTATCTCTAGTCTCTGGTTTCCCAGTGAATCAACACATAGAACCCTCTTACTAGCTGGGGGCATGATGGTATTCATCTGTAGTCCCAGCTGCTTGGGAGGCTGAGGCAGGAGGATCGCTGGAGCCCAGGAGTTCAAGGCTGCACTGAGCTATGATTGTGCCACTATGACAGAGTGAGACCTCATATCTCTTAAAAGAAAGAAAGAATCCTCTTGATGTTCCATCAGATAAATCCTTTAAAAATTTCTTGCTTCATAATCAAGTCTATTCTGTTCTCATCTGCTGTCAAAAGTAAGCAGAAAACAGTTTTACTCATTTTTTTTTGTCTTGTGGAAACAGTATCATCAAGAGACCTTAAAAAAAAAATGTCAGATTATGGGTGTAGAAGGAGATGACATATTTAGAACAAGAGTGAAGTGTTAGTAGCTCAATTTTTTCTCCATGGGCAGGAAAAAAAGAGGGAGAGAAGTTTATCGGTGGAAGGTAAAAGAAGATATCAGGGACAAACAGATACTGAGCCATCACAACGAAGTTAGAAGGCCAACTGGAGGGCAAGTGACAAGTTTACAAAGGATGATGTGGTCTTACAGAGGTAAGATCTTTAGTAAAATGATGAACTGTAGATTCATTTCCAACCATAACATTGTATGGTTCCATAGTTCTCTGAAAAGATGTTGCAGAGAGAGGGATAGCAAACATCTCAAGTCAAATACAGAAGGCAGAGTAATTATGGTCATGATTACTAAACATGAATATGTTGGTTCCTTTTAATTATCCTGCAGAGTGTGGCCTGAGGTCAAAGCTCTGCCCAAACAAAGACAATATTTAATGACTCTACCAATTGGAATCCCTTTCTAAGGAAATTCTGAATTGGAAGTAGGGCAGAAATGAGGAAATTAAGAACAGGAGCTGAAGCAGAAATTGTGGATGGAGAGAAGCCACATCATTAGGAGCCGCAGCAAGCAGTAAGCATGAAGGGACAGAAATTGTAATAAGAAGGACTAATGAAAGGGACAGAAGATTCAGAGTGAAGAAGCTGGATAGTGGTGGGAAGTAAAGAAATAGAAAATAAATGCTGGGAGCAGCTGGGTTGTATTTACAGTGGAACACCGGCACAAAGATTCATTTACTTTTGCTGCTTTGGCTCCTGGACTACCCTGCATCAAGGCATAGTCTCCGGGAGGCCCAGTTTTCCACCATCTGGTCTAGCCTGTAGAGCTTGCATCTCTTCCCACAGTGGTGAGAACTTTGAACTCACGATTCCCCTCTGGCTAAGATCCTCCATTTTCCTCATTAGTGTATAATTCAGGAAGACAAGATGTACTAAATAGCTCATTGTCTGTGTATCTGTGTAAAGGCCTATCTACTTAGAAAGAAGGTAAAGGACTGGCTTCTGGAGCCTCCTCTGGAAAAAGAAAATTAGTCTTCAACCAGACTAATAAATGGGTGTTCACAAAATTGGGCATTGTCAAATCCCCCAACCTTGTTTGAATTTAAAAGATTGATTATAAGTTTAGGTTTTTCCAACAGCAGAGCCTGAGACAAGGATATAGGTGGAGTAGATTATTTTGAAGGTGATCTTAAGGAGCAAGAGGCAGTGAGCAGGAAGGATAAGACAGGGAAGGTCGAAAGCCAACAAAGAATGAGTAATTGAGCTGGATCCACTGTGGGCAACTGAGGCTCATTTTCACTAGGGGCCCTCTAAGGGCCCATGTAGAACATAGCTCAGACTTTTCTTGTCAAAGGACAGGACGTTGGGGCATTTGTGTACCAATTCTTATTTATCATTCTTTCAGGTTTGCCTGAGGGGATGTTACTCTTATCCACTTCTTCCAGTTTGTGCCTAAGACCTGGCTGAACAGGCTTCTGAACTTCCAGAGGAAGCCTTCAACAAAACAGCCTAAGATGTTATGGTGTATGCTTGAGACAGGACTCTGTCAGGATGGCTACATCCATTCTCCCACAGCTGCATGAAAATCATAGGTGGGCAGAGGTGACTGTGGTAGAGAATACAAAGAACATCTGTTTTAGGTAATAAGCAGATGCTTCTTTTACTATGCTTTTAGCATCAAAGAATTTTAGTGTTTTAAAATATTCCCTTTACCTGTGTGGTAACTACTTCCATTGTTTTCCAGTACCCAAAAGTAAAGTATCTGCAGAATATCTTGGACTGGGAAGGGCCTCAGTTACATTTGTTCTACTCCCCAGACACCCAGACACCTCTAAGGCTAGGAGATACTAGACTGACTTTAGAATTACCACTTTTGGGCCTCTCTAGAGCAGAATGTATTCAAGAGTTATGACCTTCTATATAAAAGTCCATGTGGGTATAAGCCAAGATAGCAGGCCTCCCTGCCTCCCACCCCTAACGATTATCAAAGCCTTAGATGCATTCCCAGTGAACACAACATATTAATGCTTCTCTGCATTCAAATTAGCATGAGTTGTCCAAGGCCCGACCACAGCTAAAGTATTCAGGAGGCTGAAGACACTCTTCATGCTGGCTGTCCTGACTTTTCTCCCCCTTTTCCCTACCTGTGTCTTGCCTCAGTCTCCTGAATGATTTTCTTGCTTCTGGGTGTACAAAAGCCTAAATATAGTGGTGGAAACAGCATTTGCCTTGGATTTCAAAGCCTCACTGGTTATTAGGAAGGTATTTTAACAAATTACTTAAACTTACTCACCCTTAGTTTCAGTATCATCAAAACTGTCACAATATTATCTGTCTCAAAGGGTTCATGTAAGGAGTAAATGAAATTAACCATGTGAAAGGGGCTGACACATAGCAAGTAATTTTTATATGCTTTATTTTTTTTCTAATATTCTAGCTTTGCCTCACTCTTCTGGTTTGAACTCTATCTTAATTCAACTGAAATGTTCTGTGATTGCCAATTATATACTGTTGAAAATTGAGTCTGTGTGTGTGTGCATGTATGTGTGTGTGTGTGTGTGTGTGTGTGTGTGTGTGTGTGTGTGTGTGTGTGTGTTGGGGGTGGGATGCAGAAAGTGCAGCTGGGTAGATTTTGGCACTAGTAAAGACCTCTATCAGGGGTCAATGATCTTTTGATTCGTTGTAGCATCATCAGCCTAGTAATAGAGGGCTGGCCTAGAAACCAATTCGGAACAACCTGAGATTTTCATTTTCATCTAGCCCTTGAGAAAGGCTACAGAAAGACCAAAGCAGATCCCCCAGTATCCCACTTCCTTTCCTTTCCTGCTAGGGCCATAACAGCCCCTTTAGCCTTTCAGATTCTAAAGCTCCTGTCAAAGCCATAGGCACTCCAAGCTCAGGTCCTCTGATTTTGTGATCCCTCTACTCCTACCAATGACTATGTGCCTTTTACAGCCTCTCCAGGTAGGACTCCGATGAGGGTAAAAGGATAGGCAATGGGATTTCTACCTCCCTCCAAATTGCAAAGAATATGGCTGTTCTGTCTTCCCTCAAGCTTTCCAGTCTGGACTGGATTTACCCCTCTCTGCTCCCAGCATGATTGGCCTTTCACAGGTGGCCTGTCCCCTTCTCCAACTTTCCGTTTGCTGTTACTCCCTCATTTCTACAAGATCCCTCTCTGAGGATGTAAAGATAAGGGGGTGAAGTTGTCCAAGACAGACATTCAGATCTGAAATGGATCCTTTTAAGTGACACTAGCCTAATCTAACCACTGTGGATGCCCTTCAGTGCCTAGAAAATCTTTAAATAACTAATGCCCTGAACTGTATTTGGAAGAATCCATATGTGATAGTTCATTTTACATGTTAACTTGAATGGGCCATAGTGTGCCCAGACATTTGGCTAAACATTATTCTGAGTGTCTGTGGGGGTATCTCTGGATGAGATTAACATCTGAATCTGTAGACTGATTGCCCTCCTTAACATGAGTGAGCCTCATCCAAGCCATTGGAGATGTGAGTAGAAGGAAAAGACTGAGAGAGAATTTGCTCTTTCTGCCTGTCTTCTGGCTGGGACATTGGTCTTCTCCCACCTTTGGTGATATGGTTTAGATTTCTGTCCCCGCCCAAATCTCATGTCAAACTGTAATTCCCAATGTTGGAGGTGGGGCCTGATGGGAGGTGATTGGATCATAGGGATGGCTTTACCCCTTGGCTCTGTGTTGAGATAGTGAGTGAGACCTGGTTGTTTAAAAGTGTGTAGCACCTCCCTCCTCCCCCGACCCTTGGTCCTTCTGCTGCCACATAAGACATCTGCTCCCACTTTGCCTTCCCCCATGAGTTCCCTGAGGCCTCCCCAGAGGCAGATGGTACCATGATTCCTGTACAGCCTGCAGAACTGTGAGCCAATTAAACCTCTTTTCTTTATAAAGTTCCCAATCTCAGGCATTTCTTTATAGCAGTGCGAGAACAGACTAACACATTTGGATTCCGACTAGGACTCAGACTGGAAGTTACACCAGCAGCTTTTCTGCTTCTTAGGCCTATAGATCTTGGACTACAACTATACCTTCAGCTCTCCTGGGTCTTCAGATTGCATGTCTTGAGATTTCTTAGCCATATATATTATATACATATAATCCTTGGTCATAGGTCAATCACATTCCAATTTGCATTAAAAACAACTCTGGCAAAGTGGGGTTTTATAGAAAGATGAGAAATACAAACTTTCCATTCAGACCGGGATTTCCATTTTAGTTGATCAGTAGTCTAAGATCTTAACCCATCTTGAAATGTCAGTCCTGTGCTTCCAGCCTCTTCTCATATGCCTATCTCAAACTCATTTATTTCTTGTTTGCTTAGTTTTTTTCACCAGTACATTTGGGGATTTTAAATACCAGGAATGTGTGTGTATGTAAAACAAAGGCTATGTGTTGTATTATACCACTGTCCCAGAGCTCTGGCCCACTTTAAACAGGTTTTGTATAGTTCCACCTTGGTCAAAGATAGGGTGTTCCTTTCCTATCACCATCATTCCACAAGGTTACCAAGTCTTTCATCTTGGGACAGTGGTGAGGGTGCTTCAAGTTCTTTGTCAGATGGGCAGAATCTCAGGGCACAAACTGAGTGACAAAACTGAGGCTCTGGGCTGGCCACTGGCAACTGGTGGTTCTTACCAGCTGACAACTCTTTGGTTACATGCTTCCGGGCCATTGCTTAGTAGGAGTGTGAATGATTACAGGCTCACTGGTCAGTGGTCCATAGTCTAGTTGGTCATTTTGGCTCCTCCCATTCCTTTCTTCTTTCCCAGCAAGGCAAGAATGTTTTTCACCTTACTAAAGGCTTCTAATGGCCTAACTCACTATCGTTTTTGTCACTTTTGTTTCCAGTCCCATAGTGTGTAACTCCTGTCTACCTAGGTAGGGCAGGGGAGGAGAAGGGAGCCTTGGTTTACAAGTAAAATTATAATTTAGTGTGGGGGGAACAGCAATCACATTGATCAATATTTCAAAATCTACTCATTCATACTTTGAGACCCATAAAGTACTATTTCCTTCTTCTCTTCCTACTTGATTGGCTGCTGCTTCTCAGTCTCCTTTGTTGGGTCCTCCTTACCCTTTTTTATGTCATCCAAAGGACCACCAGGATGGCTAGATAGTAGAAAAGAAAGTTGGCCGGCACAGTGGCTCACACCTGTAATCCTAGCACTTTGGAAGGCCGAGGCGGGTGGATTGCCTGAGCTCAGGAGTTTGAGACCAGCCTGGGCAACACGGTGAAACCCCATCTCTACTAAAATACAAAAAATTAGCCAGGCATGGTGGCGTGCGCTTGTAATCCCAGCTACTCAGGAATCTGAGACAGGAGAATCATTTGAACCCGGGAGGCGGAGGTTGCAGTGAGCGAGATCGCGCCACTGCACTCCAGCCTGGGCGACAGAGTGAGACTCCATCTCAAAAAAAAAAAAAAAAAAAAGAAAGAAAGAAAGAAAAGAAAGTTTTATTCACAACATCAGTTTACAAACTCGGAGAGATAGTCTCTGGCTTGAACTGAAAGTGGTGCTCTCTCTGAAGAACAAAGAGAAGGTTAGAGGTTTTACAAAAAGGAGGAATGTTACATATTGCTCTTTGAGAAAGTTCATTGGCAGTAGTAAGGGTGTGGGGAGCTGACAAGCTCCAGTTGGTGAGCAACTGCGGTGGGCAAAATTAGTCCTAGAGTTGCAGCAACTTATCTCAGAAGCTATAGATAAAACTGGTTTTGGCTTATAATAAGCAGTTTCAGCAGTCAAGCTTACAGAGAATAACATTCCTGGAGCAATGTTGTGTACCCTGAGTGCTTCCCCCAGCTAATTTCTCGACTTTCTTTTATTAGGTATGACAAAAATGACCCAATTCTTATGATCAGCTTTCACATTTCTTAGCATTTACCACCACCTGACACATTTTTATATTTGTTTTCTGTTTATCCCACTAGAAATGTAAGCCCCATGAGAACAGAGACTTTACCTCTTTATCTATGTCCCTAGTGCCCAGAACAGTATTTGGCATATGGCAAGTACTCAGTAGTTGAATGAATGAATGAATCAAGGCTGAAGTTTAAGTATGTTGTTTAATGAATGCCAGGAGAGAACATAAAGAAATAAACAGAATAAGCCTGGCACGGTGGCTCACGCCTGTGATTCCAACACTTTAGAAGGCCAAGGTGGGGGTGGATCACCTGAGGTCAGGAGTTCAAGACCAGCCTGGCCAACATTGTGAAACCCCGTCTCTACTAAAAAAAAAAAAAAAAAAAAAAAATAGCCAGGCATGGTGGCACGTGCCTGTAATCCCAGCTGCTCAGGAGGCTGAGGCAGAAGAATCGCTTGAACCCGGGAGGTGGAGATTGCAGTGAGCCAAGATTGCGCCACTGCACTCCAGCCTGGGCAACAAGAGCAAAACTCCATCTCAAAAAAAAAAAAAAGACATAAACAGAATAACATGAACCTTGCTCATTGAATAAACATTCATCTACAACCTATATGGCTTCAGCTTTGTACTAGGTGCTAAATACATGGGATCCATGCAGACATGGCCTTTGCCCTTTTGGAGACTTGTTTCAGCCATAGTCCCATATAGGGGTGTCAGTTCCAGAAGTCCAAACTTAAGAGACTGAAGACCAAAGAGAGGATCAGAGTGCCAGTTTCCTTTATATACACCTGACTTTACCCAGGGCGATGGACAGCTAGAATAACCTCTTCTTTCAGGGGAGAGATGTCCCTACCATTTGCACATTACCTTGCACCATCAACTTGATTATTATTTAATATCATAGCTCCAATATGTCATCATGTGGGCAAGAGATACACCACAGTAAGCGAATTCACAAGAGGGTGATTTATAAGTCATGTTATTATTTATAGTGAGAATTGCATAAGTTCAAGAAGAGACCAGAAAAGTCACCTACCAGGTCATTCAGACGTGAAGGTCACTCCCTATCAACCTCAATTGAAATGCAAATCAAAATAGAAATGTCCAACTCTCTTAGGAGGCAACAGGCATCCTGAGACCCTGGGTCCTGTCTTTCATCTCTGCACCCTTCCGGTCTGAAACAGCGGCCAGTTCTTGTTCGATGTAAGGAACACTAGTACCCAAGGGCTCAGGAGTTCCGCCTCTCTTCCCCAGTTCTGGGAAAAGAAACGAACCATAGAGATGTGGCTTCCTAGAGATCCGGGATGAGGGGCGGGGTGCAACCGGAAGTCGCAGTATTCTCGGCTCGGCCATTATTCTGTGCCTCGGCTGCCGGAAGGGCTCGTTCCTGTGTCATCTCCTAGCGGCCTGGCGCCGAGGCGGCGGTACGCAAGGCTGGAGCCGCAGCGGGAGCCCCCGGTGAGCGGGGTGGGCTCGGGGGCGGGTGGGCGTGCAGGGAAGGCGGCCCGGGACGCGGGCCTGAGCTTGCTGGGACTGCACAGCCCTCGGTAGCCTCTCCCGGGCCCTGACCCCCGGCATGGTCCGTCGCCAGCTTCGTGTTGGGGTTCGACGTCGTGGCCTCGGCTGGGCAGGCAGCCGGCCCGAGGGAAGTACTGAGGACAGCAGCTCCGAGTCTGTGTGTGTTTGTGGACCGGTGCTCCTGTCTAACGGACTCTGCTGGCGCTTTGAGAAGAGCTGCCTCAGTAGCCTGCTCCCCCAGCTCAGGCCTTTCTGCTCTTCCTCAGTCTTGTCTGAGGCTAATCCACAGAAACATTCTGAGGTTTCCCTATTACCGGTGGCGCCCAGACTCTTGAGGACGGATTTTTTTGTTTGTTTGTTTTAAGGGGTGGAACGATTTTAGCTTTTTTAGTCTTTTAGTTTTGTAATATAATGGTATTTAAAAATCAAACTTGAAAAACTCAAACTTGAAACCACCCATACCAACATTACTTCAGGCAATACATTTTAACACAAAGTACTAAGACCGTAAACTCAGAATAAATGCTGGCCTTTGCGCGCGCGCGCGCACACACACACACACACACACACACACACACACACACTCATTGCCAACCTGTCAGCGACGATTGTTACTGGTTTTCTCTTTTTGCAGCTTACCAGATTAAAGCTTTGTCGTGGACTGGTGTTTGGAAACTGTTGTTTTAGAACAGTTTGGGTTGTTTGGGTTTCATAAGTTTCTTCGTAGATGGAATTGTTTTGGACTTCTGGAATTAGAATCCCTGAATTCAGAATTTGCTCCCATGTCTCAGTTAGCTAAGTGGCCTTGAGTGGATTCGCTCCTCTGATCCTTTTGTTTTTTTTAACTTCTGCTTTGAAAACCTTTTGTGAGAAGCTAATAAAATGTATGTTTAAGAATTTGTTATTTTTATGTTATTTGAAAATTATTCAAAATTCTTTTTAAAAATTCCTTTCCATCACCCCCAGATCAGTTACCAAGGACTACCAAGTTTTTCTCAATTGCCTTATCCCTACTTCGTTTAGAACTTAAGTCATGTGTTTAGACTATTAGAAAAACCTAACTGACCTTTCTTGATATCCAGCCCTCCCACCCCCACCATTTCTCACTAATAGAGTCCTGACACCACTTAAGACTCTCTTCATGCTCAGAGTGAAAAAGGTCTTTCTAATTGTGGTACAGTACCCAGAAGTCGTAAAAGATTGACTGCATGGCAAAAAACACTTTAAGCAAAGTCACATGGCATATATAGTCACAAAGACACTTGACAAACTGAGAAAAATTTGCAGCTGCCATTGTAAACAAAGGACTAATTTTCCTGTGATAAAAGTGTGTACAAATTAACAAGACCCAACACCTCAATGGAAACATGGGCAAAATATATGAATAGTTACTTTAAAAAATATACAAATGACTCTATATTAATTCGTTCAAAATGCAAGTCAAAAATTTGGCGAAGAGCACAAACTTTGAGAAACATATTGGTGAAAGTGAGGAAAGGCACTCCCATACAGCTGTTTCTGATGGGAGTATAAATTATAAATTGGTTCAATCCTAGTGAGGTCAAATTGGCAATATCAAAATTATACATGTATATACCTTTTAACTCAGCAATTCTGATTCAAGGAATTTTTCTTATATATGCCTACACACATCCAAACTGATGTATGCCCAAGATTATTCATGATTATATTGTTGGTAATAAGAAATGATTGAAAACTACCCAAACATTCCATCAGTGCTGGCATGAATAAATTATGATACATCTATGCATCCATAAAAATGCGGAGAGGGGCTGTGTATTGACAGGAAAGATCTCTAAGACATATTATTGAGAAGAGGAAAATGTACCACGTCATTCATGGTGTCCTACCATTTGTGAAAAAAAGGGAACTAGAAAACAATATATGTACACACATATGCAGAAATAACTGGAAAGATAGATAAGAAGCTAACGGAGAAGGAAACTTTACACAGTATACATTTTATAATTTTAAATTTTGAACCAAGTGAATATATTACTATTTTTAAAAATAAGGAAAAATGTAAAGTAAAGCCTCTTTAATGCTGAAATGTAAGTAAAATCACTTCACTTACAGGACAGGATCATCTCCTCAGAATACTGCCTCTCAAGAGCAGTAGTTAGAATTTAACTTCTGTTCACCTCTCTGCTCTACTCCTACACTCTTGCCTCTGAAGTTTACTTTCCTTCTCTGGTCTTCCTTCACAGAGTTATGTGTCCTTCCTTGCTTTTGAAAATAGAGTTTCTTTCTTCCTGGAATGGCTTTCCTCATAGTCCAATGATCCTTTTATTTTTCCTTAAAAGCCCAATCCAAAAGTACCTTTCATGGCTGGGTATGGTGGCTCATGCCTGTAATCTCAGCACTTTGGGAGTCCAAGGCAGGCAGATCACGAGGTCAAGAGATTGAGACCATCCTGGCCAACATTGCGAAACCCCGTCTCTACCAAAAATACAAAAATTACCTGGGCATGGTGGTGCGAGCCTGTAGTACCAGCTGCCTGGAAAGCTGAGACAGGAAAATTGCTTGAACCTGTCAAGCAGAGGTTGCGCTGAGCCGAGATCATGCCACTGCACTCCAGCCTGGGTGACAGAGCGAGACTCCATCTCAAAAAAAAAAAAAAAAAGAAATTTCCTTTCATGAATCCTTTCTGTAGTTTTATGTTCTCCTATTACTTGTACTTAAACATTATATTGAAATTATGTTTATATTTCTGGCTCCCCTGTTTGTTATAAGCAAGCTCTCTTTAAGGGTCTGTGTGTTCAAATAAAGAGGATGTTTTCATATGTCACTGATGGTGATATAACTGTTATAACCTTAAAAGCTTAAAAATGTTTTTATCCTTCAGCCCAACAATTTTCTCCTAGGAGTTTATCCTGAAGAAATAAGCAGAGATGTAACTAAAAATTTGTTATCAAGGATAGCCGTTGTGACCTTATTAATAATAGGGGAAAGTTAGAATTTATCTATGATAATTAAACTATGGTAAGGACATAGTTCAGAATAATAGCAGTGATTGTTTTCTGGTTTTGTGTGTTTTCTGGTTTTATAATTAGAAAAATGTTATTTCTAAAGAGCAGATGATTTCTAGAGAGCAAGTCTAAGTTCTGTATAATAAAACTCTATTCATATTTATCCATCTGTGGGACTAGATGTGAAAGGAAAAGAAGAAAAGGCAAATTTATCCAAATATTTTGATTAACAGAAAGAACAATTTTCAGAGAATTAAAGGCATGTAGAGCAAAACTACACAGAACTTAATTCATCCTTTCTTTGTTAATTGAGGAGGTGGTTAGGATTTTCTCTCATATGTATCATGATTAATGATTACTTGTTAACTCTGCGGAACATAGGAAAGAGTACTAGTTACAGAAGGGTAATAAGTAACATTTAAACCCGTATACCAGGCACTGTTCAAAAACTTGAAATGTATTATACATCAAATTCTCATGACAACCCCATAAGGTAGGAACTGTTACTATCCCTATTTTACAGGTTAAGAAACTAAGGCTCAGAAGTGAGGTACTTGTTCCAGGTTACACAGGAGTAGTCAGGATGCTCATTGTTAGAGTGGTAAAGAGTCTATTGTAATTAGCTGAAGGGATCCTATGAACAAAGACCAAAGGAAGTTCATGTGTTTGGTTTCAGCAGTCTCGTGCGTAACATGAGTGTTTGTATCCCAGAGCCTTAGGCAGGGGGTTTCTGTCAGAGGAAGCACTCTCTAGAGCCTGGAACCTTGCACTCACAAAGGTTCTCTTTATTACTGGGAGCTGACTGGGAGCTGACTGGGGCCTGGAAAGCTCAGTTGTTTCTCTGGGCTAACTTTAACAATGATTTCTTGAGGTCTTGTAGATGATACTCTCCAAGCTGTAAGGAAGAAGTCAAGGATTAAGGAGACCTGGACTGGAGAGGAGCCTTTTTCAAAAAACAACAATGACAAGAGAAAATGTAGCCCACAATGCTCTGAGACAAGAGGGCCTTGTGAAGGGGAAGGATGATACCTGGAAATGGGGAACCAGCTTCCAAGGAAGTAGCTCCTCTGTTTGGGAGACCTCCCACCTACACTTTAGACAATTACGTTACCATGAGACATCTGGACCCCAGGAAGCCCTGAGCCGGCTCAGGGAACTCTGTCGCCGGTGGCTGAGACCAGAAGCACGCACCAAGGCACAGATCCTGGAGCTGCTGGTGCTGGAGCAGTTTCTGAGCATCCTGCCTGGGGAGATTCGGACCTGGGTACAGCTCCATCACCCTGGAAGTGGCGAGGAGGCTGTGGCCCTGGTAGAGGAGCTGCAGAAAGACCTTGATGGACCAGCAATACAAGTGAGAAAGACAGGGAGGGGCGGTGGGTGTTGGGATGAAAGGAAGGAAAGAATTGAGGCTAGGCTAGAGGGTGATCCTGTGATTTTCATTAAAAATTAATAGCATTAATAGCACACTAGCAACCTTAATGATAATTAAAGCAGGTCCATGAGTATTCAGACCATAGAATATGTCTGTAGAGAAACGGATTTACGTTGAGGTCTTCGGGTCCAACTGAGAAGCAGCATAAAAACATTGACTGTTTTGTCCCTTGGGTAATGCTTGCTAATGCTGAGTTTGGACCAAGAACCTGAAGAAGAAATGTTAATAAGTTTTTCCCTAAACAGAAGCCTATGTATTGTTTCTATAATTCTGTTTGGAATGGTGATGTAAGCCTAGAGTATAAAAGGCAATAGCAGGCCAGGCACAGTGGCTCATGCCACAGCATTTTGGGAGGCTGAGGTGGGAGGATCATTTGAGGCCAGGAGTTCAAGACCAGCCTGGACAACATGGGAAGACCCCATCTCTACAAAAAATTTAAAAATTAGCCAGATGTAGTGGCGAGTGCCTATAGTCCCAGCTACTTAGAAGGCTGAGGTGGGAGGATCACTTGAACCCAGGAGGTTGAGGCAGCAGTGAGCTATGATTACACCATTGCACTCCAGCCTGGGTGATGGAGTGAGATCCTGTCTTTAAATAAATAAATAAATAAAATGGCAGTAGCATAACAAGAATGAAGCTTTCCACATCTTGGTAAGATCTCCTCTTGTGTGCCCTACTAGGGATCTGCAAGCCAAGGGATTGGGTTAAGATATTTGCTTCTGATAAGATTTATATCCTTGACCATTAGATTGGGATCTTAATGTAGCCTCTCATGTGTGTGAGATTTCTTTTTGTACATCTGTAGCTCACTAGAAACATTTCTGTATAAGACGTCTGAATCATAACTCAAACTTGGGTGTGGCATTAAGGATGGGCTTGTTTCTTTTAATAATAACGTGAACAATTTTAGAGCTATATATTTCGTTACAAATTACTAATACATCCTCATTTGAGAGATAAGGAAACTGAGGCAGATGTCTAGCTGGCCGCAAAACCAAGTGTCTTGGTGCCAATTTTAGTGTTAGTTGTATTTGAGCACAAAGGGCTAGGTAAAGGGGTCAATAAGTAGATGGTAAATAAGTAGAAGAGATGTGACTGAAGTCCGATCTAAAACTTAAGTCTGAAGCTAAAATCCATGCTCTTAATTACTGCTTATTACTTCCCATTCCCTCCTTAACCCACACCCAGGTCTGGCTTCTGTTCCCACCGTTGTGTACAGTCTCCTCTGGGAGAGGTCACCAGTGCCATGAGTGGGGCTCGAGGGCAGCTCCATTGTTCTCAATGCAAAGCTTTACTGCTGTTTTGATGCTCCATACTTGAGGTGGGTCTCTCTGATCTCACAGTTGTAGATTGTGGGCAGAAAGAGGTCCACAGTGCTTAGGTGAGTCCATTTTCTTAAGAAACAAGAAGAGCTAGCTTATTTTACTTGTTTCCAGGTTCCAGTCCTTGTCAAGGATCAGGACACTCTCCAGAAGGTGGTGAGTGCCCCAGGAACAACACTTCCTCCTGTACTTCCTGGCAGCCACATAGCAGCTGAAATTTGCCCGCATCCTCCTACTGACCTAGTGGCATTCAACCTCCAGGATCCTCAGCATGGTATTTACTCAGTGCTCTGGGTTTTGGGCTGTTCAAGGACCCTTCCTGTGGCTCATCCCCCTACTTCCAGGGAGTTGCTTCCTCTGCTACCCTGTCTAGGAGTCTCTTACAGTGCCAATTTCTTTCTGCTGTTCTGTTGTTCTCTCCTTCTTTCTTGGGCCCCTCTGAGCTTGTATACATCCCCCCTTTTTTTTTTTGAGACGGAGTCTCGCTCTGTCGCCCAGGCTGGAGTGCAGTGGCGCGATCTCAGCTCACTGCAACCTCCGCCTCCTGGGTTTACGCCATTCTCCTACGTCAGCCTCCTGAGTAGCTGGGACTACAGGTGCCCGCCACTGTGCCCGGCTAGTTTTTTAATTTTTTTTTTAGTAGAAACGGGGTTTCACTGTGTTAGCCAAGATGGTCTTGATCTGACCTTGTGATCTGCCCGCCTTGGCCTCCCAAAGTGCTGGGATTACAGGTGTGAGCCACTGCACCCGGCCATTTTTGTTTTTTTTTTTTGAGATGGAGTCTCGCTCTGTTGCCAGGCTGGAGTGCAATGGCACAATCTCGGCTCACTGCAACCTCCGCCTCCCAGGTTCAAGCCATTCTCCTGCCTCAGCCTCCCGAGTACCTGGGACTACAGGCACGTGCCACCACGCCCAGCTAATTTTTTTGTATTTTTAGTAGAGACAGGGTTTCACCATGTTGGCCAGGATGGTCGTAATCTCTTGACCTTGGGAGCCACCCACCTCGGCTTCCCAAAGCTCTGGGATTACAGGTGTGAGCCACCACGCCCTGCCTTGTATCATTCTTACTGCTACTCTTTGTGTTATTCCAGCTCTGCAAGTGGGGTCACTCAGAAAAGGTTTGTAGGTCCCATATGCAGCTTTTTCTCCCTCCTCAGATTCTCCTGCCCCTGAAGCTTCTGCCCTTTCCCAGGAAGAGAACCCAAGAAATCAATTAATGGCACTTATGCTCCTAACAGCCCAGCCCCAGGTAAGGTTTGCATCCTCTTTCCTTCCCATCTGCACAGCGTAACTGTGGCTGAAGTGCCCTCTCTCATCCTTGTGCTTCAATGTCCAGTCAGTTCCCATTTCTAAATCAGGGTCTATGCTATTGGAAGACAGACTTTACATGTGATCTCCTTATGTCTCCCTGATGTCTGTTATGCACTCATGGCCTCACAGTGTATCCCTTCCCCAGAAGTGAAGGGAACCTTTCGACAGGCAAGTTCCTGGGCATTGGTAATCTCACACACACTTGTTATTTCAGGAGTTGGTGATGTTCGAGGAGGTGTCAGTATGCTTCACTTCAGAGGAATGGGCATGTCTGGGCCCAATCCAGAGGGCCTTGTACTGGGATGTGATGCTGGAGAATTATGGAAATGTGACCTCCCTAGGTAAGGATTCTTCTTTCTATGATGCTTACCTTTATTTCACCAGCCTTTATTTGTTTTCTGATTATAAAAGTAGCATATATGTATTTTGGAAAACACCGAATATTACAAAGAAGAAAAAAACCTTCCTTAACATCGCTATTTCCAGATAACTATTATCATTTTGATATATTACCTTTCTGTTTTTTCTATATGTTTGAGGGATTTTTTACATTGTTCCAAAGTGTGTGTGTGTGTGTGTCTGTGCACAGTTTTATAGCTTGCTTTCCTTGTGTGTGTTCTCACATGTTACAAACTCTTTGCAGTTATTATCTATATTGGCTATATGATTTGTACCATAATTCAGTCAGCCATTCCTTATTTTAGATAACTGCTATAATAATCATCTGTCTCTGTGCCTAAGGCCTTCTAAAATGTTTTATTATTTTTAGAGGTACAATTACTGGGCATAAGTGTTTGAATGGCTTTGAGGCTCTTGCTTCATATTGCCAAATTACTTTCTGTAGCGATCCCTGTCCTCTCTGTTCTTAGAAGTGGTGTATAAGAACACTCCTTTTGCTCTGCCTTCATTTGTACTGAGTAATCCCACAATTCTAAATTGTTGCTAATATATTTTTAAAGTTATATATATTCTAAAATAGATTTCTTTGATAAATAATAAAAGAATATTTCAAAACAATTTTTAGCCATTTTTGCTACCAGCAGACATTAAATACCTATCATGGTACAGCTGTGAAAATGATGTGATTCGGCCCTTAAATAGCTTACAATGGTTTAGGAGATGATTACAGAGATATTAAATATACAAGGCAGAGTAAAATAATTGGTACAAGAGTGGCATAAACCTGGTGTGACAGAAATGCAGAAAACGGGGCAATCAGTTTCATTCCTAGGGATTAGCAAAGGCCATAAAGGAGGTAGCATTTATACTGGAACTTGAAGAAAAGAGTAGAATTCTCTTTGGAGAAATCAACGTTCAGAACTGGGTAATCAGCCACAGGAACTAACTTTGACTGAAATACAGATTTACAGTATCAGTTTAAATGGCTGCAGAGTATTGCATGGTCTGTGTATCATGCTTTACATTGACAGCTTTATGATTCTGAATGTTTCTATTCAAGAACATTACATAACATTCCATTTTTTCTGTACTGCTTTTGTATGCATCGGGCATGTTTTAAAATTGCCTAGATCTTCCATATTTCTGGTAATATTTATTCTTTGGAATTGGAGTCTTTTCTGTATTTTCTAATTGACTGTCATTTGCATATATGAAAGTACTTTTTGTTTGTGTTAATTTTGTACCTAGCAACTTTATTTTATTATCTTTAATAATTTAAACTGTACATTTTCACACTTTTGAGACTGTATCCTTTAGTATCTCAGTAGTGGCAGTGGTGGGTGAAACAGTCTGTAGATTTTATACTTTGATACATATTACCAAATTATTTTCTACCAATGATACTTGAATTAAACTCCCACAGAAAGAACACACAGGAGAGCCAATTTTCCCTGGATATGCTCATGATTTGGTCAGTCTTTTAATTAAATCTTTGCTAGGTAGATGAAGAATACCATCTTTTGTTTGTTTTTCATGTTTTCATTATTAGTGTGATTGAAATCTCTTCATATGTTTATTGGTCATTTTACTCCTATTCATATACTTCCTATATATAGAACTACTGCTAATGCTTTGTCAGTTGTTGCATATGTTTTTCCCATTTGTTTGCCTTTCAATATTATTAATTTTTTTTAAGCCTTAGAAAATCCTTTATGTTGTCAAACTTGGCAGTATTTTCCTTTATGGTCTTAGTGGTCTTTTTCCTCATAAAATTATTTTGTAAACCCACCTGTATTCTATTTTTTTTTTTGAGATGGAGTTTCCACTTGTCGGCCAGGCTGGAGTGCAGTGGCGTGATCTCAGCTCACTGTAACCTCTGCCTCCTGGGTTCAAGCAATTCTCCTGCCTCAGCCTCCCAAGTAGCTGGGACTACAGGCATGCACCACCAGGCCCAGCTAATTTTTGTATTTTTAGTAGAGACGGGGTTTCGCCATGTTGGCCAGGCTGGTCTTAAACTCCTGACCTCAGGTGATCCACCCGCCTCAGCCTCCCAAAGTGCTGGGATTATAGGCGTGAGCCACCATACCCAGCTGTATTTTCTTATTTATCATTTTATTTTGACATTTAAGCTTTAATCCATCTTGATATTTATCAATATATCTTGATACATAGAATGACATAGACATCTTGTGGAGGGGTGTTATTGCTTTTTGAGATGGCAGCCTCACTATGCTGCCCAGGCTGGCCTCAAACTCCTGGCCTCAAGCAAACCTCCCACCCCAGCCTCCCAAGTAGCTGAGACTCTAGGCATGCACCACCCTCCAAGCTTGTTTTTTAATCCAAGTAGCTTTCAGTAGTTCCAAAGCTATTTACTCAATAATCAATCTTTCCTAAAAATTTTAAAATAGACTATATGGATTAATTGGCTAATTTTATGAAGAACACTCACCATGGACCCATACCTCATGCTGTATACTAAAATAAATTCCAGATAGGTCTAAGAGTTAAACTAAAAAAAAAAAAAAACCAATAAAATAATGTAATTGCTTGATTATTCTGGCTCTTTGAAGAAAAAGAAACTTGAACCTACTTTAATAAATTAAAAAAAAAATGTGCACTCCGATGTTGTTGGGGCTTCGGGCAAGCAGATGCCCAATGTTTATTCCCATTGACTTAGTAACTCTGATTTGAGATACATTAAAGAAATGGTTCAGAAAGAGGAAATAAAAGTTATATGTCTAAAAATAGTCCCAGGTAACTATGATGGTTAAAAGTTGGGCAAAACAAATTCCCTAAGGGTAAAGTACTAAGCAGAACATGGTGTTTTGACCTAATAGTATATTATGACACTATCAAATATTATGACAACTCTGTGTACTCAATTTTCATGCATCGATAAACTGTGGTAGAAAAGTAGACTCCCAGATAACTTGTACATACTACTTCAGTATGTAAAATATTTGTATATGTTTATTTAGGAGATTGGACTAAAACTTGAAGGAAAGTATTAAGAAATATTGAGTACCTCCCCTGTCAGGCTTAGCCCCTGCCTTAAAGTACATTCAGATTGGAGAGATAGACATTTCCACTTATAATTACAATACAATTTGGCACATTCTGTATAATAAAAGGGTGCATAAGTTTGTGTGAGCCCATAGGATCCTGGGAATGATGGAAGGATTGGGACAGTGGGAGGAGGAGATGGATGGTTCCCAGTTCCTCCACCAGGAAGGAAAGATTTATAACAGTTTTACTGAGGTATATTTAACATACCGTAAAATTCACCATTTAAAGTGTACAGTTCAGTGGTTATTGTGTATTCACAGAGTTGTGCAACCATCACCACAATAATTTTAAAACATTTTCGGCCGGCATGGTGGCTCATGCCTGTAATCCCAGCCGTTTGGGAGGCCAAGGCAGGCGGATCACGAGGTCAGGAGATCAAGACCATCCTGGCTAACACGGGGAAACCCCGTCTCTACTAAAAATACAAAAAAATTAGCCGGGTGTGGTGGCAGGTGCCTGTAGTCCCAGCTACTTGGGAGGCTGAGGCAGGAGAATGGCTTGAACCCGGGAGGCAGAGCTTGCAGTGAGCCGAGATTGTGCCATTGCACTCCAGCCTGGGCGACAGAGCAAGACTCCGTCTCAAAAAAAAAAAAAAAAAAAAATTTCATCAACCCCAAAAGGAACCTTGAACCCTTCAGCAGTCCACCTTCATTTCACCTAACTCATTCCTCCAATCCAGCCCTAGCAGGCACCAATCTACTTTCTACCTCTGTAGATTTGTGTATTTGAAACATTTCATATAAATGGAATCATGCAATATGTGGTCATTTGTGATTGGCTTCTTTTACTTAGCATAGTATTTCTAAGGCTCATCCATGTTGTATCAGGTATCAGTTCTTTATTCCTTTTTATTGCCAAATATTCCATTGAATGGATGTATCTCCCATTTATCAGTTGATAAATACTTAGGTACTTCCGCTTTTGGTCCATTATGAATAATGCTGCTATGAACGTTTGTGTATAATTTTTTGTGTGGATATATGTTTTCATTTCTACCTAGAAGTAGAATTGCTAGGTCTTATGATAACTCTGTATTTAATCATTTGAGGAACTTCCAGACTGTTTTCCAAAGCAACTGCACCATTTTACACTCCTTCCAGCAGCGTATAAGGGTTCCTGTTTCTCTGCATCATCCCTAACACTTGTTATTATCTGTCTTTTTTATTTTAACTATCCTAGTGGGTCTGAAATGATATCTCACTGTGGTTTTGATGTGCATTTACCTGATGGTTAATGATGTCAAGCAACTTTTTATGTTCTTATTGACTATATGTACGTCTTCGGAGAAAACTGTCTATTCAGATTCTTTGTCTATATTTTAACTAAGTTATTTGTCTTTTTATTACTAAGTTGTAAGAGTTCTTTATATATTCTATATATAAGTCCCGTAACAGATATATGACTTACAAATATTTTCTCCCATTCTGTGGGGTCTTGCCCTGTTGCCCAGGCTGGAGTGTAGTGGTGTGATCATAGCTTACTGCAGCCTTGAATTCCTGGGCTCAAGCGATCCTCTCACCTCAGCCTCCCAAGTGGCTGGGATTACAAATGCACCCCACCAGCCTGGCTAATTTTAAAATTTTTTGTAGAGACAGAGTCTTACCGTGTTGCCCAAGCTAGTCTTGAACTCCTGGCCTCAAGCGATCTTCCTGCCTCAGCCTCCCCAAGTGTTGGCATTACAGGCATGAGCCACTGGGCCTGGTGACTTTTCCCTTACTTGATGGTATCCTTTGAAGGACAAAAGTCATTAATTGTGATGAATTCCAGTTTTTTTTTTCTTTTGTTGCTTCTGCTTTTGGTGTCATATCTAAGAAACCATCACTAATCTAGGGCCGGGAAGATTTATGTCTATGTTTTCTTTTAAGTTTTAGCTCTTACATTTCGGTCTTTTATCCATTTTGAGTTAATTTTTTTATATAGTATGAGATAAGGATCCATCTTCATTCTTTTGCATGTGGCACCATTTATCCCAGGCACCATTTGTTGAAAAGACTGTGCTTTCCCCATTGCATTGTTTTGGCACCCTTTTAAAAAAGCAGTTGATCATAAATATCAGGGTTTATTTCTAAAGTCTCAAATCTAGTCCTTTGATCTATATGTCTACCCTTATGTCAGTATCACCCTCTTTTACTATTTTGGCTTCATGGTACATTTTGAAATAAAAAGGTGTGAGTCTTCCAACTATGTTCTTTTTCAAGATTGTTTTAGCTACTCTAGGTCTCTTGACTTTCCATCTAATTTTGGTATCAGCTGGTCAATATCTTTGAAGAAGCAAGCTGAGATTTTAGTAGGGATTGCAATGAATCTGTAGATCAATTTGAGGAGTACTGCCATTTATCAATGTTAAATCTTTTAATCTTTGAACATGAGGTTTCTTTCCATTTATTTAGGCCTTCAGCTTCTTTCAGTAATGTTTTGTAGTTTTCAGAATATAAGAATATAAGTTTTTCACTTCTTTTGTTAAATTTATCCTAATCTTATTGTTTGAGACTATTATAAATGTTTTATTAATTTTCTTTGTGGATTATTTAATACTAATGCATAGAAATACCACTTTTTTTTTTTAATGCGATGGGGTTTTATACGTTTCTCAGGCTGACCTTGAGCTCCTGGGCTCAAGCAGTCCTCAGCCTAAATCTACTGAATAGCTTTGACTACAGGTGTGTGCCACTATGTCAGGCTGATTTTTATATGTTGAGCTTGTATCCTGCAATCTTGCTGTATTTATATATTAGTTTTAATAGCTTTTTAGTGATTTCCAAGGATTGTCTATATGCAAGATTTTGTCATCTGCAAATAGAGATAATTTTACTTCTTCCTTTACAATCTGGATGCCTTTTATTTCTTTCTCTTGCCTAATTGCTCTGGCTAGAACCTCCAGTACATGTTGACTAGAAGTGGCAAGAGCAGACAGCCTTTTCTTGTTCTTGTCCTTAGAGAGAACACATTCAGTCTTTCACCATGAAATATAATTTATTTTAATTTTTTTGAACAGTGTCTTACTCTGTTGCCCAGACTAGAGTGCAGTGGCGTGATCACGGCTCACTACATCCTCAACTTCCTGGGCTGAAGTAATCCTCCTAATCCTGTTATCTCAGCCTCCCACATATCTAGGACCACAGGCACACACCAAGCTAATTATTTGTTTTTATTTTAATTTTATTTTTTTCTGTAAAGACAGTGTCTCACCATGTTCCCCAAGCTGGTCTCAAACTCTTGGCCTCAAGCAATCCACCTACCTTGGCTTGCCAAAGCACTGGGATTACAGGCATGAGCCACTGTGCCTGGCCAGAAATTCTATTCCTACTTTGTTGAGTGTTTTTATCACCATGGAGTGTTTTATCTATTGTCATGATGATGTGGTTTTTGTTTTTCATTTCGTTGATATGGTGTATTACATCAATTGGTTTCCTAGTGTTATACCAACATTATTTTCCTGTGATAAATCTCACCTGGTCATGGTGTATAATTCTTTTTATGTCCTGCTAGATTTGGTTAGTTAGCATTTTGTTGAGGATTTTTATGTTTGTATTCATAAGCTATATTTATCTATAGTTTTCTTTTTTGTGATGGTTATGTCTGGTTTTGCTATCAGGGCAACACTGGCTTCATAGAATTAGTTGGGAAATGTTTCTGTTTATTGGAAGAATTTGTGAAGAAATGGTATTCTTTTAAGGTTTGGTAGAATTTGCCAGTGAAGCAGCCTGGGCCTGGGCTTTTTGTGTGCAGGCAGGGGGTGGGGGTAATTTTTTTTTTTTTTAATTATTGATTCAATTTCTTTCCCTGTTGTAGATCTACTCAGATTTTCCATTTTTTTTCTTGAGTCAGTTTTAGTAATTTGTGCCTTTCTAGGAATTTGCCTATTTCATCTAAGTTGTCTTAATTTATTGGCACAGTATCATTGATAGTATCATTTATACTCCTTTTTATTTTTTTAAGATCAATGTTAATGTCCAGAGAGTGACTTTAGAACTTAGTTTTAAAGGGTGTAGGTACGGGCTTAGGTAGTGAGTTGGAAAGAAGAAGAGCAATTCAGGAAGAGGAAAGGACACGGACAGTGATAGGCAAGAAATGACATGTTTGGGCAGCTGCATGTAGTTCAGTGTGGCTAGAGTCTAGGGGCATAAGAGATACTGATGATAGTTGATACCAGAAAAACAGGCAGTGGGTGAAGATACCCCTTTGACTCCACTGGTTATTTCTGCTTTGTCCTGTAGGCAATGAAGAGTTAGGTGTTTTGTGCAGGTAAGTGACAGGATCAAATTTACCTATCGGAAAGATCATTGACAGAAGATAGGCATGGATTAGGGCAGATGAAAGGCGGGGGGTGTCAGTGGTAGGAAAGCCTGTGTCTCTTTCTTGCAGGCTTCATTCACCAAAGGTTATGGAAAGTAACCAGCTCCCTCTGTCATTCTGACATTTTTCTACAAAGTCTTAAAAAGCTCAAGAGGCCCATATATAGTCTGATTCCTAAGCTAAAAATATTAAATAGTTTAACCAGCTAATTAGCTACTGATACAAGAGTTGCTAATTTCTTAACCATTTTCCATCTCAGTTTAACTACTTGTAACACTTCATTTCCTTATATAGAAATGTTTCATTATATAGAAGCAGCCCTCCTCTCCATCAGCATTCTCTTTGTTTTTTGTTTGTTTTGTTCTTGTTTTGTTTTGAGATGGAGTCTTGCTCTGTCACCCAGGCTGGAATGCAGTGGTGTGATCTCGGCTCACTGCAACCTCTACCTCCCTGGTTCAAGTGATTCTCCTGCCTCAGCCTCCTGAGTAGCTGGAATTACAGGTGTGCACCACCATGCCCAGCTAATTTTTGTATTTTTGGTAGAGACAGGGTTTCACCATGTTGGCCAGGCTGGTCTCAAAGTCCTGACCTCAAGTGATCCGCCCTCCTCAGCCTCCCAGAGTGCTGGAATTACAGGCATGAGCCACCATGCCCGGCCTCTCCTTATGTTTGAAACCTCACTGTGAATAAGGAAACTGAAGTACCAGCATTAGATAGGCTTAAGACACATACCCATCCCTGCAGCCAGGTGGTTGGGTAGTGTGACTGGCAGTCCTGCCTGAGTCCTAGAGAGAAGGGCAGTTGAGATGAGATATGAGGGCCTGACCTAAGAATGTCTGTAGTTCAAGTTAATATTTGTTGGATATTTGCCATCCTCATCCTTTCATAAACTTAAAGAAATGTATAATGAAATAAAATGGCTGCACTCTTGTCTTCTCTCTCTGTTTAGATAGAAGAAAAGTATTGTTATATTCAAAGAGAAGATGATGTTACTGCTATTCACATAACTTTACTTATTAGACAGTTTGGGGGAACTGGCTCATAATTTCTCTCACACTTGGGTAGTTTGAAAGTAAACTTCCAAAACATTTTCATACTGTTCATACTTTAAAATATTTGAGAATATTGGAGTAGATAGGAACCTTGGATATTAGTTTAGCCTCATCATTTTACAGATGTTTTCATACTTTTATTCTATTTTCCCTTTTCTTTTCTGTATTTCTTCTCTTACCTTTTATGTGTAATTAAGGGAGTTCATAACAGACCTGACTATTTAAAATGAATTTTAAAATTTCCATTTCTTAATTTTAAACGGAGTAGGAGTTATATGAATTCTAAGAATTAAGTTGCTTTTCAATGGATTTCTTTTCTGTTGGTTAATTGCTTTCAACCAGTTAAAAAGTATTCATGCCTTTGACTTTTCAAAAATTAAAAATTGCCTTTCAGAGTCCTTACATATATTTTCCTTCCCTTAAAGTTTCCATCCTTCTAACATGAAGAAAATAATAAAGAAAGTTACTTCTAATCCAATGGTTCTTGCTCTTCTATCCAAGTTCCTTAGATGTGAACCACCTCCATAAGATCCTGTGTTTTCTCTCTGGTTTTCCTTGCTTCTGTTTTCTCAGCATTATTTGTATTTTTCTATCTGCTTCCTGAAGACAAAGCACTTAAAAATGTCTCAACCTGAGTTGTATGTTAATCCATTTACAACATCTTGTCAGTGTAGCATTATTCTTTGTACCTTCCTTTAATGAAAAGTTTCTCCTTTTTGTATGCATATTAAAGTGTGCCTTCCTAGAATGTTTTAAAGTCATTTGAAGATCCTGTTCTTCCAAACACAGGGACGTGGTAACATTTGCATTTTTAATTCCTTTTACCAGAATGGGAGACCATGACCGAGAATGAGGAGGTGACATCAAAGCCAAGTAGTTCTCAAAGAGCAGACTCTCATAAAGGAACATCAAAAAGACTTCAAGGAAGTGTTCCCCAGGTCCTTGATTTTGAAGAAGAGTGTGAATGGCAAGTTTTGGCAAGTCAGTGGGGAAATGAAACAGATGAAAGGGCAGATACAGTGAAGAAAGTTTCCCTTTGTGAACGAGACAAGAAGAAAAGGACTCCACCAGAGAAACAAGGCCAAAAGTGGAAGGAATTAGGAGACAGCTTGACTTTCGGTTCAGCTATTTCTGAAAGTTTAATAGGTACTGAAGGAAAGAAGTTTTATAAATGTGATATGTGTTGTAAACATTTTAATAAAATCTCCCATCTTATAAACCATCGGAGAATCCACACTGGTGAGAAACCTCATAAATGTAAGGAATGTGGAAAAGGCTTTATTCAGCGTTCGAGCCTTCTAATGCATTTACGGAACCATTCAGGGGAGAAACCTTATAAATGTAATGAATGTGGGAAAGCATTTTCTCAAAGTGCTTACCTTCTAAACCATCAGAGGATCCACACTGGGGAGAAACCTTATAAGTGTAAGGAGTGTGGAAAGGGCTTCTATAGGCACTCAGGCCTAATTATACATCTAAGGCGCCATTCAGGGGAGAGACCTTATAAGTGTAATGAATGTGGGAAAGTCTTCTCTCAGAATGCTTACCTCATTGACCATCAGAGGCTCCACAAAGGGGAAGAACCTTATAAATGTAATAAGTGTCAGAAAGCTTTCATTCTGAAGAAGAGCCTCATTCTGCACCAGAGAATCCACTCTGGGGAAAAACCCTATAAATGTGATGAATGTGGAAAGACCTTTGCTCAGACCACTTATCTTATTGACCATCAGCGACTCCACAGTGCAGAGAACCCTTACAAGTGTAAAGAATGTGGAAAAGTTTTCATTCGAAGCAAAAGCCTCCTCTTACATCAGAGAGTCCACACAGAAAAGAAAACCTTTGGTTGTAAAAAGTGTGGGAAGATTTTCAGTTCTAAGTCAAACTTCATTGACCATAAGAGGATGCACAGCAGAGAGAAACCTTACAAATGCACTGAATGTGGGAAAGCCTTTACTCAAAGTGCTTACCTTTTTGACCACCAGAGACTCCACAATGGGGAGAAGCCCTATGAATGTAATGAATGTGGGAAAGTTTTTATTCTGAAGAAGAGCCTCATTTTACATCAAAGGTTCCACACTGGAGAGAATCTCTATGAATGTAAAGATTGTGGTAAGGTCTTCGGTTCAAACAGAAACCTCATTGACCATGAGAGACTCCACAATGGGGAGAAGCCATATGAATGTCGAGAGTGTGGGAAAACCTTTATTATGAGCAAAAGTTTTATGGTCCATCAGAAACTCCATACACAAGAGAAAGCCTACAAATGTGAGGATTGTGGGAAGGCTTTCAGTTACAATTCAAGCCTGCTTGTACATCGGAGAATCCACACCGGAGAAAAACCCTTTGAATGCAGTGAGTGTGGAAGAGCTTTCAGTTCAAACAGAAACCTCATTGAGCATAAGAGAATCCACAGTGGTGAGAAACCCTATGAGTGTGATGAGTGTGGCAAATGCTTCATTCTGAAGAAAAGCCTCATTGGACATCAGAGAATTCACACGAGGGAAAAATCTTATAAATGCAATGACTGTGGGAAGGTCTTCAGTTACCGCTCAAACCTTATAGCCCATCAGAGGATCCATACTGGTGAGAAGCCCTATGCGTGTAGTGAGTGTGGAAAAGGTTTTACGTACAACAGAAACCTGATTGAACATCAAAGAATTCACAGTGGAGAAAAAACCTACGAATGTCATGTATGTAGGAAAGTCCTTACCTCTAGTAGAAATCTTATGGTACATCAAAGAATCCATACTGGAGAGAAACCTTATAAATGTAATGAGTGTGGAAAAGACTTTAGTCAGAATAAAAACCTTGTTGTACATCAGAGAATGCACACTGGGGAAAAACCTTATGAGTGTGACAAGTGTAGGAAATCCTTTACTTCTAAGAGGAATTTAGTTGGCCACCAGAGAATTCACACAGGGGAGAAACCCTATGGGTGTAATGATTGTAGTAAAGTTTTTAGGCAAAGAAAAAACCTTACTGTACATCAGAAAATCCACACAGATGAAAAACCTTGTGAATGTGATGTGTCTGAAAAAGAATTCTCTCAGACTTCCAACCTTCATCTTCAACAGAAAATCCATACCATTGAGGAATTCTCTTGGCTACAAAACACCAATGAGTCCAAGATTGAGATTCAGAAAATCTAGTGTCATATGTAAAATGGAATAGAATCCCTGCCTACTTAAGTAACTGTTGGACAAATGATATATATTTCTTCTAAGGAAAAAGTTTATTATTTACTCTTTACTAGACAAATGAGTAGCATATAGAAGAAAGTTAATAGGCCGGGCTTGGTGGCTCATGCCTGTAATCCCAGCACTTTGAGAGGCCGAAGCGAGTGGATCACCTGAGGTCAGGATTTTGAGACCAGCCTGACCAACATGGTGAAACCCCATCTCTACTAAAATACAAAAATTATCCGGGCATGGGGGCACACACCGGTAATCCCAGCTACTCAGGAGGCTGAGACAGGAGAGTCGCTTGAACCTGGGAGGGCGGAGGTTGCAGTGAGCCAGGATCGCGCCATTGCACTCCAGCCTGGGCAACAAGAGCGAAACTCTTGTCTGAAAAAATAAAGTTCATCCCAACTTTCAAGTCTACAAAAACATAATCCAAATCTAATAACATAGTTGTAAATGAGAGCAACAATAAAAAGTAGACATGGGCTGGGTGCAGTGGCTCACTCCTGTAGTCCCAGGACTTTGGGAGGCCGAGGTGGGAAGATCCCTTGAGCCCAGGAGTTCGAGACAAGCCTGGGTAACACGGGGAGACCCGTCTTTAGTAAATAAAAATAAATTTATTAATAAAACTAAAAATTTAATAATAAAAAGTGGACATTGTTTTTTAAAATGTGTATAGTATGCATTTTAAAGATAGTGTCACTGCTGTGGAAAACCTGAACAGACAGTATGATCCAGAATGTCAGGTGTGGAGTTGGGCGGACAAGAGTCTGCTGATGAGGACAACCTAAAAGAGCACTGGATTTGGAATCAGAAGACCTACCTTTGATTCCTGGCTTTCCCTTAATGGCCATGTGATGTTATTAAGTCAGCCTCTAAAGCTTTAGTTTCCTGTCAGTCAAATGTTGACATGATACCTACCTCACAGGGTTGTTGTGAGGGTTAAGTGAAAGGATCTTTGTGAAAGTACTTTTTGAAATCATTCAGTTGTCAATAAAGTTGGATAAAAGAGGTTATGGTAAAAGTTTAGAACATGGGATCATGTAAGTTTGTGTATTAAGTCAATATTAGAATGAGGGGGATTCCAGGAACCTAAAAGATACTCATTTTCATAAGAGGAAGTATGGTGAATAGCTAACTGGAATTTAGTGTTCTAAGAATAATTTTGTTAAATTTACCTTTAAAAATATCTGAGGGAGTTACTAGATTATATATCTAGTTTATGTATATGGAAAAAAATGTTATGGCCAGCCATTAACAGTGATGCCAAGGAAAACAATTTATTTCCCAGCTTTTGAATTTGAAACTTAACAGATGGAGAGTGTCAAAATGGAAGGGCAGTGGTACCCTGCTTTCCCTATTCAGAGGGAAAAAAATCCTTGACCCGCAGTTGAGCTGATGATCCCTGCCACAGTCATTGTGAATTCTAATCAATATTTCATCATTGCTGTCAAATGATAGCCTGTTACTAATGAAACAACATTCTGTCCCAGCACTAAATTTACTGGGACATAAATTTTTCACATGGAGCCAAGCTCTTCACTGATTAAGCCAGTGCAGAATCCACTTGTGGGCAGTCAGTGCCCATTACCCCCTGTGAACCATTCTGTGCCCTTGAGTACATTTGTGGGTTTAACTCAGTCTATATTCTTAAGTTGGTAATTTTTATGTTGTAATTCTCAAAGTTCTGTTTCTGTAGCTGGACTATGAATAATACCTGAATATGAAGATTGTGTTTTTTAATAATGTCAAAGTGGTGTGTTGATTATCATAAATGTTATTAATTCAACCCCACAGTTTCTTGGGGGCTGGTTCCTCATTAGAGTGAAAGGTAGCCAAGAGTGAAAACTGGAAGGGGCCTAAGGCTTAAAGTCTTAAGACCTGGATGTGGTTCAGGTTTTGCCATCTGCCTCAGAAAAAATCTCTTCAGTTCTTGGAGCCTTGAATTCCTCATCTGTTAAACAGGAGGAAGAATATCTACCTCACAAAGTTCTTATGAGATAATGAATATAAAAATGTTTCATCCAGGTTGTTGAATCATCCCAGCTTATATAATAATTACAAAGGACATATGTACTTTAACAATGGAGAATGCTGTGATTTACCTCTTCACCGAGTAACAAAATGTCACATTGCTTAGATTGAGACAGCCCACATAATGTGCCACCTTCTGTGATGTAATAAGCTGAAAAATGTTCAACCTGAATTTAATCAAGCTTCTTGGACCTCATTGCCAGGTTACAGGAAATACAGGAGGCAGAGGAACAAATAAAAGACACCACGAGAAACAGACACATCCAGAACGTGGAATATTGCATAAGAAAGCTGCCCTGGATTCTTCAAAATATTATTATGATGAAAAAGAGAGGGGAGTGAAAATTGTTCAAGCTGTCTTGAGTCTGCTGTGAGTTTATTATACCATTCTCTGCTTTTGTGTATGTATGAAAATTTCGATATGAAAGGTATAAAACATGGATGAGGAGGCTTGTTTTTAAAAGATAATACTAGAGAGCCGTTAGGTACTAAGAACCAGAAATAGACTCACATAAATGGCCAATTGATTTTTGACAGGGGCAAAAGCAATTCAATGGAGGAGGGATCGCCTTTTCAGCAAATACTGTTGGAGTAATTGGATATCCATAGGCAGTAAACCAACAACTTCAGGACCTAGGACTGAGCTAAGAAGGCTCAGATGACTCAAAAGCATGCTCCTTAGAAGGAAAAAAAATGTTAAATTGGACTTCATCAAAATTAAGATAATTTACCCTGTAAGAGACCTTTTTACAAAGATGATATTACAGGTTGGGAAAAAATATTTGCAAATCATATCCAACAAGGGATTTGTATGTAAACTACATAAAGAACTTTCCAAATTTAACAGTAATAAGTAAATACAATTAGAAAATAAGCAAAAGACAGACATTTCACTGAAGTATAGATAGCAAATAAGCAAATGAAAAGATGTTCAACATCATTAGGCATGAGGGAAATGCAGAGTAAAATCGTGAGATATCACCTATCAGAATAGCTTAACTTTTTTTTTTTAATGGTGGTAACTGCTGGCAAGGATGAAGAGAAACAGGATCTCATACATTGCTGGGAATGTAAAATGGTACAGCCACTCTGGAATATAATTTGGCAGTTTCTTGTAAAACCACACATGTATATGTCATGCTTCAGGAATTGCACTTCTGAGCATTTATCCCAGAGAAATGAAAACTTGCGTTCACACAAAAACCTGTATACGAATGTTCATAGCAGCTTTATTTGTAATGGTCGAAACCTGTAGGCAACCCATATATCCTTCCTTAGGTGGTTAAAACAAATTGTGGTTTATGTATTACCATGGAATACTTGTTACTCTGCAATAAAATTGACTTATTGATATCCATAACAACTCAAATAAATTTCAAGGGAATTAATGCTGAGTGAAAATAATCACAAAAGGCCATATTCTGTATGAAAATATTCATATAACATTCTCAAAATGATAAAACTATAGAGATGAAAAATGGATTAATGGTTGCCAAAGGTTAGGGATGGTGGGAGGAAAAATGGGGAGAGGGTTGGATGGAACTATTAAAAGGTAGCACCAGAAAGGTCTTTGTGGTGATGGAACACTTGTGTATCTTGATTGCAGTGGTGGTTACACAAATCTATAGGTGCTATACCTATACACACATACTGTACCAATGTTGATTTCCTTTTTCATTTTATGTAAGATGTAACCATGAGGGGAAAGTGGGTGAAGGGTGCTATCTTTGCAACTTCCTGTGATTCTATCATTTCAAAATAAAAAGTAAAAACCAACAATGGCAACGAAAACCCAAAACTAAAGAGCTGTAACCAACTAAAGTGTGTGAAACTGATTTGAAAAAAAGTTATAAAATACATGTTTTAGGACAGTTGGGAAATTTGAATATGACTGGTTATTAGATGGTATTAGGGAATTTTTGTTGATTTTCTTACCTGTGACGGTGGTGGTAGTTTGAAGAATATTCTTAATCTTAAGGGATGCATGTTGAAGTATTTGGAATGAAGTGTTCTGATGTTTACAACTTTCAAAAAAATGATTTTAAATATGTATTGAGAGATCAGGCAAACATAGCAAAATGTTCATTGTTGAGTCCACATGGAAAATACGGGTATTCAATGTGCCATACTTTCAACTCTTCTGTACTCTGATATTTTCAAAATAAAACATTTGAGGGGAAATTATCAGGGCTTTCTACAGATTAATGCTGTGTAGCTTCAGGCTCTTGGGTGCGCGCCTCGCCTGAGTGTCTCATCCCTGCTTGGGATGCGCCCCTCCCTGAGGCTCACTTAGAGCTTCCAACAGCACAATCCTCCTAAGCGCTTCTGCCCCATCCCTGGTCTGGGGCGACATTGGACACCCATCGAGAGGAAAGCACCTCCGAGGTTCCTAGAGAGGCCGGCTTGGCGACTTGGGGAGCCGGAAGCCCATCCCGAGGCACTTCCTGTCCGGTCATTGTTCTCGTGCCGGTAGAAGCTGAAGTACCGGTCAGCCAGCCTCCTGCTGCAGAGCCAGTGAACTCAGGTCGGGCTTCTCAGCTGCGCACAGTGAGTGGGGTCGGAGGGGGTGGGCACGAACGTCGAGGGAGAAAAAGGGGCTCTCCCAGGGGCCATGGCCCTAGGAGCGGCCCCTGCGTCCTTTCCCCGGGGACACCAGCCTTGTCTGTCGGGGTGCGGGGGGCAGTGAGTTCCCCACCGCCTCGGAATCCCGGCTGCTGCCCACCTGGGGCCTGGTCCGGGAGAGGATGCACACGGACCGGCCAAGGGGCCAGATAGGTCCCAGGGACAGGGCCGCGAGGAGCCTATACGTGGAAAGAATGGATTGCCACGTTTGGAAATAGAGAAAGGACGTTGAAAGGGAGCCTTTGATAGAGGGCCCTGTGCCGTCTGGGACCGGAGGTCCGTCAGAATCTGATCAGAAGTCTGATGAGAGTACTCACTGTAGGCAGTCTTATACACAAGGTGGAACTAGTCTTAAGGACCTTCATACCAGATTGAATTCGGATAGTGATGGAAAGAATAGTCCTCCAGAATTAAGGTTTGTCACAGGAATGAAAGTATTGCATTACTTAATAAATTCAGTGTATACAGTAAGTGGCCAGTAAGTTGACATGGGGAAAAGAGTATGATCACTTCAATAGCAGCAACAGGGGATTGAATAAGATTTCGCACCCTTTTCCAATAAAACATTCAAAGGGGGTTAGAAAGAAAAATTTCAATCTCTTCATAAGCAATCAAACTAGTAAGGTTATTTTGCTCACAGGTTAAAAACAAAAACCCTGCTGGCTTAGCTGTGATAAAGGGTTACTGTCAATTAGTGGGGGTGTGAATTGGCATGGTGCTTTTGGAAAGCAATTTGACAGTACATATCAACCAGCAAATCCTTGAACCAGTAATTCTCTGATTATTCTAAAGGAATAATTCAGCAAAAAAAAAATATTTACAAAGAAAAACTTTTAAATATTAATAAAATGGAAATATAAACTTTTACTAAATAAATGGTTCATAAATAGAATATGATTAAGTAAATGATAATATAGCCACAATTTAGAATACTATGCCAGAATGAGGTAGTTCTATATGTGTTGTATTGAAAGATTGTTAAGACTATTGTGAAATACGGAAATTGAGTTAAAAAACAATGCAGGTTGCTGAACAGTATATAACTGTGATGATCTAAAGTATGTTTTTGAAAAATAAGCAATATGTGTGAAGGTGAACATATAAGTATGTAAATGCAGAGAAAATGGGTTAGGACTCCCATCTAAACTGATAAGTACTTTGTGTGTGTGTGTGTGTGTGTGTGTAGTGTGTGTAGGTTATATATTTAATTCTATATATTTCTGTATTACTTGATCCTTTTTCAATGAGAGTGAAGATTTATCAACACCATAGGTTATTGTGTAGCATTTAAAATAAGCATGAAGAATGGCAACATGAAAGTAATCTTTTTTTAAATCTTAAGTGTAATATTTTATCTCACAGGACATTTGGAAGCTATGGAAAATGTAAAAATCAAACAAAAAAAATGAAAAGAACCTTAAAACTACCTGTAATTACACCATCCAGAGTTAACTACCCACTGCTAACACGTTGGTATAAAGACTCCCAGTCTTTTTCTTGGGATCCTTTTGTTCACATTATTTTGTATCCTTGGCAATAAAAAATCTTTTTGTTGTAAAATCCTTTTTTAAAAAATGCTATGATGATAATTGTGAAAATATGTATCCCCAAAGTCAAAAACAAGAATTTGTAAAATCATAATTATTAGTAGTATGGTTGGAGATTTTCCTTTGAAAGAAATATCTTAAATCTTAAAATGTATAGTGGTTATCTCTTTGGAGGTAGACCGAGATGATTTTTCTTAATCATTTGCTGCTTTTAAGTTTTTACAATAAAAGTAAGTTAACTTTTAATCAGGAAAAAATCAATAAACATTATATAAAGCTGTTTGCAATGTGGTTATTATGGGAAGATATTACATATTTATAGTCCAACCCCTTCATCCTATGAGGGAGGAATAGAGGATTCCATGTCCTACATTGGCCCCTGGCCAGGCGCTGGTGAAATTTGCCGGTGTGGCATCCGGCAAATTTGCTAAGTGGCATCCAGCAAATCTCTCCTTGGTGCTAACAGTGTTTTCTGATTTCTCAGTAGGCAGTACTCATCTTGGCCCTGGGAAGAAACTCAAGAAGAAGCTTTTGAAACATAAAGCTTGGATGGGGTTTGACCTCTGCAGGGCAGCGCCCAGCTATAGGAGTTCCCCTGCTGAGCAGAGAAGATGACTGCAGAATTGAGAGAAGCCATGGCCCTAGCCCCATGGGGCCCAGTGAAGGTGAAAAAGGAGGAGGAAGAAGAAGAAAACTTCCCAGGTCAGGCATCCAGCCAACAAGTGCACTCCGAGAACATCAAAGTCTGGGCCCCAGTGCAGGGTCTTCAGACAGGCCTTGATGGATCAGAAGAGGAAGAAAAGGTAAACGGGGGCCTGAGAGGAAGAGGGGAGGAGATACTTGAAGACCTCAAGTAGTTTAAGAGGGGACTCTGCCCCTCTGCTTCCACACCTGGAGTCTTATTTCTTGGGTACAATTCTAGCTTCCAGTCTTTTGTAATAGGATAGAAACATTCCCTTCTGATTGATGTGACATTCAGTACTTTCTGTAAACCAGTGGTTCTCAAATTTTGCTACACAGAACCTGGAGAGCTTTTTATAAAATCTTGATGTCCATACTGTATTCTATTCCTATTAAATCAGAATCCGTGGTCCAGGCACAGTGGCTCACACCTGTAATCCCAGCACTTTGGAGGCCAAGGCGGGAGGATCACTTGAGGTCAGGAGTTCAAGACCAGCCTGAGCAACATTGCACACCTCGTGTTTTGCAATGCCGAAATACAAAAAATTAGCTTGGCATGGTGGCACGTGCCTGTAGTCTCAGCTACTTGGGAGGCTGAGGTGGGAGGATTGATTGAGCCTTGGAGGCATAGGTTGCAGTGAGCCGAATTCATGCCACTGCACTCTAGCCTGGGCAATAGAGTGAGACCCTGCCTCAAAAAAAAAAAAAAAAGAATCTAAGGGTGGGACCTGGGTATCCATGTTTTTTTAAAACTCTTCAGGTAATTTCAGTCAGGTTTTGACAATGCTAACCAGAGCTTCTAAAACTTTAATGTGCATAGGAATCACCTAGGGGTTCTTGTTAAAACAGTTAAAGTTCAGATTCTGATTGAGGATGTCTGGGGGTGGTCTGAGATTCTGTGTTCTTTGTTTGTTTGTTTTGCAAGCTTCCAGGTGATGCAGATACTGCTGCTGATCTTTGCACCACACTTTGATTCATGAGGCTGTACACTGTGCTGTCCTTAATGTTTCAAACACACCCCTTACCATTACTAGTCAAATGAGGGCAGAGGTTCCCCCAGAGCCTTTCTGTAATAATATCATCAAAACCTTGCTGCTTTGATCTTTAGATCCCACAAAAGTTCACTCTGAAAATTCTTCCCATATGCTCTCTCCTCTTATCATGTACTCACTGGTAAGCTAGGTTTAGATTCTGGAGTGAGCAGTGAGGTGCAATCAAAGTAATAAGGAAGAAAGTAGCTAGCTTGTTTCTCTGCCCAACTCACCCTGGGGGTTGGAGGAGACTCTGGCTTCCTTTTCTGTTTTTAAAAATTGTTCTATGGCCTCCAGGAATAGATAATTATGTTCTCATTCTCAAAATTGTAACCACACTACCCCCTACCACCAGTTCCCTCTTAAACATGTGCCTGCTTGTCTCTAGGGTCAGAACATATCCTGGGATATGGCGGTAGTCCTGAAAGCAACTCAGGAGGCACCTGCTGCTTCAACCCTTGGCAGCTACTCATTACCAGGGACTCTGGCCAAGAGTGAGATACTGGAGACTCATGGGACCATGAACTTTCTAGGTATGGTTCAGTTCCCTGATTCTGAATCTGACCATTGGGGTTTCTCAAAATCTTTTCAGAGACTGGTGGGCATCCAGTCTCCTAGGTTGACCAACAGAGTACTGAGGTATTGAAAGTGTCCAGGAAAGCTGGAAAGAGGAATGCTGAAATGCCTGTGCATTTGTCATGGGAAGTGGCTTATTTTGCACACAGGCTCAAGACACTAGACAAACATAGGTGTTGTGCTGAAACCTGATCAACACCAATATGGTACCAGGTTCAAGAGGCTGAAGAAGAGACCCAGAGCCAGCAAACAACATAGAATTTTACTAGGTGTTTATGTACAGGGTAGACAGTCTAGAGGCAGTGGACTGGGCACGGGAGAACCACATGGCCCAGTGGCACAGGCTGGACAGGAGAGCTGCAACTGCTTGCAAAAGGCATGCGGTTTATGTCGCATTTTCACTTAACACCCTCTCCCTAATGACCTCCACCTGGCAGCCTTAATTTAACCCAAAACAAGGGGCCTCAATCCCCTTTAAGGCCCGCATTCCACTGAAAGGGGTGGGGAATGGATAAGGAATGGATCTCCAGGTTGGCCACTTCTGGATTCCTTTGCTTGGAACTCCAAACTATATTCAGGTGTGTCTGCCATACAGGATCATTCTCAGGGTATGCTTAAGTTGTTGCCATCAGGTGTATTTACCATACAATAGGTGAATTCCAAACTCACTTTTTAGTGATATTTATTGTTCAATGAGTTTCATCTCTGTGCACACATGTAGGCACATGTCCTTTTTATACGCTTTGTAGTTAGCATAGGTTGGTGAGCCTGCAAGAGATGCTAGCCGAGGTAGGAACAGTCAACTTTTGTGGTGATTTTGAGCAAATGCCCTGGAGATGTTCTGTTTTCATAGATCTTTGTGCAAATTATAGAGGATTTTGAGCAGCTGTGTTAACCATAATGATGTTCAAAACTAGGTCTTCGTGAAGGGTACTGATGGCTTATCAACTTGTTCTCTCTAAGCTAGGACTAGAGAAAGGGTAGTATGTTCTAAAGATCTCACTGGCAGTGGCAGAAGCTTGCCTGTGGAGGAGTGACATATAAGTGAGGGTCAAGAATGCAGTAGCCATGAGTCCTGTGTTTCAAAGCACTTACTGGCTGATTGCCAAGCCCTATTCTTTTTATGAGTCTGCCAGATATTGAATATTTTGAACCCACTCTCCTCCCTAACCAGTTCCTCAGGCATCTGGGGACCAAGTCACTTTCTTAAACCAGTGCTATGGGGAAGACAAGGATCTCCACCTAGATTTTCTTGTCTCATATTTAATTATTCCCAAACTCTTAGCAGCTTCTGTTCCCCACTTTCTGCTTTGTGTTCCATTCTCTCTGGTGCATTCGCGTGCATGTCACTTATTTTCTGTCTCTGAGCTTTATCAGCCATTCATAGTCTTAACCCCAACAGCTGCACCTCATCAGGAATGGGCTCCCTTTTCCTACTTTGCCTCTTACCTCAAGACCATGTTCATACCCAAGACTTAGTATTTTGTGCTGCCAGCTATTTCCATGGCGATGGCAGGAACACTGCCAACACTATTTCCATGGCGATGTCAGCAGGCGATGGTGGGAACACTGAGCTCTATGTGTGAGAGATATCTGAGTGGGGTTGCTGCCCTGCCTGTAATAACTCTGTGACCTTGAGTAAGTCCCTTCTCTCTCTGGACCTCCATTTCCTGTTCTACAAATTGGGTGTGTTCATTAAGTACAGGATTTGTTGGCGGCCTCCTTCCTATGTGTCAGGCAGCGTGATAGGTGCTGGAGATACAGAAATGAATAAGACACAACCTTGCTCTTTTTTTAGCTGAAGGAGAACAGTTTCATCTTCATGATGAAATTGTATAATATACATGAAAGTGCTTTGGAAATTGTGATGTGTTACTGGGTTTTTAATGTCTGAGCAAGTTTTAACTGTAGTTTTCATATTTTAATTAATGTTGAATTTATTAAAGTTTATTCATTTAAAAACCAATTTTTAAGCCATTAAGCATAACTTTTTACTTCATCCATACATCTAGAAATATTTGTATAAAAGTGAGAACATTTGTATTTTTTCTTTAACTTATGTTCAGTTAAGCTTCAAATTTTACAGATTAAATTTTTTAAACATTTTGGCCGGGCGCAGTGGCTCAAGCCTGTAATCCTAGCACTTTGGGAGGCGGAGGCGGGTGAATCACCTGATATCAGGAGTTCGAGACCAGCCTGGCCAACATGGTGAAACCCTGTCTCTACTAAAAATTCAAAAATTAGCCAGGCATGGTGGTGCGTGCCTATAGTCCCAGCTACTTGGGAAGCTGAAGCAGGAGAATCGCTTGAACCCGGGAGACAGAGGTTGCAGTGAGCCAAGATTGCACCACTGCACTCCAGCCTGGGCAATAGAGCAAGACTCTGTCTAAAAAAATAAATTAATTAAAAATTTTAAACATTTAATTCTACCTGCTTATCAAATTTCTTTATATAAAACATAATTACAAATTTGATATCTTTAGTTCTTTAAAACATTCCAAACACCTAACTGGGCAGACTTACAAATCTTGTAAATAAAATCTTGATAAACACAGCTGTTATAAATCTAATGAATTGGACTTATAAATTTAGTAAATCAAATTACCCTTCTTATCTCAGAATACAGTCACCAGCTAAGGTGGCAGGCTTATGTAGCATTTCAGCTATCTTTAAAAAAAAAAAAAGAGTGAAAGAAGAGTATTGATTTAAAAACTATGGCTATGCCTGTGTTCTAGTTGGTCACAAATTAGTTTTTGTTTTAGTTTTTCATTATTTCTGTACTTAATTTAATTTCTCTAGAGCTACAGTAATCCTACATGTTTTTTAAAAAAAGGAAAAATACCATTTCAAATAAGCCAAGGTTATACGCCCGGATTATTTGCTGATTAATCTTTTTACCCAAAGAAATTTGAACTTGACTATACCAGATGGACCCTAATTCTCTTTTCTTAGGCACTTGCCAAGACCCCAGGTCTTACTTTACTCAGTGATGAATCACTTGCATGAAAACCTTCTAGGCTACAGTTGCACCTGGTTTTGTAATGGTTTTGACATGAGACATTATTCAGATAGAAGGAATTGTTTCCGTTATTGGCTCTAATCAGTTTAGTAGTTCCCATTGATCTTCATGCCCAACATTCTAAATCTCCCAGTAAGGAGGGTAGGAGTGAAAGTCAGGGAGACAGTGCAGCTATGAACTAAAGTTTTCATGGGCTCTGTTTCTGTTGGAGAGATGCCCAGCTGGGGTATGGGAGGCCCACGTGTCAGTGATGGGGAGTTAAAGCAAAAGAGGAGGTGAAAAGAATCAAGGGAGGAGACGTTGGATGGGAGGAGAATAAAGTGGGATGTAGGTGATAAAGTAACAGTAGAGAACACAAAGAGAAGCAAGCAGTCAGCAAAAGAAAAACAGAAGAGGCATGAAACTGTATATGGAAAAATTCAAAATATTTCACACAAAAAATTAAAAAACAGGAGAGGAGAGAGATGAAGAGTCAGTAGGGGGTCGAGATAGCAGGAAAAAATAAGCAGCAGCAGAAGAAAAGATATAAAAGCAAGTGAACTACAGAGAGAAAAACAGAACATTTTTAAAAAGAGGGAGCTAGCAGAACAGTAGGAATAGAAATAACCAGAAAAAGTTTAGCATTTCAGATTTTTTTTTTTTTTTTGAGATGAGTTTCGCTCTGCTGCCCAGGCTGGAGTGCAGTGGCACGATTTCGGCTAACTGCAACCTCTGCCTCCTGGGTTCAATTGATTCTTACGCCTCAGCCTCCAGAGCAGTTGGGATTACAGGTGCCTGCCACAACACCCACCTATTTTTTTTGTATTTTTCCTAGAGACGGGGTTTCACCATGTTGGCCAGGCTGGTCTCGAACTCCTGACCTCAGGTGATCCACCCGTTTCAGCCTCCCAAAGTGGTGGGATTACATGAGCCACTGCACCCGGCTTTTTTTTTTTTTTTTCTTTGAGATAGAGTCTTGCTTTGTCTGGCCCAGGCTGGAGTGCAAGTGCAGTGGTGCAGTCTCAGCTCAGTACAGCCTCCACCTCCCAAGTTCAAGTGATTATCCTGTCTCAGCCTCCCAAGTAGCTGGGACTACAGGCATGCACCACCACACCTGGCTAATTTTGTATTTTTAGTAGAGACGGGGTTTCACCATGTTGGCCAGGCCGTTCTCAAACTCCTGACCTCAGGTGATCTGCCTGCCTCAGCCTCCCGAAGTGCTGGGGTTACAGGCATCAGCCACTGTGCCTGGCCAGCATTTCAGATATTTATTGTTTGTCATATCTGGGGCTCTACTGTATCCAGCACTTGGGCATTTCTTTCCTCTGACACTGCTCATCTTGTCTGAATGATTGTGATAGAATTTCAGATTACCATAGTCTTAACCAGGCAATCAAACCAGGCTGTTTTCCTGCCCCCAATATTGCTTTGTACCACCCCAACATCCTTGTCCCACCCACTCATATCATTGGTTGGATGGTCATCCTATAGAATATTTCCCTCTCATGGGTGCTAGTCTCTCCCCTGCGCAGTAGCAGCAGTTATAACCTGAAGCTCACAGCACCACTGCTTATTTCTGAGCTGACATCACCAGTGGGAATACCTCCCTCCTCTACAGGCTTGCCACCCATTCCTGTTACCCTTTATTTCACTTGCCTTATTTCTTGAGCTTGGTTTAATTGACAAACACTTCTTAAGGGTTCACTGTGCCAAAACTGGATTACATGGGTGCACATTTCAAGGTTAAGGAAAGTGAGTGTGCAGAGGAGACAAACATAAAGAACTATGATGTTACTGATAGCAGGACCCCTTTTTGACACCATTAGGTTCTGAAGCAATGTAAAGCATCCAGAGACTAATCAGTGTCATAAAGCTTCAGGGTGTTTTGAAGTTCTCATGATATTTTCTGGCATTGTGGAGCAGGCTATGCCATAACTCAACAAGGTCAGCTTTCCTTGACACAATGCTAAGCTGTTCCCCTGACACAAGGGTAAGAGTTTGCCATGTACAGTTTCTTTTTTTATTCTCCTAGTGTAGCTGTCTATCACCATAGCAGCTCCCCTCCCCTAAGGGTTCATCTTTCCTTCTGGCCCCTCACAACATCATCAGTCAGCCTGAAAGTTGCTGCACACATTCAGAGCACTGACTGTATTCCAGGCAATATCTGAGTAGTTGACATAGAGTAACTCCATTAATCTACTCATGGCCTTATGAGGTAGATACTATTAGTATCCCTGTTTTAGAGATTGGGAAACTGAGGCACACAGGAGTTAAGTAGCCCAAAGTCATGGAGCTAGTTAGTGTCAGAGCAGAGATTTGAAACCAGGCAGTCTAGCTCTAGAATCCATGTTCTTAACCTGTATGCTGCAGGACCTCGCAGTGTTTCATATGGTTTTGGCTGCTGTGGCTGTCTTGGCAGCCAGTGTTACCCTTTCTGTCCGTGCTTATCCTTTCTTTGATATCCAGCATCCTCAGACACAGAAACCTCAGTTGCTAGATCTTTGTTTACAGGTAGCAAATCACCCTAATTAACTGGTGGGTTGCAAGCAAATCCACACTAAGTAGCTAAGGTAAGAAGGCAAGCCTAGGGAGAGGCTTGTGTCCTTCATAACTGGTCTTTGTTGCAAGGGCAGTCATCATACAGCCAGCAGGAGCACTGTCTGGAGATTGGCCCTCCCTGGCATGAGGCAGCGGGCAGCGGGGTTAAGTGTCTAATGGAGGCAAGTGGAAGTGCTGGAAAGACCACGAGTCAGTGGGTTCTGCCATAGGTAGAGGGGAGGGCAAAGCCCCAGCTGAAGAACCTAGAGAGGAGAGGTAACATGTGATGGGATTCTCTTCTTTGATGAAGCCATTTTGTGGAGGTGCTGAAATCACATACTTCGTTTTATGACTTGATGATCCTATTCTTTTTCTAGGCCAGAGAAAGCTAACATTTGTATTTTCTGTTTCTTGGTTCAGGTGCTGAAACCAAGAACCTACAGTTACTGGTTCCAAAAACTGAGATATGTGAGGAAGCTGAAAAACCCCTCATCATATCAGAAAGAATCCAGAAAGCTGATCCTCAAGGACCTGAGTTAGGAGAAGCTTGTGAAAAGGGAAACATGTTAAAGAGGCAGAGAATAAAGAGAGAAAAGAAAGATTTCAGACAAGTGATAGTGAATGACTGTCACTTACCTGAAAGCTTCAAAGAAGAGGAAAACCAGAAATGTAAGAAATCTGGAGGAAAATATAGCCTTAATTCTGGCGCTGTTAAAAATCCAAAAACCCAGCTTGGACAAAAGCCTTTTACGTGTAGCGTGTGTGGGAAAGGATTTAGTCAGAGTGCAAACCTCGTTGTGCATCAGCGAATCCACACTGGAGAGAAACCCTTTGAATGTCATGAGTGTGGGAAGGCCTTCATTCAGAGTGCAAACCTCGTTGTGCATCAGAGAATCCACACTGGACAGAAACCTTATGTTTGCTCAAAATGTGGGAAAGCCTTCACTCAGAGTTCAAATCTGACTGTACATCAAAAAATCCACTCCTTAGAAAAAACTTTTAAGTGCAATGAATGTGAGAAAGCCTTTAGTTACAGCTCACAACTTGCTCGGCACCAGAAAGTCCACATTACGGAAAAATGCTATGAATGTAATGAATGTGGGAAAACATTTACTAGGAGCTCAAACCTCATTGTCCACCAGAGGATCCACACTGGGGAGAAGCCCTTTGCCTGTAACGACTGTGGCAAAGCCTTTACCCAGAGTGCAAATCTTATTGTACATCAGCGAAGCCATACTGGTGAGAAGCCATATGAGTGTAAAGAGTGTGGGAAAGCCTTTAGTTGTTTTTCACACCTTATTGTGCACCAGAGAATTCACACTGCAGAGAAACCTTACGACTGCAGCGAATGTGGGAAAGCCTTCAGTCAGCTCTCTTGCCTTATTGTCCACCAGAGAATTCACAGTGGAGATCTTCCTTACGTGTGTAATGAATGTGGGAAGGCCTTCACATGTAGCTCATACCTACTTATTCATCAGAGAATTCATAATGGAGAAAAACCTTACACATGTAATGAGTGTGGGAAGGCCTTCAGACAGAGGTCGAGCCTCACCGTGCACCAGAGAACCCACACTGGGGAGAAGCCCTATGAATGTGAGAAGTGTGGTGCAGCTTTCATTTCCAACTCACACCTCATGCGACACCATAGAACCCATCTTGTTGAATAACAAGTAAGGAAGAGGAAGACCTCCAGCATTGGTCATAACCTTCTGCCTCCCTAATGAGACACCTCTTTGCTGTTTTCTTCCTCCTCTATAAAAGTGAGGGCTGTGTCCTTAAAAGTTATAGTTTTCAGGAATGCAGCAGAAGACACAAGAAAAGCATTTCAGAGGCTAATTTAAAACAAAAAGTAAGCACCTAAAGGCAAGGACTTTGTTTTAACTGTACCTTAAGCGGTCATGTTCTCTGAAGTGGAATGTGGCTTTCCTAGGAATGGGTCGTACAAAGCTAAGTGGTAATGATGCTATTTGGGGAAAGGTCTTTTTTGCTTAATTTTGTTTTTTAAAACTCTGATGATTGCTTGAGCAACAGGCAGGTTATCTGCCTGGTTGAATTCTGGTTGAACCGTGTATTCTAATATTTCTGGTTAAGTGGTGACTGGGTAAGGAAACCACTTGGGGTAGCAGTTCAACAATTCACTTACGAATGTTTATAAGCTTTCCATTTCCTAGGTAATTTTTTAAAAGCCAGTCAAAACAAAAACTTTACTGAAAATGGACAGAAATAGGAAATGGACTTTTTCCTTACTGTCTATACCTCCTGAACCTTGGTATTGTAAAGATCTGGGGACCTCTGGGTCTGTTCTGACCATTCCCTAGTCTCCATGGCCAAGCACTCAAGGATTGATGGACACCACACACCAGCTATATTCATTTGCCAAGATCAACAGCTCCTTCTCCAAACAACTCAAGCCCCCAATTCCCATCGCATTCCATTTGGGTGAGATGCAACTAACAGCCCCTTCCTGGATGAAGGAGTCAAAGAATAAAGCTTGCCTAGAGGCATGCCCCAGTTGTCTCTGCTGTCATTCTGCTCAAGTCCAGCCAGGGGTCTCAGTTTGGGTTTCATTCTCACATTCTGGATGGTGTTTAGAAGAAATAGTGGAGCTCTTCTCATTCTGAGAAGACCAAAGAGGGAAAGTGATGGGAGAGGGGAGGTGGAAATAAGATTCCTAAGGTCTTAATTTGATTTTTTGAGAAATTCAGAGGTATTGGAATATGAAAAACTTTTAGAAGGATGAAGAAACTGGCCAAGGTAAGATATCTTTGTTACCATTCAGCCTTTACTCCTGGAAAAATGATTTATAAAACTATGCAATAGGTAGAGTTATGTAATAATATTGCCTTGTATTTATATAGAACTTTTATTCTTTGTTGTGTACCCTTATGTATTGATCATGATACCTGGCACGTATCTCACGCTTTCACATAGATCACCTACCTCAGTCCTTACAACACTGAAACAGGTGGTTGCCCATTTACCTGAGAATGGTCATTTAGTGCAAGGCCAAGTAACAAGTGACAGCTTATATCCAAGTCCAGGTCCTGAATCTAGATTCTCTGTTCTGCCATGCCACTTGCCAAACACCTGTAATCCCCATGCAGACCTGTAGGGGAGACAAAGAAAGGGGTGTGTAGTCCCATTTTTCAGGTGAGGAAGCTGATGTGACAGATGTTTGGAGTGTGCCTTAGGCACTGTGACCAGAAATCAGCAAACCTAAGACTAGAATTTGGGTCTCCTGATTTCTGGCTCTGTCCCTCCATGCTGTTCCAATGCCTCAGGGCATGCAAGAGCATTTATCATAAATGCTGAGCCTGATGCAGCTCTCATGCAGAAGTCCCATGCATTTATTATCACATTTCTGCAAGACTAAATATTAATCACATAGTGTTTTCTAGTTTACAGAGCACTTCTTTTGTGTGTTAGTTTTGTTTTGTTTTTGAGATGGAGTCTTAGGCTGGAGTGCAGTGGCACAATCTTGGCTCACTGCAACCTCTGCCTCCCAGGTTCAAGTAATTCTCTTACCTCAGTCTCCCGAGTAGCTGGGACTACAGGTGCATGCCACCACGCCTGGCCAATTTTTTTTTTTTTTTTTTTTTGAGACAGAGCCTTGCTGTGTTGCCCAGGCTGGAGTGCAGTGGCACGATCTTGGCTCACTGCAACCTCCGCCTCCCGGGTTCAAGTGATTCTCCTGCCTCGACCTCCTGAGTAGCTGAAATTACAGGTGCACGCCACCACCCCCAGCTGATTTTTGTATTTTTAGTAGCAGTGGGGTTGGTCAGGCTGCTCTTGAACTCCTGACCTCGTGATCCACCTGCCTTGGCCTCCCAAAGTGCTGGGATTACAGGAGTAAGCCACTGCGCCCAGCCTTTTTTGTATTTTTAGTAGAGACGAGGTTGCACTATGTTGGCCAGGCTGGTCTCAAACTCCTGACCTCAGGTGATCCACCTGCCTCGGCTTCCCAGAGTGTCAGGAATACAGGCACGAGCCACCATGCCTGGCCTACAGTGCACTTTCACATACAGAAGGCATACACAAGAAAGCTTATTAATTTCCTTTTTCCTCCCTCCTCTAGTTTTTTTTCCAAAACATATGCAACTTACTTTCCCAGTTTCACTCTAAATCATAGAGACACAAATACAAGAAATCAAAAGGATTCAAAAGTAGGATCAAATACTCATGCCCTCACCAATCCTAACAGTGACTGTTCCAGTCTCCCTGATGGAATGGAGAGACCCAAATAAACCACCCCCTGTCTCTGCTGAGAGTAGGAACAAGTTAGTTTTTTCCCCCTGCCTTATCAGGAAGCTGAGAATATCAGGAGAGCAGGTCTGAAGATTTGAGAAAACTCTGTGACCTTGACCCACCAAGAGACAGAAACTACTTTGCTTAAAGAATACCTGCTGGGATTTATGACCATTAAGACAGTTAAACCATTCTACCATCACATATGTTTATCCTCATAATATTCAGTTATGGATGATTGTGATTTTCACTCATAGGTAGTTCAGAAAAGCTACGCAGGGGATTATGATGCAAAACTAGGTTTGAGATTCACTGACCCAACCTTGCAGTAAAGCAGTGGTTTTAAACCTTGGCTTCATGTTAGAATCACATTGGGCACTTTTTTAAAATTTCCATTTCTAGACCTCTGTATTTTTTAAAACTCTGGAGGGGATTACAATGACAAGCAAAGGTTATGAGCCACTGTAGCAAAAAGTAAAGGCTGCAGGCCAAGAATGTGTGTGATCAAAGGTGGAGGGGGTGGGGGTGCTCCAGTATAAGGATCTGTACGTGCAAAGCATTCTATGTATTTTTAGCAGAACAGGAGACTTACTTTACACTAGCTGAACTAGGTGTCCATCAGTGCCTCTGCCAACCATTGGATGTTAGAGGATTCTGCCACCTAGCTTATTTTATTTGTATTTAAGTGAATATACCAAACATTTATATGAGCAAACCAAGTTTTACATAACATGCTTTTGGTATGTATTATGACTTTTTACATTTCTACTTGGATTTCCTCTTCAGATCTCAGTTTCCACAAATCTGCATCCAGGTTCAGGGCCTCTGATTCTGCACAAATCATATGAGCCAAGTGGATTGATTACTAGACAGATCAGATCCTTCCCCAGCTAATAACTCTGCCTTCTGATTCCAGTCCTCAAAATAAATTGCAGCCTGCCATTTTCTTTATGTTTTATAAGGGAGGAGTGACCACCTTTTGTCAGTTTGCTTAGTTTCCTATTCTTTGGGCTCATCTCCCATCTTTTTTGGGTAGTCTTGCTAGGAGTGGTTGGGAACTCTGAAGCCCCATTTTCCCAAGTTGCTGAGAGCTATCAGACTTTTAGCTGTCAGGCTAAGAGCTCTGTTGCAGGCCTAGTGATTGGCATTAAGAGTAGGGCCAGGAAATCTGTCCTCATCCTCAAATGAGACCAACAGATATGTATTAAGTGGAGCACAGTGATGCAAAACTGATGGCGAAATCACGTACAGTACTCTGGGAGCACAGGAGAAAGACTTCAATCCCTAACACGAAGTTACACACTCAAACACAGCCATAAATTCCACCAGGCTTAGGAAGAGGTGTCTTTGGACAAAGCTAATTGTTCACCTGCTCTGTATCCCCTCCCTGTCTCAGGTAGTTGTCCCTCTCCCACGTCTGTCACCTCTCCACTTGCTCATCCATTGTAGGCACTGCAACCTTTCTGGGGTTGCAGCCCCTTTGGGAATCCTGGGAAGATTATGGATCCTCTTCCCCTAAGAAGTGTACGTTGCAGATTAAATCTTGTGCTTACTTGGAGGTTATGCAGGCTTCCTGAAGACAATACATACATTTAGAGCCTAAAGTTGAATCTGGGGTGTATTACATAATCACCAGTGACTTTTTTTTTTTTAAATGAGGTTAGGTTACAGAATCACTAAGAATGTTGCCCAGACATTCTTTAAACCTTTAAAATTTGTTTTTCTCTTAGATTCCTTCCCTTATCAAATGACATTATCCCCACCACCTGGGGCACGCAGATTGAATGTCCAGAAGCTATTTCTGCCTTCCTAAGCATCATTCATTACAAAAACATTTTGTGTTCCCTTGTGGTGAACGTCATGCTAGATTCTGGACTGCCAAAGCAAACCTGGTCCACTATCCCTGTTGTCATGTCTGTTATGGGAAAAATATCAGGATCCCTAACATGATTTACTGAGCTCTTCATAATCTCTTTCCAGCCTCATCTCTTCACTCTCAGGCACCTTTTACTGCAGCCTAGAGGCACGTGCTTGCTCTTCTCTGTGCCTTTGCTCACACTTTTCTCAGTGCCTATAATACCTCATCACTACTTCCCACTCAGTCCCCTTCTACTTTTGCAAGCTTAGTTTCTTTTTATATTTGGTTCAAGTTCCATCTCTGGGAAACCCCTGACTGCGTTATGGTTAAAGGCATATTCAGAAGTATATTTATTAATACGCATATACAAGTGCATGATATGCTATGTGTCCAGAGATTTACCTTTTTGCTTTAAAGTGAAAAAGTCTGGATTAAAAATTGTGTATATAATACAGTTCTCATATACTGTTGCTTTTATATATACTATATACTATTTAAAAGTATATAGATAAATTACCTGAAGGAAAAAAGAAAATATTATAAGTGGTTAAATGACTTACAGCCATACTGACGGTTAATTCCAGGCTTACATTCAAACCCATATACTCTGGATAATAGGATTATGGTTTACTAAGAGGGGTTTTGTTTGTTTGTTTTAGCAATTTCTATATTTCTATAAGGAGCAAGAATTTTATAAAAATAATTATTATATTTACATATCTAGTTTATTATATTAACTATAAACCATATCTCAATTCTCCATTTTGTGGTATGTTGGAGGGACCCTTCCCTTCCTTTCCCTTTCCCTTTTCCACGTCGTTGGCTCTTACATTGTCAAGTCTGATAATTCTTAAATTCTATTCTGTAACCAGTTAGGATTTTATGTTTGGTTATTGATTGATTTCAAAAGCTGAAAATAAACAGCATGAACATTATTACAACCATCTGAATATTGTTGATTGCAGATCTTAGCTTACTGTGTTTATATTTCCTTTTGGGATCAGCTTTTTGTTTTTACGGAAGTTTCTAGTTGCCTTTCTTTTTACCTTGTACTGGTTGCTTTCCACACACTCACAGTCATTTTCAAATTCTCCATTCAATTAAATACTCTGTTGAATTCACTTCTTTTCTCTCTGTATATTCTGCTTTCAGCCTCCTGCTCTAGTCTGTTTTTGATGACCTTTCTGCCTATATTCTGTTGTTACACTGGACTCAACTGTTTCTGAATTCTGTGTCTTCCTTTTTCTTTATTTACTTCATCATTTTATTATAGTACATGTCAAGTCTCCTGTCAGGAAAGAGTACATGGAAGGCAGAGTTGTTGAGTGTCTGTGTCTTTCTCTGACCTCTCACTTGATGGTAGTTTGGCTGGCTCTGGAATTCTAGGTTGAAAAATTTCCCTAGAAGTTTGTAGCCACTGCTTCACTGACTTACAGCATCCACTGCTGCTAATGAGATGCCTGATTCCAATCTGATACTTATTTATTTGACAATCAGTAAATAGTATTTACATTACAGTGATCTGTTTTCCCACCCCTATGCCTGGAAGCTTTTAAAGTCTCTTCTTTATCTTTGATGTATTCAGTTCCCTAATGCTCAGTGGAATTTTTCAATCTACAGACTCAGGTACTCCTACTCTTGGAAATTTTCTCATTATTTATATGACTATTCCCCCTTTCCATGTTTTTTCTCTTTATAGAGTTCCTGTTCCTGCTAATCAAATGTTGGACCTTGTGGATTGATCCTTAGCTGCATTCATTATTTCCATTTCTTTGTATTGTGCCACTATGAGAAGAGTACCTTGATTATTTTCTAATGAATAATATTTTTAACAGTAATAATTTTAACAATAACTAGTTTAATTTCTGAGAGCCTTTTCTTAAAAGTATCTTCTGTCACATGAATTATCTCATTCCCTTCATGCCCCTGCCACTGGGTCCTTTTTTCCCTCTGTTTACCTTGTTTACTCTCATTAGACTTTCCTCAAATGTGATTCTTACACCCATATACGTGTGCGTGTGCACGTGAGTGTGTCTGTGAATTAAAAGCCTAATTGAGACCTCTGTGTGTAGGAGTGAGATTTGCCCACTGTTTCCCTGGAGAACCCTAAATGCCAGAATACAGAATATTTTGCCTTGGGCTCTTACATTTAATTAGCAAAAATCCTCTGATATTTTTGTCTGGGGTTTAGATGCTGTTAAGTGCTTTTCTAGAAGTGGAGGGAAGGAAGCCAAGTGTTATTACAGACTTCCATTTAATGCCCTTATTTTTAGATCCACTTCTGCCTCCCAGCCTTCATTGTACCTGGGGTTTCAAAATTCCAAGTCTCCGGGGTTGGGCAGGGTAGATCAGCTACCTCCTTCCATTGGATAGCCCTCAGCAAGAGTTCCAAGCTGTTACTCCCTCCACCCAGCTGTCTTAGTTACCACATCATTCATTTTCCATCTTCTAGAAATTTGTTCCTTTTATCTCATTGTTATAGTTTTTTTTTTTTTGAGATGGAGTTTTGCTCTTGTTGCCCAGGCTGGAGTGCAATGGGGCAATCTTGGCTCACTGCACCCTCCACCTCCCGGTTTCAAGCAGTTCTCCTGCCTCAGCCTCCTGAGTAGCTGGGATTACAGGCGCATGCCACCACTCCCAGCTAATTGTTTTTTGTATTTTTTAGTAGAGATGGGATTTCACCATGTTGGCCAGGCTGGTCTCCAACTCCTGACCTCAGGTGATCCGCCCACCTTGGCCTCCCAAAGCGCTGGGATTACAAGCGTGAGTCACCACGCCCAGCCTCATCGTTACACATTTTAACCATTTTTACTCATTGTTATTTTAGGGGAAGTTAAACCATTTTTAAAAGAATGTTGATATCCTTTGATACAGCAGTACCACTTTTAGAAAGCTGTCTTAAGAATGAATATTTGTACAATGATTTATATACTTGTCGATGTTACTCATTTCACAAAAAAGTGACTAACCTAAGTAACAATAGGGGAATGATTAAATAAGTTATAATACTATGGAATATTGTGCAACCACTAAAGGTCATAATTAAAAGAATAGTGATATGATAATAGCACACAGTAATATTAAATAAATGATGCAAAGTACAAAATAAAACACTGTACAGAGAGCTGAGTTTTCTGAGATGCACATGCATAGGAAAGAAAGAAATTGGGGGTTAACTGTGGTTAAATTTCCAGCAGTCTACATTTTCTACAATGAGCCTGTATTACTTTTATGATCAGGAGGGGAAGGTTAATAAAAGAGAAAGATCATGGCTTGTTCAGAGTGGTGAGACTTTCTTGTGAAGTGTGAAATGGGTAGTGGGGAATAATAGAATAAGGGTCTGGAGAAGTAAGGTCCCTATTTTTATCCATTGTTAGCATTTTATGGTTACCAAGAACCTAATACCAGGTGAAGGAGTTCAGCAGAAGAATATATATTTGTGACATTGTTCTGGCTGGACAGTGGAGGCTGAGCTGGTGAGGGGAGAAAGGAATCCTGAAGACCATATTGGCAGTTTTTTTCAGAGCCCAAGAGAGACAGTGGGATTCTGACCCAGCCACTAGAAGGGGGCCAGAGGAGAAGGAATAGATGTGATGTTTTGAAGATAAAATGAGCAGACCTTAAGGGACACGGAAGATCAAGCAGCAAATTCCCAAGCCAGAAGTCTGGGCCTCTACATCCTGGTGAGACCTACGACATGACAAATGAGGCCAGGCCCAGGTCCGAGAGGCACTGCTTTCCTTGCAGCTCTCTGGAGCTACCCTGTCTTCACAGTGGCTAATGCCTCTCTGATGTTGGGAAGGGCTGGAGACAAGGGAGGAGACAACCCAACTCATAGCAGGCTACCTGGCTATCGTAGGCTACCTTGACACTGACTAGGTTCCCTACTTGTACCATGTGTGGTTTTCCAGGATTCCTGTGATCTCTGGTATTTTCCCTCCAAGGACTGGGGTTCCCTCAAGGCAAGTCACCCTACTGAACCAATAGCAAGGTTGTAATCATCACTACTGTTAGTTGAGGGGTTCCTGTGTGCCAGGCACCATACTAAATGCCAAATGTGTTACATCTCATTTAATCTTCACCTGAGGAGGGAAGTTCTCTTATGCCATTTGCAAAGCCAGTAGTCCCAGTCAGGATTAGAACAACTCTGATGTACAAGTCTGTGCCCCTTTCTCCCAGGTGAACTTCTCAGTGCACCCCCAAGGACTCCTCTCCCCATGTAAGAGTTCTTTGTTAAATTGAAAGAGCAGTTCTTGCCTGTAGTAAAAAGGTCAGTGGTGCAAAAGCATACAAAGAGATGTGAGACTCCCTCCCAGTCCACATAACCAGTCTCCTACCCCAGTGGTAGCTATTTTTAAATGTCTTGATTTTTCCTCAAGATAGTCCCAGCATTTACAACCTTATGTATCCCCCTTAAAGAAACACGCACAAAAAATGAAAAGCTTAGGATACAGTCTACACCTTGCTTTTTTCAGTGTCTTGGAGATGGCTTTCTATTAGCCTGTAAGATCTACCTCATTTTTTTCACTGCTTTGTGATATCCATTGTATGAATGTACCATAATTCATACAGTCCCCCTGTTGATGGGCCTCTAGGTTCTTTTCTGCCTTTTGCTATTACAAACAGTACTGTGCCAAATATCCCCGCACACTGTCCCTGGATAAATTGATGAAATTAAATCGTAGGTGCATTTGTTATTTTGATAGAAATTGGAAATGTAGTTCCCAGTGTGTGTATGAAAATGTTCATTCCCCTGAATCCTCTGAAACTATTGTGTTGTTTCTGATCTCATAAATGAAAAATGCTCTCATATTTTAATTTGCATTCAACTATGAGTGAAACTGGGTACCACAGCCCATGTTTAAAAGTCATTTGTATTTATTTTCTGTGACTGGCTTATTTGCGTTCTTTAGCAGTTTTTCTGTTCATCCTTTTAATAATCAATTTGTACAAACTATAAAGAAATTATCCTTATCTGCTATATGTGTTGCAAATATTTTCCCAGGTTTGTTTGTCGTACTTAATTTTGCTGTTTGGATATTTAAAATTTAATATCAAATCAAGGACTTCCCCTCTTCAAGATGATATGTTCTCCCATGATTTCTAGTCCTTTGAGATCGGTCCCTTTGAAATTCTTTGTGGATAAGGACTGAGTCAGGTCTTGGCCCTGTCTCCCGCCCCTTTTCCTCTGGCATCCAGGTGGAGGAACCAAGCAGGAAAAACACATAGACGAAGACAGCTCCCAACTTCCTAGAGCAGCCGGGCAAGAAGCTTGCACCAGGGCCTTCTGCCCTCGCCGGACTCACTGAGCCAGTCAAAAGCAGGGTGTCCGGGGAGCCCAGCGAAGAGTGGAGCAAGCTGAGGGAGGAATGGGCAGTCCGAGAAAGGGAGAACAGAAGGGGCTGTACCCTCGCATGGGGTGGGGTTGGGGCTGGTGGGGGCCTGGAGGCTAGGGACAGGCCCAAATCTGGGGTGGGTGGTGTGTTGGGGGAAGGAAAGAGAAGGAAGGGCTGGAGCTTGAGATGTGGGAGGCGAAGGAGGAGGCTGCAGCTATGGGGATGGGGGAAGAATCGGGAATGTGCAAGGAGAAGAGCAGCGATGTGCAGGTGGGCAGCAAGGGTAGGAGTCAGGATCAGATGTGGTGGCCTGGAGGAGGAGCCCAGTTCAGGGAAGAGCCAGGGAGGAAAAGGGTGGCTTCCTCCAGGACCCTGGGACCCTCGTGCTGCCCACTGCTTTCTCTGGCCTTAGGTGGGCAGGGCAGAAACCAGACCATACTCCTGAGGGCAGGTGGGGAAGAGGGCATTCTAGGCTGGCCCTGTTCCTCACCTCCCAACCCAGGACAGATCCCTAAGCTCTCTAACGTAAGTCCTCTCTTGCCATTGTGAGGCTGGGGTGAAATGAGGGGTAGGAAATGGCTTTGTAATGATTGAAAGGCTGCCTGGTTGCACAGGCCTGCTGTGGCCTTCTGGAGGACAGGATAGACATGGATAAAAGAAAACCAAGCCTTACCTGATTGGAAAACATTTTACTTTCATAGTGCAGCGTGGGGTGCCTGCCCCTGACTGCCTTACACATGGGCCTCGGCCGTGCTTCCAGAGCCTTGTTCTGTGGTGGATGCTTAGCGGATGATAAGCAGAGGCCTTGTCTGAGGAAGGCGAGACATGAAGTCACCACTCAGGTCCCAAGGGGGAGAATCTGTTTAGAATAGAGCCTAAGGGGCCACCGTGCTGAAGAAGGAGCCAAATAGTTCTGTGACCCCTTGGGCCAGAAGAAGCTATGGGGAGTTTTCTCTGGAAATAAGAGTCTCTGGCAGGGTCTGGACCACACCTGTTCCCCCAACACAAGCCCTGTGAGGAAGGAGCAGGATGGATGGTCTCTGGTCCCAGACAGCTGTGGAGGCCAGAGTGGCTTCCAGAGGCTGGGGTGGGCTGGAGCACCTTTCCTTCTTCCACCCTGGTGGGCAAAGCTAGGCCTTTGAAAGAATAGGTGCCCACGGTCATGAACTGCATTCACAGGGGCCTGGTCCCAAGATGCCCCTGCCTCCCTAAGGAGCTGATAATCCTCCTGGGATGGGCCAGGTCTCTGGCGAACAGTATTTACTGTCCCTTTAGGTGACACCTGATGATCCCAAAGAACCAAAGGGTTTTCTCTCTTCCATCACAGGTTCGAATGAGAGTGAGGTGCACACAGATGAGGATGAGCCCTGTAAGCCTGAAGGAGGAGCAGCCCCGGGCCAGTGGCTCTTGCCTTGGGAACACCCCCACCAGGGCTAAGGGCTGGCATTTCCCATCTTAGCTTGGTGGGCCACAACCAAAGGTGAGAGGTGGGAATATGGCTGGCCCTAGAAGAGTGTGGTGAAAGGACCAGGGGTTGCCAGGGTAGGGCTGCGACTCATAAGCCACCTTTCTCATAAGCCATTCCTTATTCCCAGGTAAGGCATGGCCCTTAGGTGTGAGAGATGCACCAGGCTAATTTCATTCTCTCCTATTCACTCAGTGTCCAATTGCCCAGCTGCTACCAAATGCCAAGCACCAGGCAGCCATGAGGGGCCTTTCAGGACCTGTTCTGCTTCTGACTGGTTAGGTCACCTCAGAGAAGTCAATGTCCTTGCCTGTCAAATGAAGCAACATTTCCTGCCCTGCCAGCTTCACTGGGTGGTATGCATCAAAGGAGACTCGGACAGGACAGGGCTGTAAACAGTTCAGTCATTTGACATCGCTGTGGTTATTAACCAGGGTGGGGTCATTGTCCAAGAAGAGAAGGGATGCTCTTTGGGAGGGATGCTTCTGTGGGCTGCATGGGGCCAGGGTCCATCCTGGAGATGACCACTCAGTCTTTTTTGCCTTTAAACACCAGACCCTCCCTGAAAGTTTACCTTTACTTACTATGGGTTCTTGCCACTGCCCACCAGCAAAAGGGGTGGAGAAGGTAGGGTCAGCACTGTGACCTTCTTTAGCTTCCCCTCCCAAGGCCATCAGTGGACTTGTCTCCAGAATTTTTTTTTCCAGGTCTCAGTACTAGCCTGGTGACAACAGCATGAGCTCTGGGAGAAAGGCACCCTGAGAGTAGGGCCGGAGCTTCCTCTGACTTCAGCCCTCTAAGGCTACCTGCTGCCTGGGACCCATGTGTTCCCTGCCCCAAGGGCCACTGTTGGAGAAATGCTGCTAGGGCTGAATTGAGAGGCTTCAGCCAGCCTGGGTAAGGCCACTTTCCACCTGGCCTTAACCACCACACCTCAGAAATGTGGGCCTCTGATACTCTCAGCAGAGTGCACCTCTCAGAATCCAGGCTTCAGGGCCTAGCCATCCCCAAGGCTGCCAGACAGGTTTTGTATGTCTTGGGAAAAGCCATTTCCCTCCTGGTCAGTTAGCAGACATCTCTTTGTGAATTACTCCAAGGTGCTGAGCTGTCCGTGGAGGAAAGCACCAGAGAGAATGTGTCCCCCAGCTCTGTGAGCAGACCTGGCTGCAGATGCCAGGCCAGGCTGGAGGCCACAAGGGTTCTGTCTACCAAACACCCATTGCCAGCCCATCATGGCACCACAATTTCACATTGATTAGACAAAGAACTTGCCTAGGTTGTTTTCCTGGGTCATGATCCCAAATTCTTTGTAATAACTCCCCCAAAGAGCCAAACCCCCCAAAATTCTTTCCCCTTGGTTAGCTGTGGCTGTCTGGCAAGCATAGTGGTCCTCAGGGTGACCTTCACGCCAAAACCAGTCATTCAGAGCCATCCTGAGCATTTTGCCAGATGTGCACTAGTGCTAATTCTGGGGCCCAAGGGAGGCAGGATAAACATATTTTATTTGTTGGCAGATGTGAGGACAGGGACTGTGCCAACCAGAATGGTGCCTTCACAGATACTAGCACAAGTGCACCAGGTTAAGAATGCTACAGGGCTGATAGGATTCAGATGTTGCCCTGGAGAAACACACAGCCTAGTTGTGAAGATAAGATGGATACATGGGAAAGAGAAATCTAATTCACCAAAACATGTAAGGTCATTGCCAAAGAAATGGGGATGGATGGCAGAGGTAGTCAAGGATAGAGGAGGGAGCAGTCACTGGGAGCTGTGGGAAGGATGGGAGAAGGCTTCCTAAAGGAGAGGTGACTTGAGCCAGGCCTGATGGGTGGGTGGGTGGATGGATGGATGAATGAATGGGTGGGTGGATGGATGAGCAGTTTTAGAGGACAAGGATTGGGTATTCCAAGCCATGCAGAAGGTGAGAGGAAAGATACAGAGATAGGAAATCTTTGTTGAAGAGCATGAGTACAACCAGAAAGTTCAAGGAAGCCAAGAAGAGGGTTGGGGAATAGGAGAAAAGATCTGTATTAGTTCACTTTCATGCTGCTGATAAAGACATACCCAAGACTGGGAAGAAAAGGAGGCTTAGGCCGGGCGCGGTGGCTCACACCTGTAATCCCAGCACTTTGGGAGGCCAAGGCAGGCGGATCACGAGGTCAGGAGATTGAGACCATCCTGGCTAACATGGTGAAACCCCGTCTCTACTAAAAATACAAAAAATTAGCCAGGCGTGGTGGCGGGCGCCTGTAGTCCCAGCTACTCGGGAGGCTGAGGCAGGAGAATGGTGTGAACCTGGGAGGTGGAGCTTGCAGTGAGCAGAGATTGCACCACTGCACTCCAGCCTGGGCGATGAGCGAGACTCCGTCTCAAAAAAAAAAAAAAAGGAGGTTTAATGGACTTAGAGTTCCACATGGCTGGGGAAGCCTCACAATCATGGCGGAAGGCAAGGAGGAGCAAGTCACGTCTTACATGGGTGGTGGCAGGCAAAGAGAGAGCTTGTGCAGGGAAACTCCCGTTTTTAAAACTGCCAGATCTCGTGAGACTTATTCACTATTACAAGAACAGCACAGGAAAGACCTGCCCCCATGATTCAACTACCTCCCACCGGGTTCCTCCCATGTCACATGGAAATTGTGGGAGTTACAATTCAAGATGAGATTTGGGTGGAGACATAGCCAAATCATATCAAGATCTTAACTGGAGGGCTAGGGCCTAGAGTGGACCATGGCCATCTCTGCCCTTGGGACAGTGCTCTGCTATTTAGCATTTCCACACTCCTCTGTTTCTTCAGGCCTCCTGGAAGCAAAAGCCTGAGCTGCTCCTCCTGGACCTCCTAGAACAGCGTCCTTCTTTCCTGCTGTATTTCCTGTAGCTTAGGGGGAGGAAAGGGCCCTGCATGTGTCCCTCCCCACACTTCAGAGGGTTGGCTTGCCCTGCTTCTTTGTGCTTTCTCTTCCTGCCTGGACTGAGCTCGCGGATTGTGAGGCTAGGGAGCCACATCTCTCTGCCTCCCCTACTGCCAAACCTGGCAGCCCTCAACACCCTTCCCTCTGTGCAGTACCCTTGTTCTCCCTTTCCCCACTTTATCTGATAGATCTCTGAATTCTCTCTTGAGTCACAAGTTCTCATCCTGCCTCTCTCCAGCCAGGAAGTTGACTTGGTCAAGCTCTGTGACTCCCAGGACGCCATGTCCACAGCCCAGCCCATCTCTGACCACCACTTGCTGCCTTGGCCAGTTTCCAAGTCGCCTCTGTCTCCTCCTCTCAGCTTGGCAGTCTTTATGCATGCAGGCATTGCCCTCATCAGACAAATGTTTGGTGACAGTGCCATCCCTGGCTCTTTCCCAGAATGCATTTTTTTGTTGTTGTTTTGTTTTGTTTTGACTACTCTTTCTTTTCTTTTTCTCTACCCATGCTCTGAAACCATAGTATACATACAGGACAATTATGATTGTAAGTACTGTGCTTCCTATCCCAGATATTTCAGGAAGCTCACTGGTGTAACACTTGGGGCCTTACTCTGATCCTCACACACTCTTGCCACACTACAAAAAGGGATTTTATTTGACTGGTGAGTTTTGGAAAGCCAGTCCTCCTCCCACTTCTCCCTTGGGGTCTGGCATCTTCACAGAAACCATGCATTCCATCCTGGCCGTTTGTGCTGCAGGTGTTTCAGGAGCAAACCCATGGCAGCCAGCACTATGTCCTTGGGTGGCTAATGCTGCCTAATCCTGGGATTCATAACCCCACTTGCCTGCAGATACAGCCACATTCACCAATATCAGGCTTTCACTAATAAAAGTGATATGTTGGTCTCCCCATATTATTTCTCAGTTGGTTCGAATATTGAGTATAAAATTATAATAATAGCTAATACCTAGCTAAACACTTCATGTACATTGTATTTGACTCATGTACATTGTACATGTGCATTGACTTATTTAATTCTTACAACATCACTATGACATAGGTACTAGTATTAATCCATTTTACAGGTAGGAAACTGAGGTACAGAAAGGTCACATAACTGTTCATGGCAAAGACAGGATTTGGTCTCAGACAGTCTGGCCCCAGAGACCACACCCCTGGTCTCAATGCTATATTGCCTCTGAAGAGAAGGGTGTTACTTATTGAATTCCCTCAAATCCCACTATAGTTTCATGTTTCCCATCTAGAATATAAAGCTGATTCTATTTTTATTTGCTTTTGTTATATCTGTTATCTTCTATGTCTTGTTTAGATATCAAGACCAAAGTTGAAAAGGCAGATTTGATTCCGGAAAAAACAAATGTGAAAGGAGAATTCTCTGGAAGACTGGAAGCATGAAAAGTGGGAAGTAGGGGAACAGGGCATTCGGAACAGCCTGCAGACAAGCAAGTGAGGAGAGACAAGCCAGACACCAGGCAGGCCCCAACAAAAGAAAAGAGGTCTCCCAGGAGAGAGGGGCCGGAACTATAAGGAACTCAGGAAAGAGGTCTGCCACAACTCCAGCCTGGCTGCCCCTAGCAGGAATCTCTTAAGCATATACTGTGTATGGCAAGGCCTTCAGCCAGAGCTCCACTTTCATCGTGCATCAGATAATCCACACCTGGGAGAAGCCGTGTGGGTGTGGGTAGTGTGGCAAGGCCTTCATGCAGAGCTCCCACCTGACCTAGCCCCAGAGGGTACACATGGGGAAGAAGCCCTTTGTCTGTGGCACATGTGGCAAGGCCTTCAGTCAGGGACCAAGCCTAGTCGTGCACACAGGGTGGAAGCCACACATGTGCCCATAGGGTGGCAAGACCTTCAGCTGCAGCTCGTGCTTCCTGGTTCACTGGTAGAGCAACACGGGGGAGAAGCCCTATTGCTGCACCCAGTATGGAAAGGCCTTCGGCCAGGGCTCCCACCTTTCCAGGGTGAGGAAATCAACTCAGAGTTTTGCAAATCATCTGAGATGACCCAACCAGTCAGAGGCAGAGCATGTCCTGAAGGGCCCCTCATGGTTGCCTAGTGCCTGGTACCTGGGAGCATGCCTGGAAGAAATACCAGCCAACTTCCCCGGTCAGAGCCCAGTGCTGATGGGTCAGGGCTTCAGGTCCAGCACTGAATCCACATGAGAGCAAGCTGAGCCCTTGTCACCAACCTAGCTCTCAGGCTAAGGTAGGCTCCTGTAAGGGCCTCCTGGTGTCTTTGGAGAGACAAGATACATACACAGTAAACACACAAATGAGTAAAGGACAGTAGGTGACAAGCTGAGATTAAAGTGCTGAATTGTGTGCAGAGATAGCAAGATCAGCAGGGAGGGGAAATGGGTGAAGCTTTAGTGGGCCAGCTCTGGGAGAATGGGTTGGCAGTAGGTGGATGAGGGACAGCCCAGGGAGGGGACTAAGCAAACAAGGAATGCCTCCAGGTGGGCCCCAGTGAGGGGAGAGACTGGCTGTACAGTCACTAGGAGTGGCAGGCTTGACAGGCACATGGGGAGGTGAGAAGTTTCAGGACAAAAGCCCCGGTGTGTGGGTGGTACCAACCAAGGCCAAGCCCTGCCCACGGTACTGGGCTTCGTGTACCAGGTTAACCCTGGGCAAGCCACTGAGCATCATTTTCCACACCTGTGCAGGACAGGAGTTGGACATGAGGGGCTTTGAGCTCTCTTCTCTCTGCCACTTGTGATTTCAGAGCTTTGAAGCCATTGTCAGAATGAGGACTAATAGACGGAGGAGGGAAGTGTTGGGAGAATGAAGCTGATGGGAACTCAGGGTAGACGGACAAAGAGGAGGAAAAGGAGACAAGGGAGACCACGTGGGAGGCAGGTGGGGAAATCCAGTTGGTTCTTCTCAGACTTTGGTACCTACCACAGGTGACCTTGCTCAGCTGAAGTAGGTCAAAGACGCTCTTTAGTCATTGTCCATTCATTCAGCAATTTACTGAGCACCTTTTATGTAAAAGGCACCTTGCTAGGTGAACTAAGGGGCCCACAGGGAATGAGACCTGGTCCTTCTCTTAACACAATCCAGCAGGGGAAGTAAGACCACCACAAGGCAGAACATGCTGAGCGGGAGGACAGCTGAGGATAATTGCAGGGAAGTTCAGACGAGGGTGGATGCTGCTTTGATTTGGGGTGGATCATGAAAAAAGTGGCATTCAAGCCAACCTCGAAGGGTGAGTAGGAGTCCCAAAACCTGATGGGAGAGGAGTTGTGTCTAGGAGAAGGACTTGTCTGGAAAGCATGAAGCATGTTGGGAACAGTGTACTGTCTTGGCTTGATAGATGGAAGGCATGCCAGTGACACTCTGGGTGCTTGCTAATGTTCATGCTGTGTGAGATGTAAGGTACAGCTAGTCTGAAAACCTTCCTAGCACTGGCTCCTTTTGCAGTGTGGATGTTTTGTTAATAAAGAACAGGTTTGTGCTTCCCCCATCACTAAGCAGTGCTTAGCTTAAAATGTCATGCAGCCTGGTCTAGTAAATAAAATATACAGTGCAGCTCTCCAGATCCCCTAGTTGCCAGCAATTATTAGTCTGCTGGGACCTGGCAGGAAGGAGAGAGTTTAATGAAAGGGTGATTTACAGAGGTTTGGGGAGGGGATGGGGAGACACCAGATACCAGCAAGAACTAGAGCCTCTGCCACTCCTAGCTTGAAAGGGCACGGAAGGAAATGGTGTAGCTGGAGCCATGCAGCTGTGGTTACAGAGGGACACAGCCACTGCCAGAACCATGGTAGCAGACAGAAGTACCCCGTCCCATTCTCATGCCTCCCTCTGACATACCAGTGCATCCCACTAGGAAGCCAGAAGTAAGGGACCCAGGGTGATGCCACCCACAGGGATCTCTGCCCCAGGGCAATGAGGTAGATGATGGATCTGGGGTGCAGACAAGAATAACCAGTATGCAGGCCAAGGAGTGGAGAATCAAAGAATAACTCTGTGGGGCAGAGACCAGTCTCTACCCAGAGCTGCTTGGCCTCTGGTAGTACATGGATCTCTCTACTCTCTAATTTCTACCTCTGCCACTTCCCTGAATGGCGCAGCTCTTCTAAAATGAGTGGCAGAGTAAACCCTTGGCCCTTCCCACCTTCCAGCAGACATTAACTTCATCCAGTCCCTGGACTCCCCCAACACCCACCCCCAGAGAAACCTGGTAGTTTCAGTTTCTCTGGCTGTACAGGTTATCCCCTGCTGACCTGCCCTAGAGATAAGTTACTGTTAGGCCATGTCTCAGAGCAGGAAAGCAAGTTAATAATAATTGTTTTATTTTATACAGTAGTTACTAAGCACTTACTCTGTGCAGTGCTCTTCTTAATGTGTTTTACTCAATCCTCACTGCATCCCTTAGATAGTTAATATCACCATTTTATAGACAGGGACAGTGAGGCACAGAGAGTTTAAGAAGTTTGCCCATAGGTATGCAGTAAGTGGAGAAGGGACTGGGCTGTGGGCATTGAGTGGCTGCTGAGTCTGGACACCACAGCCCACACCAGGGGTGGACATCGCTCCATTCAATTTACTGTCTCCCTGATACTCCGCCTGTAGCCCACACCGAGCCATGCACAGCTGCAGTGGTCACTTCCCTGGCCACCGTCTCCATTCAGGCAGAGGTGTTTTGGTCCTTTCACCACTTAGTTCTGCTTTGCCCTTATGTCCAAAGCAAAACCCTTTTTACTAGAACTTTTGTTCTAGTAAAAAATTAACTTCCCTTCATTTTCAGGCCTGCAATCCTTCGCCAGGTGTCTGCCCAAGACAACTAGCAGTTTCACACAGATGCTAAGTCTCATGCAAACCAAAACCAAGGAGTCACACAGCTCATTTCAGATGCTTATTGTGTAAACACACAAGATTAGCAGTTGCTTTCATGAATGTCTGGGCTTCTGTGCACACCCTACACCTTGCCTTTGTTAAAATAGGCTGTTTTAACAAGGAAAAGGGCCCTGGTGTTTGCCAAAAGAAGGGGGATTTGGTAAGAAGGATTTTCTTATACTTTGGATGGACATTTTTTATTCTTATACTTAAAAAAATTATTACACTTTGAAATTTCAACTCCTTGTGACGGACGCCATGCAGTTTGAGCTGACAGATGTTGCAACTGTAATTCACCTCAGGCTTTCCTTGTTGCCAGAAGTCAAGCCAGTGACTGATTCCTAGCACCCCTTTTTTGCCTACTAGTGATTGAAAGATAAAGTATATCTCATGCTGGAATTGACCTAGAAGGAACTGGAGACATTTTGAAAGTCAACCTTCCAGTTTGTTAAAAATCTCTAAAATTGACCCTCTAGTGTTGGGGACTATAAATCCACACCCAAGAGAGGGCCAGTTCCTGACTTAATTGGAGGGCTAAACTCATAGCAGTGGGCAGCAACCAGCATTACAATACAGTCCTGTGCTGCTTAACAATGGAGAGTTCTGAAAAGGGCATTGTTAGGTGATTTCATTGTTGCGTGAATATCATAGAGTGTACTCAAACAAACCTAGATGGCAAGTCTAAGTACATCCTAGGCTCTGTGGTATAGTCCTAGGCTATATGATATACACCCTACTACACCCTAACTATGTGGTACAGCCCACTGCTCTTAGACTACAAACTTGTACAGTGTATTATTGTACTGAATACTGTAGGCAACTGTAGCAAAATGGTATCTGTATATCTAAAAATAACTTAGAAAAGGTACAGTAAAAATATGGTATGAAAGATAAAAAATAGTATGCTTATATAGGGCATTTACCATGAATGGAGTTTGCAGGACTGGAAGTTGTTCTGGATGAGTCAGTGAGTGAGTGGCGAGTGAATGTGAAGGCCTAGGATACTACTGTACACTTCTGTAGACTTTACAAATACTGTACACTTAGAGTAAACTAAATTTACTTAAAAATTTCTTTCTTCAATAAGTTAACCTAATGTTAACTTTTTACTAAACTTTTAAAATTTTCTGACTTTTGTAATAACACTTAGATTAAAACACACACTGTAATGCTATACAAAAATATTTTATTTTTATAAGCATTTTTCTTTTAAATTATTTACTTCAACTTTTTGTTAAAAACTAAGACACAAGTACATTAGCCTAGGCATACACAGGTCAGAATCATCAATATCATCATCTTCCACCTTCACATCTTGTCCCACTGGAAGGTCTTCCCGGGCAGTAACATGCACAGAGCTGTCATCTCCTATGATAGCAATGCCCTCTTCTGAAATACCCATGAAGGACCTGCCTGGGACTCTTCTTAAGGAGGTGTCCCTCTTTTCAGAAATATGTCCATGGTGGTTTGCTTGGTATTTCCTTTTTTCATCATAGATTTGCCAGTAAACAAATAATGCACCATGAACATTCCTCTCTATTAATGAAAACCTTTTGGTGTTGGGGTCCATGTTTTCAATTTTTTTTTTTTTTTTTTTTTTGAGATGAGTCTTGCTCTGTCACCCAGGCTGGAGTGCAGTGGCACGATCTCGGCTCACTGCAACCTCTGCCTCCCAGGTTCAAGTGATTCTCCTGCCTCAGCCTCCCTAGTAGCTGGGATTACAGGTGCGTGCCACCACACCCAGGCTTTTTTTTTTTTTTTTTTGTATTTTTAGTAGAGATGGAGTTTCACCATGTCGGTCTGGCTGGTCTTGAACTCCTGATCTCGTGATCTTCCCACCATGGCCTCCCAAAGTGCTGGGATTACAGGAGTGAGCCACCGCGCCCGGCCCAAACTTTTTAAGGAGTTTCTTGAGGTCTGCAAAAGCTTCTGCTAAACTCCCTACTGCAAATTTTCTTGATGGTGGTTTTCTGCAGTTTTGTTTTCTCTTGCCTCTTCTTCAGCTGTGTCCCTGTTCTATTTCCAACAACTCATTAGTCAATTCCTCAGGAACCACCGCTAGGAGCTCCTCAATGTCATCCTCATTCACACCCAGGTTAAAGCTGTTTGCCATCTCAACCACAGCCTTGTGGATTTTTGCAACCTGGTCATCCATGGCAAATCCTCTGAAGTCATGAACAAACCTCGAGTGTCTCCTTCCAGATGCCATTCATACACTCATTGGTGACATCACCCTAAGCCTAAGCAAGGTTCTTGATGCAGTCTTAGATGCTGTAATCCTCCCAGAATTGCATTAGTGTCTTCTCAGTGTCTCCCTCAGATAATAGCAGCAATAGCCTGGGGCAACGTCCGCTTTAGGTAGTGAGCCTTAAAAACTGCTCTAACTCCTTGATCCACTGGTTGGATCAAAGAGTTGATGTTTAGAGGGAGAAACACCAGTTTGATATTAAAACAAAGATCACCAATAAAAGGATGTACAGGAGCATTATCAACAACAAGCAAAATCTTGAAAGGTATGTTATTCTCCAAACAGTACTTCTCCATTTCACTGGCATAGCAATTCAGGAGGGCATATTGGAAGAGAAGCTGGGTCATCCATGACTTGTTATTGCTCATGTAGTACACCGGCAGTGTGTGCTTACTGATATGCTTGAAGGCCCTGGGGTTCTCACTGTGTCAAATCACAAAGGGTTTTAATTTGTGGCCAGCAACATCGCCCCCAAACATTGTTAGCCAGTCCTTCAAAGCCGTGAAACCTGCCACTGACTTGGCCTCTTTATGGATGACAGTCCCTTCCGGCATCTTTTTCCAGAATAGGGAGCCTTGATCCATATTAAAGATTTGCTCTGGCAAGTAATTTTCCCCCACAATCAGCTTATCTAGAGTTTCCAAAAATTATTCAGCTGCCTTCACATCAGCACTTGTAGACTTAGCACTCACTTTCACAATTGTGTAATGAGTAACAATTCTCGAATCATTTAAACCACCCAGAGCTAGCAATAAATTCAACAATATAGTCAGGTCCAGCCTTTTCTATCTACGTAACAAACAAGCTTTTTGCTTTAGCTGTGATTGTCATGGTGCTGAGGGACATGCTTGTGTGTCTGGTCTTCAATCTAGGTCAATATCAGATATTATCCATATCTGATATTGGCCCTTCTCAAATTTTTGTTAGTCTCATTGCCTTCAATGAAGCAGATCCTTTAACAGCTTCTATCACTTTGCTCTTGTTCTTTAGGATGGCAGCTATGGTAAAACGGGACATGCCTGACTGGTGAGCAATAACCATCCCTGATTTTCCACCTTCACAGTCCTTAATCACTTTTAATTTTGTTTCCAGGTCAATTACTCAGCATGGCCTCTTACTGGCAAAATTAGCCATGGATTTTGAATGCTTAGGAGACATGATGAACAAAACATGAGATTAAATCAAGCACAAGAGGAAATGATGCAGTCAAGAGATGTGGTAAACATGAGATAGATGAGGCTGCTGCTGGTCAAACACAGCATACTGTTTTACAGTAAACTTTGAAAAAATAAGTGGAAGGAGCACACTTTGAAATAACAATGAAAAGCACAGTAAAATACATAAACCAGTAACACAGTCATTTATTTATCAAGTATTATGCACTGTACATAACTGCATGTGCTATCCTTTTATATAACTGGCAACATGGTCAGCTTTACACCAGCATCACCACAAACATGTGAGTAATGCATTGTGCTACCACATTATGACAGCTGCAGAGTCACTAGGCCATAGGAATTTCTCAGCTCCATTACCTTATGAGACTACCATCAAATATGTGGTCTGTTGTTGACCAAAACATAATTATGTGGCACATGACTGCACATACCGAGACATATTGCATTCCTATTATATTTTTCCTTTAGTCTAAAGGTAATAAATTTCTTTTTGTGTAAGTGGCAGATGATTAGGATATTACTTTTTAATTTTATACACACACATGATCTGTTTTATTTCCTTGTAAGGAAAAGTCAAGCTCTATGGTCTAGAGAGAAGAGAACAGGCCTTAAGACTAGGATCTCATCCCTGAGCAGCTAGCAACTGAAGATGAGAGAGAAGGATATTTTTAAAGACACCCCTCTAGCATGTCTAATGGTCAAGGATTGCAGTGTTTCTGACAGAACACTTCTGTTCTGAGAGGCTCAGACTCCTTAGCCCTATGGACAGGGTTTAATACTTCATCTTGTTAACTTTGGTCTGCAGTTCTGGTCTGGTAGGGTTCCTTTGATTCATGATTCTATCATCCTATGTATCCTTCGCTGTTTTGGTCACTCCTAAAGGCAGCCTACATTTGAATGAGGATGTGACATTCTAAATTTTAGTACTGCTCACAGTGGGCCTTCTAAGCTTCCCAACTCTAGCACATTAAAGCTTTGAAATAACAATGAAAAGTAAGTAAGCTTTAATGTGCTGGAGTTACATTGGAAAAATTACAAATCTTCAAAGCAGGTGAGATCTTGCAAGATTATCAGATTAAGAGTTTCTTGATAAGAGGAAGTTCTCAATGAATTAAAATTTAATCAACTTTGTAGAAATGAAGAGCTCCTCAGTTTCCTGTCAATCAAAGTGGAAGACAGGACCTGGCATCTACCTCTTGGAACTCCAAATCTGACTGGAGGCACATGTACAAAAACAAGGCAAGTGAATAAAACACCATACAAGCAGAGTGAGTTTGTGGACCCAGATTTCCAGCAATGAACAGTCCATGACCTCTCACATACTTCCTAGTATTTATGAGATGCTGGCCTGGCTGAAGGCAAGCATATAACATGACCATTCAACTCTGCCCCATTAACAGTGGGCCCTAACCCAAGTAGCCAGCTGAGGTTTCTTCTGGGCATGAGTTGTCTGATGGAGAATAAGATGGGAGCTCTGGCCAAAGGCTCTTTCACACTCATTACACTGATAGGGTTTCTCCCCTGTGTGAATTCTCTGATGCACAATAAGGTATGAACTACAACTGAAAGCTTTGCCGCATTCATTACACTCAAATGGCTTCTCCCCCGTGTGGATCCTCTGAGGGACAGTGAGGCCTGAACTCCGGCTGAAGGCTTTCCCACACTTACCACATTCAAAAGATTTCTCTCCAGTGTGGATGCCCTGATGAACTATGAGATTTGAGCTCTGGCTGAAGGTATTCCCACATTCCTGGCATTCATAGGGTTTCTCACCAGTATGGATCCTCTGATGTCGTATGAGGTGTGATCTCTGTCTGAAACCTTTTCCGCATTCATTACATAGGAAAGGTTTCTCCCCTGTGTGAATTCTTTGGTGCACGATAAGGCTTGCACTCTGACCAAAGGCTTTTCCACACTCCTTACAGATAAAGGGTTTCTCTCCTGGGTAGTTTTGTTGCCCTCTTTCCTTGTCAAGGGCACTCCTGTCTCTGAAGGCAACACCTGTGGAAACTCTCTTCCTTCTCCTTGCTCTGGGTCCTGCCTGGCTTCCCTGATGCCTCTTTGCACTTCCCTTCCCCGCTAGGGCTTCTCTAAACCTGGCTGCCAGAGGGGCTACACTCTGAAGCCTTTCGTAAGTTGTGACTTGTATTTTGACTTCTGAAACTGGCCCCTTGTTCTTCTCCCTGTGAATTCTCGAATGTGAAATACTTTTTGAGCTTAGATTAAAGAAGTTATCAAATTCTTTACCTTTCTGGCTTTTCTTCTCTAGGGAGATTTTTACATCCTTGATTTCTGCTGGCCTTATATTTCTAGTCCTCGTCCTCAGTATCTCCCTGGAAGGATCTCTCTGATGAATATTCAAACTGTCTTCCCAATTTTTGAATGCTCCTTGCCTTCTCTCTCTCCCTTACTCTTCAAAGTCGTCTTTGAGAGGAAGAGCTGGTAACACAGCCTGAAAAAAGCCTCAGGGCCTGAATTTCCATGCTGGCTCTGCCACTTAGGGGCTGTTTGCGCTTAGGCAGATTAACCCCTCTCATTTTTTCTTAATAGGAATAATAGTACCTACCTCATAAGGTTGCTGTCAGGATTAAATGAAACAAGCATTTAGAACAGTGCCTGGCCCACGCTAAGCATTACACAAGCACTTGCTATTATTTTGCCTCTTTAATGCTCCTTAAATCTACACAGTTCAGACATTCAGACATTCAGACTTATGGGACACTTATGACTGCCACCTGCACCTACACTACTTTCCTCCCGCCCGCATCCCATTTCTAGTCCCCAGTTCACCCTAACAACAAGCCCTTCAGACACACCCACCAGTGTGCCCACGTCAATTTACCATTGCCATGGCAACACCCCGGAGTTACTGCACCTTTCCATGGCAGTGACCCAATGACCCAAAAGTACTACTCCTTCCCTAGAAAGTTCTGCATAAGCCGCCCCTTAATCTGCATGCGATTAAAAATGGGTATAAATATGACCGCAAAACTGCCCTTCAAGCAGTTGACGAGCGACTTTCCCCTTACATCAAGTGCACAGTAAGCCCAAGCGCCGGGGCCGCGGGGATTCCCGCCAGTCACTCCCGCCACTACCGCCACCCGGCCCCGCCGCCAGCGCAGCCCGCAGCCCCGGCAAGCCTGCGCCCGCTCGGCCCCGGTCTCTTTCGCTCACCAGAGGCTACGGGGCGCCCGGCCCCGCACACCCAAGAAACACTGCCACCGCGACGCGCCTGCCCCCAGGATCCTCTCGCGAGCTTCAGTACCCAAGGAAGATGGGCCGTCCCGGAAGTGCGGCCGGGGCGACTTGCAGGCCCCTCGCCGACCGCTCTAGGAATCTCGGAGGTCTTTTGACCTCGACGCCTCCTTACCTGGGTCTCCTACATCTGACCTATCCATTCCAATTAAAAATCTGCAATGTGTTTAGGGGTGGGAGGACAATCTACTATCTACACAAAGGCCTCAGAGAATGTTGGGGAAAAAATTAAAGTCTTAGATATTGACATGTTTAACTTTTACTTCTTTTACAATGTAAAAGTGTCTCTCTACAGCTCCTTTATTTTTGAGAGGTGCTTATAGAAGATACGATTCAGGTTAGAAGATTCAAGTTAGAAAATTCTCTCTAGTCAATGCTCTCCAACCCGTTGCAGTAGGATTGGGATGGAACTGCTGAGGTAGCAAGCAGGACTTGACTCCAGAGGCCGGGTCAGACACTCGACCAAATTGAGGACTAACTAAAACAGAGCCAGGTGGAAGCAGCTTTCAGTCAGACACACCCACCAGTGTGCCATGTCAATTTACCATTGCCATGGCAACACCCCGGAGTTACTGCACCTTTCCATGGCAGTGACCCAAAAGTACTACTCCTTCCCTAGAAAGTTCTGCATAAGTCGCCCCTTAATCTGCATGCGATTAAAAATGGATATAAATATGACTGCAAAACTGCCCTGAGCTGCTACTGTCTGCCTACAGGGTAGCCCTCCTTTGCAGGAGCAGTTACAGAGCTGTAACACCGCCTCTTTGAAGGGGTTTTTTCTTCTACCTCTGGCTTGTCCTTGAAGTCTTTCCTGGGCAAAGCCAGGAACCCTTGTGGGCTAAGCTCCACTTTGGGGCTTGCCTGACTTGCATAACCGTGAAGCTACTTGAGTTGTCAAATAAAAAACAAACTCAGACATAGATAAGACAGGCTTTATTCAAAAGGACAATTGCAAATGGGAGAAAGGTACTACTACAATAGGGAGAGGAGGACTATTGCAATAGAGAGAATGCTTAGACCATAAGATCCACAAACATCTTGTCAACCCAAATAACAGACAGACTCTCTAAAGATAAGGTGTTTATTCAGGAGTGCACAGGGGATTCACAAATCCAGTATATGGGGGCTATGCAGACCATTGGCATATCCAAAGAGGTTGTGTAGCGGGATTGATAAAAAATTAGAGAGACCGATGGGGTTGAGAAGGATATTTATTATTTAGGTGCACTGGCCCAGTTGGATTAACATCCAAAGGCTGAGCCCTGAACAAAATGTTAAGTTACCTTTTAAGCATTTCGTGGGGCAGGAGAAAATCTGTGCAGGGAAAAACGTATTACAGAAGCAAAAAACAAAGACAGTTATTCAATTAATTGAGACCTGCATTACATCAGTTGAAGCAAGGAAAAGTTTTTAAAGGCAAAAAGGAAGCATACGTAATTTGTTTTGAAACAAAGAGAATATTGGTTACAAGACTTATCAGAGGGGTTGATGCCAGTTTATTAACAGAGAGAGTGTGTCAAGCAAGTGTTCTTGTGCATCCAGGTAGCTTCCTTTTACTCACGTAGCAAGCTGCAGCTTAGAAAGCCCTTGTCAGAAGTTCTTGTTATGGGCACCTATGCATAGAAAGTTCTTGTAATATTTCATAACATAGGCATATGTGCATGAGGACCCTCCCTTCTTAACCTTCTGGTTTTATTTATTTCTTTTTTTTTTTTTGTTAGGGCTTGACACAAGTGACTCCATTTTGATTTTGACGACTTTCACAATCTCGAAGGTCAGGCAGAAAAGAATTTTATGCAGAACTTTCTAGGGAAGGAGTAGTACTTTTGGGTCATTGGGTCATTGCCGTGGAAAGGTGCGGTAACTCCTGGGTGTTGCCATAGCAATGGTAAATTGACATGACACACTCGTGTGTATGTCTGATAGGTAGGAATAAATTAGGTTAGAGCAGACTGGTGTAAGGGAATGAATGAGCCAGTGTCATAATTGGATAGTTAATCAGGAAATGTCTTTCCTTGAAGTCAGCTGATTACCAGTGAGCACATAAGCCAGAGTTCTTCAGAGAACCAGAGCCAATAGGATGTGTAGATATATAAGAGGAATTTATTAAGGAAATTGACTCACATGATTATAGAGGCTGAGAAATCCCACGATATGCCATTTGTGAGCTGGAGAACCAGGGAAACAAGTAGCATAGCTCAGTCCAAGTCTGAAGGCCTGAGAACTGAGAGGGCCACTGGTGCAAGTCCCAGAGTCTGAAGGTTGAAAAACCTGGAGTTCTAATGTCCTAGTGTTGCTGGAGGGCTTAGTAGGGTCTCCAGATGCCAGTGAGACCCTAGCTCCAGCTGGTTTCCAGCTTCATGACACCATTGCAAGTAAGAATTCAAGGAAAAGTCAGAATGAAGTGAAAGGCAAGAAGCTTTTATTGCAAAACAAAAGTACACACTTAAGAGAGAAGTGTGAGTGTGCTCATGAGAATGAGTCACACACAACGAGTTTCTAATTTTATGGGTGTTTCTTTAATTATGGGGTGGAATAATCATTCAGTATTTTGGAAAAGAAAGGGATTTCAGAGACTCCTCCCAGCCCCCTATTCCCCCCATTACCACCCCCTTTCTCCCTTATTTGGGTTTGCCAAGAAGAGTCATGGACATGTCAGCCTGACCAGGGTTTTGGCCATTTTCTCTCCCTTATTTTGAGTTTTCTGTTATCCTGTGGTTTCTTTGCCTAGTTCTTATTTTAACTGTTGTTCAGGTTTTTCCATACTCCTGTGACTACCCAGTGCTACTCCTGTCTCACAGGTCCAGGAGAAGATGGGTGTCCCAGCTCCAGGAGAGAGAGAGTGAATTCACCTCTCTCTTTTTGTTCTACCTGGGCTCTCAGCCCTTTGGATGGTGCCCACCCATGTTGTGTGAGGGCACATTTTCCTTACTCAGAACACAGATTCAAATGCCAATCTCTTCCAGGAACACTCTCACAGACATACATCCAAAATAGTGCTTTACCAGTTATCTGGGTATTCCTTAACCCAGTCAAGTTGACACCTAAAATTAACCATCACATGTTCTTATAATAAGGAGGGGTTGTTCTACATCTCATTACTGGCTCAGGCCGAAGATAGGTCAAAACTTAAGGACCTAGGGGAGGGAGAGGAGCTTAACTAAAGCTTGGTCAAGTTAAATTAGCAGGTATGCTGTCCAAATTGGTCATGGGTACAAACAGTTCAGTTAATCACTTGTAAAGCAAATCATCTGGAGGGTCTGTGTCTAGACAAACAAGGGGGTGGGGCTATCTGTGAGTCTCATCTAAGTCATATGGGGAAGGATGGCTCTTTGCAGGAAGTCATTTCCTAGAACACTAAAGGGTGTGGGGATTTTTAATTGTCACTGTTTTCCAGGAGAGCAGACTCAGGTAAAGTTTAACATTTTCAGACTCTTGGGGAAAATTAGGTTATCTATTCTTCGTTGGCTGAGATAGGATTCATGAAACACTATCATAAAATATGGCACCTTGCCATTTGAGAAAACAGCAGAAGCAAGATGGTCTCTCTGACCTTCTCCCATGATTCTCCCCTGAAGCAGGCCATAAAACATTCCCTTGGCGGGTGCAGTGGCTCACACCTGTAATCCCAGCACTTCGGAAGGCCGAGGCAGGTGAATCACGAGGTCAGGAGTTCGAGACCAGCCTGGCCAATATGGTGAAACCCTGTCTCTACTAAAAATACAAAAAAAAAATGAGCTGGGTATGGTGGTGCGCGCCTGTAGTCCTGCTACTTGGGAGGCTGAGGCAGAAGAATCTTGAACCTGGGAGGCAGAGGTTGCAGTGAGCCAAGATCACACCACTGCACTCCAGCCTGGGCAACAGAGTGAGACTCTGTCTCAAAAAGAAACAAACAAACAAACAAAAAACCAAAAAAAAAACCTTCCCTTAAAAGGCTGGGCATGGTGGCTTTCTCACACCTGTAATCCCAGCATGATGGGAGGCCAAGGTGGATGGATCACCTGAGGTCAGGAGTTTGAGACCAGACTGGCCAACATGGCAAAACCCTGTCTCTACTAAGAATACAAAAATTAGCCAGATGTGGTGGCGTGCACCTGTAATCCCAGCTACTCAGGAGGCTGAGGCCGAGAATCTCCTGAACCCAGGAGGCGGAGGTTACAGTGAGCCAAGATCATACCATTGCACTCTAGCCTGGGCAATAAGAGTGAAACTCTATCTTGAAAATAGTAATAATAATAATAATATCCTTTCTTGCAAAATATAGTAATTAAAAAATTAATCCTACATCACAAACCCTTGTAGCAGACAGAGCACATCTCCCCATATATATGATCATTGCACCTAGGGTGGACACTTTCTTCCTCTTACTTTCAGGGACACCCTACTTTGTCTATGGTGTAGCTGTACTTTCACTACTTTCACACCAGCTCACCAGCAATGGATCCAAACCAAGACAAAATCTGTGAATTGCCAGAAAAAGAATTCAGACAGTCAACTATTAAGCCAACCAAGCAGGCATCAGAGAAAGATGAGGTCCAACTTAAAAAAAATTTTTTAAATGATACAGTATATGAAGGGGAAACTCTCCAGTGAAATAGGTAGCATAAATAAAAATTACAACTTCTGGAAATCAAGGACACATTTAGAGAATTGGAAATGCACTGGAAAGTCTCAGCAATAGACTCAAACAAGAAGGAAAAGAATATCAGAGCTCAAAGACAAGCCTTTCAAATTAACCCAGTTCATCAAAGACCAAGAAAAGAGAATTTTAAAAAATGAACAAAACTTCTAAGAAATTTGGGATTATGTAAAATGACCAAACCTATGAATAATTGTTGTTCCCAAGGAAGACAAGAAATCTAAAATCTTGGAAAACATATTAGAGGTAATAATTGAGAAAAACTTCCCTGGTCTTGCTAGAGATCTAGACATCCAAATACAAGAAGCTCAAAGAACACCTGGGAAATTCATTGCAAAAAGATCATTGCCTAGGCACACACTCATCAGGTTATCTAAAGTCAAGACTAAGGAAAGAATCTTAAGAGCTGTGAGACAAAAACATCAGGAACCTATAAAGGAAACCCTATCAGATTAACAGCAGATTTCTGAGCAGAAACCCTACAAGCTATAAGGGATTGGGGTTCTATGTTTAGCCTCCTAAACAAAACAATTATCAGGCAAGAATTTTGTATACAGTGAAACTTAGCTTCCTAAATGAAGGAAAGATACAATCTTTTTCAGACAAACAAACGCTGAGAGAATTCATCACTACCAAGCCAGCACTATAAAAACTGCTAAAAGGAGCTCCAAATCTTGAAACAAATCCTTGAAATACACCAAAATAGGGTCCCCTGAAAGCATAAATCTCACAGTACTTATAAAACAACAACATGATGAAAAAAAACCAAGTTATTCAGGCAACAAATAGCACAATGAATAGAATAATACCTTGGATCTTAATACTAACACTGAATGTAAATGGCCTAAATGCTCCATTTAAAAGATACAGAATGGCAGAATGGAGAAGAATTCACCAACCAAGTATCTGCTGTCTTCAAGAGACTCACCTAACACATAAGGACTCACATAAACTTAAGGTAAAGGGATGGAAAAAGATATTCCATGCAAATTTACATCAAAAGCAAGCAGAAGTAGCTAGTCTTATATCAGACAAAACAAACTTCAAAGCAACAGCAATTTAAAAAGACAAATAGGGATATTATACAATGATAAAAGGACTAGTCCAGCAGGAAAATATAACAATCCTAACATATATATAAAATATAACAATCCCCATATATACGCTGGAGCTCCAAAATTTATAAAACAATGACTACTAGATCTAAAACATGAGATAGACAGCAACACAATAATAGTGGGATTACTTCAATTCTCCACTGACAGCACTAGACAGCTTATCAAGACAGAAAGTCAACAAAGAAACAATGGACTTAAGCTATATCCTAGAACAAATGGACTTAACAGATATTGACAGATACCCAACAACTGTAGAATATATATTCTATTCACCAGCACATGGAACGTTAAGATAGACCATATAATAGGCCCCAAAACAAGTCTCAACAAATATAGGTAAATGGAAATTATAGCCAGTACTCTCTCAGACCACAGTGGAATAAAACTGGAAATCAACTCCAAAAGGAACCCACAAAACCATGCAAAGACATGGAAATTAAATAACCTGCTCCTGAATGATTGTTGGGTCAACAGTGAAATCAAGATGGAAATTAAAATATTCTTTGAACTGAACAATAATAGTGAAACAACCTATCAAAACTTCTGGGATACAGCAAGGTGGTGTTAAGAGCAAAGTTCATCAAAAAGTCTGAAGGAGCACAAACAGACAATCTGAGGTCACACCTCAAGGAGCTAGAGAAACAAGAACAAACCTAACCCAAATGCAGCAGAAAACAAGAAATAACCAAGATCAGAACAGAACAAAATGAAATTGAAACAAAAAAAAATACAAAAGATAAATGAAACAAAAAGTTGGTCATTTGAAAAGATAAATAAAATTGATAGACCATTAGTGACATTAACAAAGAAAATAAAGGATAAGATCCAAATAAGCTCAATTAGAAACAAAACAGGAGATATTCTGACTAATACCAAGGAGATGGATGAATTCCTGGAAATATGCAACCCTCCTAGATTAAACCAGGAAGAAATGGAAATATGCACCCCTCCTAGATTAAACAGGAAGAAATGGAAACTCTGAACAGACTAATAACAAGCAGCAAGATTGAAATGGTAATTAAGTTACCAACAAAAAAAAAGTCCAGGACCAGAAAGATGGACAGTTGAATTCTATCCAACATTCAAAGAATTGATACCAATTCTACTGACACTACTCCAAAAGATAGAGAAAGAAGGAATCCTCCCTAAGTCATTCTATGAAGCCAGTATCACCCTAATACAAAAACTAGGAAAGGATATAACAAAAAAAGAAAACTGCAGACCAATATCCCTGATGAACGTAGATGCAAAAATCCTCAACAAAATACTAGCTAACCAAATCCAACAGCATAACAAAAAGATAACCCACCATGATCGAGTGGGTTTCATACCAGGGATGCAGGGATGGTTTAACATCGGCAAGTCAATAAATGTGATACACCACATAAACAGAATTAAAAACAAAAATCACACGATCATCTCAATAGATGCAGAAAAAGTATTTGACAAAATCCAGCATCCTTTTATGATTAAAAACCCTCAGCAAGGCCAGGCATGATGACTCACACCTGTGATCCCAGCACTTTTGGAGGCCAAGATGGATGGATCACCTGAGGTCAGGAGTTTGAGACCAGCCTGGCCAACATGGTGAAACCCCATCTCTACTAAAAATATAGAAAAATTAGTCAGGCATGGTGGCACACGCCTGTAATCCCAGCTACTCGGGAGGCTGAGGTAAGAGAACTGCTTGAACCTGGGAGGCGGAGGTTGCAGTGAGCCGGGACCAGGTCATTGCACTCCAGCCTGGGCAACAAGAACAAAACTCCATATCAAAAGAACAAAACAAAACAAAAAAACCCTCAGCAAAATTGGCTTAGAAGGGACATACTTTTCTAGTAAATTTGTTTGAGTTCATTGTAGATTCTGGATATTAGCCCTTTGTCAGATGAGTAGGTTGCGAAAATTTTCTCCCATTTTGTAGGTTGGCTGTTCACTCTGATGGTAGTTTCTTTTGCTGTGCAGAAGCTCTTTAGTTTAATTAGATCCCATTTGCCAATTTTGGCTTTTGTTGCCATTGCTTTTGGTGTTTTAGACATGAAGTCCTTGCCCATGCCTATGTCCTGAATGGTAATGCCTAGGTTTTCTTCTAGGGTTTTTATGGTTTTAGGTCTAACATTTAAGTCTTTAAACCATCTTGAATTAATTTTTGTATAAAGTGTAAGGAAGGGATCCAGTTTCAGCTTTCTACATATGGCTAGCCAGTTTTCCCAGCACCATTTATTAAATAGGGAATCCTTTCCCCATTGCTTGTTTTTCTCAGGTTTGTCAAAGACCAGATAGTTGTAGATATGCAGCATTATTCCTGAGGGCTCTGTTCTGTTCCATTGATCTATATCTCTGTTTTGGTACCAGTACCACGCTGTTTTGGTTACTGTATAGCCTTGTAGTATAGTTTGAAGTCAGGTAGCGTGATGCCTCCAGCTTTGTTCTTTTGGCTTAGGATTGACTTGGCAATGTGGGCTCTTTTTTGGTTCCATGTGAACTTTAAAGTAGTTTTTTCCAATTCTGTGAAGAAAGTCATTGGTAGCTTGATGGGCATGGCATTGAATCTATAAATTACCTTGAGCAGCATGGCCATTTTCACAATATTGATTCTTCCTACCCATGAGCATGGAATGTTCTTCCATTTGTTTGTATCCTCTTTTATTTCATTGAGCAGTGGTTTGTAGTTCTTCACGTCCCTTGTAAGTTGGATTCCTAAGTATTTTATTCTCTTTGAAGCAACTGTGAATGGGAGTTCACTCATGATTTGGCTCTCTGTCTGTTATTGGTGTATAAGAATGCTTGTGATTTTTGTACATTGATTTTGTATCCTGAGACTTTGCTGAAGTTGCTTATCAGCTTAAGGAGATTTTGGGCTGAGACAATGGGGTTTTCTAGATATAGAATCATGTCGTCTGCAAACAGGGACAATTTGACTTCCTCTTTTCCTAATTGAATGCCCATTATTTCCTTCTCCTGCCTAATTGCCCTGGCCAGAACTTCCAACACTATGTTGAATAGGAGTGGTGAGAGAGGGCATCCCTGTCTTGTGCCAGTTTTCAAAGGGAATGCTTCCAGTTTTTGCCCATTCAGTATGATATTGGCTGTGGGTTTGTCATAGATAACCCCATCAAAAAGTGGGCAAAGGATATGAACAGACACTTCTCAAAGGAAGACATTTATGCAGCGAAAAGACACACGAAAAAATGCTCATCATCACTGGCCATCAGAGAAATGCAAATCAAAACCACAATGAGATACCATCTCTCACCAGTTAGAATGGCAATCATTAAAAAGTCAGGAAACAACAGGTGCTGGAGAGGATGTGGAGAAATAGGAACCCTTTTACCCTGTTGGTGGGAATGTAAACTAGTTCAACCATTGTGGAAGTCAGTGTGGCGATTCCTCAGGGATCTAGAACTAGAAATACCATTTGACCCAGCCATCCCATTACTGGGTATATACCCAAAGGACTATAAATCATGCTGCTATAAAGACACATGCACACTTACGTTTATTGCGACACTATTCACAATAGCAAAGACTTGGAACCAACCCAAATGTCCAACAAGGGTAGACTGGATTAAGAAAATGTGGCACATATACACCATGGAATTCTATGTAGCCATAAAAAATGATGAGTTCATGTCCTTTATAGGGACATGGATGAAATTGGAAATCATCATTCTCAGTAAACTATCTCAAGGACAAAAAACCAAACACCGCATGTTCTCACTCATAGATGGGAATTGAACAATGAGAACACATGGACACAGGAAGGGGAACATCACACTCTGGGGACTGTTGTGGGGTGAGGGGAAGGGGGACGGATAGCATTAGGAGATAAACCTAATGCTAAATGATGAGTTAATGGGTGCAGCACACCAGCATGGCACATGTATACATATGAAACTAACCTGCACATTGTGCACATGTACCCTAAAACTTAAAGTATAATAATAATAATAATAAAAAGAAGGGACATACTTTAAAATAATTAAAGCCATCTATGACAAATCCACAGCCAACATTATACTGAATGAGGAAAAGTTGACAGTATTCCCCCGGAGAAATGGAACAAGACAAAGATGCCTACTTTCATCACTTCTATTCAACATAGTATTGGAAGTTCTAGCCACAGCAACCAGACAAGAGAAAAAAACATAAATAAATAAGGGCATCCAGATTGATAAAGGAGAAGTCAAACTGTTGCTGTTTGCTGATGACATGGTTTTATACCTAGAAAACCCTAAAGGCTCATCCAAAAAGCTCCTAAAACTGGTAAATGAATTCAGCCAACTTTCAGGACTCAAAATTAAGGTACAGAAATCAGTAGCCCTGCTATACACCAACAGCAACAAAGCTGAGAATCAAATCAAGAAGTCAACCCCTTTTAGAATAGCTGCAATAACATAATATAAAAATACTTAGGAATATGCTTAACCAAGGAGCTGAAAGATCTCTATAAGGAAAACTACAAAACACTGCTGAAAGAAATAATAGATGACACAAACAAATGGAATCGCATCCCATGTTCATGGATGGATAGAATCAATATTGTGAAAAATGACCATACTGCCAAAAGCAATCTACAAATTCAATGCAGTTTTTATCAAAATACCACCATTAGTCTTCACAGAACTAGAAAAACAATTCTAAAGTTCATATGGAACAAAAAAACAGCCCGCATAGCCAAAGCAAGACTAAACAAAAAACAAAAGCAAAAACAAATCTGGAGGCATTACATTACCTGACTTAAAACTATACTATCAGGCCATAGTCACCAAAACAGAATGGTACTGGTATAAAAACAAGCATATAGACTAATGGAACAGAATAGAGAACTCAGAAATAAAGTCTAATACTTACAGTCAACTTATCTTCAACAAAGCAAACAAAAACATAAAGTGGAAAAGGGACACCTTATTCAACAAATGGTGCTGGCATAATTGGCAAGCCATGTGTAGAAGAATGAAACTGGATCCTCATCTCTCACCTTATACAAAAATCAACTCAAGATGGATCAAAGGCTTAAATCTAACACCTGAAACCATAAAAATTCCAGAAGATACCAGCCTGGGTGAAATAGTGAAATCCTGTCCCTACTAAAAATACAAAAAATTAGCCAGGTATGGTGGTGTGCACCTGTAACCCCAGCTACTCAGGAGGTTGAGACAGGAGAACCTGGGAGGTGGAGGTTGCATTGAGCCGAGATGGTGCCACTGCACTCTAGCCTGGGCAATAAGAGTGAAACTCTGTCTTAAAAAAAAAAAAAAAAGGGGGCCGTGCACGGTGGCTCACGCCTGTAATCCCAGCACTTTGGGAGGCTGAGGCGGGCTGATCACGAGGTCAGGAGATCAAGACCATCCTGGCTAACAAGGTGAAACCCCGTCTCTATTAAAAATACAAAAAATTAGCCAGATGTGGTGGTGAGCACCTGTAGTCCCAGCTACTTGGGAGGCTGAGGCAGGAGAATGGCGTGAACCCGGGAGGCAGAGCTTGCAGTGAGCTGAGATTGCGCCACAGCACTCCAGCCTGGGTGACAGAGCGAGACTCCGTCTCAAAAAAAAAAAAAAAAAAAAAAAAAAAGAAGATAACATTGGAAAAACCCTTCTAGACATTGGCTTAGGCAAAGACTTCATAACCAAGAACCCAGAAGCAAACACAACAAACAAAAACAAAGATAAATAGATGGAACTTAATTAAACTATAAGCTTCTGCACAGCAAAAGAACTCATCACAGAGTAAACAGACAACCTACAGAGTGGGAGAAAATCATTGCAATCTATACATCTGACAAAGGACTAATATCCAGAATCTACAAGGAACTCAAACAAATTAGCAAGAACAAAACAAACAATCCCATCCAAAAGTGGGCTAAGGACTTGAATACATAATTATCAAAAGAAGATACACAAATACCCAACAAACATGGATAAATGCTCAACATCATTAATTATCAGGGAAATGCAAATCAAAACCACAATGTGATACCACCTTACTCCTGCAAGAATGGCCATAATAAATAATACATGTTGGCGTGGATGTGGTGAAAGAGAACACTTTTACATTGTTGGTGGGAATGTAAACTAGTACAACCACTATAGATAACAGCGTGGAGATTTCTTAAAGAACTAAAAGTAAATCTACCATTTCATCCAGGAATCCCACTCCTGGGTATCTATCCAAAGGAAAAGAAGTCATTATATGAAAAAGATACTTGCACACACATGTTTATAGTAGCATAATTCCAATTACAAAGATATGGAACCAGCCCAAATGCTATCAATGAGTGGATAAAGAAAATGTGATATATATACCATGGAATACTACTCAGACATGAAAAGGAATGAAATAATGGCATTTGCAGCAACCCTGGATGGAACTGGAGACCATTATTCTAAGTGAAGTAACTCAGAAATGGAAAATGAAACATCGTATGTTCTCACTCATAAGTGGGAGCTAAGCAATGAGGATGCAAAGGCATGAGAATGATCCAATGGACTTTGGGGACTTAGAGGAAAGGGTGGGAGGGGGTGAGGGATAAAAGACTACACACTGGGGCCGGGCGTGGTGGCTCACGCCTGTAATCCCAGCACTTTGGGAGGCCAAGGTGGGCGGATCACGAGGTCAGGAGATCGAGACCATCCTGGCTAACACAGTGAAACCCCGTCTCTATTAAAATACAAAAATACAAAAAATTAGCCGGGCGTGGTGGCAGGCGCCTGTAGTCCCAGCTACTCAGGAGGCTGAGGCAGGAGAATGGCATGAACCCGGGAGGTGGAGCTTGCAGTGAGCTGAGATCGCGCCACTGCACTCCAGCCTGGGCGACAGAGTGAGACTCCGTCTCAAAAAAAAAAAAAAAAAAAAAAAAAAAAGACTACACATAGGGCACCGTTACATTCCTTGGATGATGGGTGCACCAAAATCTCACAAATCATCACTAAAGAACTTACTCATGTAACCAAATGCCACCTGTTCCTCAAAAACCTATTGAAAAAAAATGAAATCACAATTCTATTTCCACTTTTTCTTTTTTTTTTTGAGATGGAGTCTCACTCTGTCGCCCAGGCTGGAGTGCAGTGGCGCGATCTCGGCTCACTGTAAGCTCCACCTCCCGGGTTCATGCCATTCTTCTGCCTCAGCCTCCTGAGTAGCTGGGACTACAGGTGCCCGCCACCACGCCCGGCTAATTTTTTGTATTTTTAATAGAGACAGGGTTTCACCGTGTTAGCCAGTATGATCTCGATCTCCTGACCTCGTGATCCGCCCGCCTCGGCCTCCCAAAGTGCTGGGATTACAGGCATGAGCCACCGCGACCAGCCCTATTTTCACATCTTTAATAATCATTCCTATTGTCGTCAGATATCCAGTGTGTTCAGATTTTCCAGATTGTTCTGCAGGAGTGTGTGTGTGTGTGTGTGTGTGTGTGTGTTTGTGTGTGTGACTTATGATTCAAATAAAGTCGATGGTCTTCTTTAGAAGAAAAGAATGCTTAGCTCAAATGAAGAATAAAAGGAAATGTTAAGGCTGAGATGGAAACAGTAGGAGCAGAATAAACAAAACAAACAAACAAAAAAACCAAACCACTGAACTGTAAGTGAGGAGTAACAGATTAATAACCCAGCTCTGCCACTATAACTGCCTACATAATTTTAAGAAAGTTTTATTTAACTTTTCTGGAGTCACTTTCTTCCTCATCTATAAATGAAGATAGATTATATTACTTCTTATTTGCCTTCATGGTCTGACAGTAATTTTCAAATTGATATTTTATTTTTCACAAACAGAAAAAAGTTTTAAAATTATTTTTATAAAGATCAATATTGCTTTTTACTAAGTTATTGAGAGACTCAAACTGTTGACTCTACTCGTTGTTTAATGAATTTCCCATACAGAATTGTGTTATGTATGTGTATATGTGCGTATATATATATCAGTATATATATATATATATATATATATATATGCACAAACATTCATTGTTTAGATTACTTTGCACAAATGAACCTATTTTTAATGTCTATTCACAATAAATTTCCCAAAATAAATTATTTGGTCTTAAATTACAAAAACAAACAAACCAGAAAATGTGTTTTGGCTGGGCACGGTGGCTCAAACCTGTAATCCCAGCACTTTGGGAGGCCAAGGTGGATGGATCACCTGAGGTCAGGAGTTCAAGACCAGCCTGGCCAACAAGGTGAAACCCTGTCTCTACTAAAATACAAAAATTAGCCGGGCATGATGGCGGGTGCCTGTAATCCCAGCTACTCGGGAGGCTGAGATGGGAGAATCACTTGAACCCAGGAGATGGTGGTTGTGGTGAGCCAAGATCATGCCACTGCACTCCAGCCTGGGTGGCTGAGGGAGACTCCGTCAAAAAAAAAAAAGAAAAGAAAAGAGAAGAAAAAAGAAAATGTGTTTTCACATAGAAAATATAAGGGCAAATGCAAATTAAAAATAAGAGGTTCAATTTACTCTGGTGAAAACAGGAGAAGAGATTTCCCTCCCCTCCTTTTTCTCAGGACATTTACCTTAGAAAACTTGTAAGTATTTTCTCTTTTCTTTGAAATACATATGTATATATAGGCTTTTGAAGACTAGGCAGGACTTTTGCCAACTGGCCTTTTCTCAGCTCCATGACCAAGGAATGTTTTTCTCGAGGACCTGAAAGCCATCTCTTTGAATAGCAAAAATTAGAGCTTAGCTTCGGTGGGTGCCCTGCTTGAAGTTGCAAAACTACCTCTGCCATAAAAAGTTGAGAAGATTTTCCTCTGGATAAAGCCAATTAGCTAACATAGATGGTCACTCCAATTACCACAATAAAGTTGGGAAAAACCATGTGACAAAAGGTGCTGCCAAGACCTCTTATTTGAAGACTAGTTATTGTTTATCTTGAAAGCATGTATGTAATGGGTTGTATCTGTTCGGCTATATAAGGAGGCGAGATTTCTTTCTGCCTTTTCAATCTCTTTGTAGGTTGCCTGTGATATGTGTTACATTCTAGTTTAATGCTTCTTTAATAGTGTATTCTTTCCCTGCTACCTTTGTAGAGAGAATTTCTGGGTTGGAAGAAGGATTTGTTTTTAATTATATTTCCCCAACAAAGGTTTGTGGAAACTTTTCCACTGCGTTTTTTTGTTGTTGTTGTTGAGATGCAGTCTCGCTCTGTTGCCCAGGCTGTAGTGCAGTGGCTCAGTCTCAGCTCATTGCAAGCTCTGCCTCCCGGGTTCACGCCATTCTCCTGCCTCAGCCTCCAGAGTAGCTGGGACTGCAGGCATCCACCACCACACCTGGCTAATTTTTTTGTATTTTTTTAGTAGAGACGGGGTTTCACCATGTTAGCCAGGATGGTCTCGATCTCCTGACCTCGTGATCTGCCCCCCTTGGCTTCCCAAAGTGCTGGGATTACAGGCGTGAGCCACCGCACCCGGCCACTCCACTGCCTCTTTTTTAAAATTAAAATTTAAATGTTTTTTCAATTGCCTCTTAAATGGATTTGTAAATATGAAAATTTCTCTTTGGGAGGCTGAGGAGGGAGAATCACTTAAGCCTAGGAGTTCAAGACCAGCCTAGGCAAAATGGCAAGACCTGGTCTCCACAAAGCAAGAAAGAAAAAGAGATAGAGAGGAAAGAAGGAAAGAAGGAAGGAAGGGAGGGAGGGAGGAAGGAAGGAAGGAAGGAAGGAAGGAAGGAAGGAAGGAAGGAAGGAAGGAAGGGAAGGAGGAAGGGAGGGAGGGAGGAAGGAAATTTTCTTATTTCCTTTGCACTTGCATCAAGTTGTGATCTGAAAACTACTTCTGGAACTGTGATTTGAGTTCAAAAAACATGCCTGCAGCCAGTTTGGATAGGAGTGAAGATCTCACTTCTTTTTTTAACTTTCAATAGCCAAAAAAAGCATATAGAGCAGCTTGATTTTGCTTGTGATTCAGACTATGTCAGTTGTCAGAATAACTTTACTACAGTATAAGTTTCACATATAAGAACTGTTTTGCCTTGTAATTCATTGGGAAACATTATCAAGTCTACAACAAAAATCCAGTTTCCAAAGCCATTTTCTTTTTTTTTTTTTTTTTGAGACGGAGTCTCGCTCTGTTGCCCAGGCCAGACTGCGGACTGCAGTGGCGCAATCTCGGCTCACTGCAAGCTCCGCTTCCCGGGTTCATGCCATTCTCCTGCCTCAGCCTCCCGAGTAGCTGGGACTACAGGCGCCCGCCACCGCGCCCGGCTAATTTTTTGTATTTTTAGTAGAGACGGGGTTTCACCTTGTTAGCCAGGATGGTCTCGATCTCCTGACCTCATGATCCACCCGCCTCGGCCTCCCAAAGTGCTGGGATTACAGGCGTGAGCCACCACGCCCGGCCTCCAAAGCCATTTTCTTTTGTTTTGTTTTGTTTGTTTTGAGACAGAGTCTCACTCTGTCACCCAGGCTGGAGTGCAGTGGCGCAATATCGGCTCACTGAAAGCTCCGCCTCCCAGGTTCACGCCATTCTCCTGCCTCAGCCTCCCAAGTAGCTGGGACTACAGGCGCCCGCCACCACGCCCAGCTAATTTTTTTATATTTTTAGTAGAGACAGGGTTTCACCGTGTTAGCCAGGATGGTCTCGATTTCCTGACCTCGTGATCCACCTGCCTCAGCCTCCCAAAGTGCTGGGATTACAGACGTGAGTCACCACGCCCAGCTGCCATTCAGTTTTGATAATGGTTGAAGATGGTTCTTATTTAGAAAAAATTCAATCTTAGTTCTGATTTCAAAAAATCATAATAAAACTTTATCACTCCTAAGTCATTCAACTAGCATATAGTAGGGCAAGTTGGGATATCTAGCTTTTATTTCTGACAAAAATATACAGAACTGACAGTGATTTGGTCTACAAGAGCAAATGAAGCTCACTGTTGACATTACTGGTTCAACAACATATCTAAGGCATTTCCACACACTATCTTCTATGAATAACCATGTGTTTTTAACAACCTACATGCTCACAAGCCTTGTGCATTTATCGACTAAGACTTTCCTGCTTCACACATTTTTTTTTTGTTTTGTTTTACTGTCATTTGTATCACTCTTAGCAGATTCTACTTTAGGTTGTACTGAATTGGTGTTTTCTCAGCTTCGTTGAAAATATTCTTACCTGCAGTTGTTATGTGCGTATTACTCATAAAGGATAATTCTTTAGTCACTTCAAACTCAGCACTGACTTCTAGAATATCAACAACTGATCAGTAGAGCAGTATCAGTAACATCTGTCAACTCATCAAGAGCCAGGAATTGCTTAAGTCCAGGAGTTGGATACCAGCCTGGGCAACATATTAAGACCCCCACCTCTACAAAAAAAATTTTTTTTAATTAGCTGGGTGTGGTGGCACATGCCTGCAGTCTCAGCTACTCAGGAGGCTGAGGCAGGAGGATTCCTTGAGCCCAGGAGCTGGAGGCTGCAGTAAGCTATGATTGTGCCACTGCATTCCAGTCTAGGTGACAGAGCAAGACTCTGTCTCTTAAGAAAAAACAGTCCTAGGCAAGTGCTATTGAAAGTGGAAAGTTTAGAGAATGCTATCTTTGATAAATGGAAAGCCCAACTCAAAATGGCTTAATGAAAAAGGAAATGTTTTGGTATGGGTTACTGAACAACCAAGGGAGGGTGGGCTTCAGGGTTAGCTAAGGCCAGTAACTCTGGCTCTGTTACACTTTGAATTTCTTGCTCTGCCCTCCTCTAGGTATTGGCTTCATCCCCAGGCAGAGAGCAACATGATTATGGTGTTCTGTCTCTGATAGCCACTCACAATTTTGTCCCCTACAAGACAGAACTGTTTCTGTATGCTTGCTCAGAATGCCAAAAAATCTTTTTCAGGTGCCTCCTTTCTCTCTCCCTAGCCCAAAATGGGTCATACATCCTGGACAGATGACAAAAACCACTATACATTTTCCCCCCGCCTCTCTGGAATGCCACTTGCAGCTCTTCCCATTAAGTGGTAGAGTCTATTTCTCTACCCCTTGAACATGGTCTCAGCACGTGAGTTGTTTTTGCCAGTGAAACATTAGTAAATTTGTTGTAAGCGGAGACTTAAAAAGTGTTTGTACATTGGAGCTTGCCATCTTTTGCTGATCTGTGGAACTCTGAGGCTACCATGTTAAGAAGCCTGTGATTGAGGGAGGACAAGTGACCATGTGGAGCAGAAACAAGACATCCCAGCTGAGCACTGCCCCCCACCCCAACCCTCACCAACCAACAAGATGTGAGAATGAGGCCATGCTGTCCTAAACAACCGACTTTGAGCCAGCCCAGATATGAAAACCACTTAGATGACCCACAGAATTATGAGAAGTAATAAATGTTTGTTATTTTAAGCCACTAAGTTTAGGAGTGGTTCGTTAAGAAGCAAAAGCTAACTGATATATGCCCATTTCTGAGGCAGTCATAGGCAAGGGGAATTGCATTACTCTTAAGTGAATCAAGAGACCCCTTTGGAGTTGGGATTAAGTTGTTTCCATGACGACCATGGCTGCATGGAAGAAGCCATGTTTTGTCAAAACAAAATGGGGTTTTGACAGGAAGAAAAAGAGGGAGAAAATGCTTGTTGAATTTGGCAACTACTAATTCACTAAATATACTCTACACCAAACTTTATGTTGCTTCTTTAAGAAGGAAAACAAAGTTACCATTAGAAGGACTAGGCATAGGAACCAACATATATTTCTGTGTAGTGAGTGTGTCCTGTAGTATGCTTTGGGAGGGCAGCTGAGCTACCAAAACTTGGATTTCACAGTAGCAGGGGTTGGCCCTTTACAGAAAGCTAGTGATTAGTTTAGGTTTTGAGAGTCATGTGATCTCTGTCACAACTACTCAATTCCACCATTGTTGTGTGGAAGTAGCAATAGAAAGAAAGGAAATAAACTAGCATAGTTGTGTTCCAGTAAAACTTTTTTTTGAAAAACAAGCAATGGGCTGGATTTGACCTACAGTTTGCCAATCCATCAACCAGAGAAGCAATGTGCAATGCTGTACAGAGTGTAGTTCACGCAATCAGGTGTCACCCAATGTACACATTTGTATTGTACATTTCATATAATTTTCTTGGGGAGGAAATCTGAGTTACCAGCAGTTGTATTTCCTGGAGAAAGGTAATAATACACTACTGTGCATTGGGCACTACGTGTACCCCGATGTAAGAAGACAAAGATAAAAATACTTGTTTGTCAGAGATTAAACATACAACTTTGGGCCTTGCTTTCTTTACATAATCTGCAGAGGGGAATAAAGTTAGGTGTATTTCTGTCTCATGCAGAGAAGTGACATAGCTTTGTGGAGTGTGTAACTCTTACAACTTTCATGGGAAAAATGCCAAGTTGTGAAGAATTCCATTTCACCCAGAAAAGCAATATTCTTCTTAGTGCATTGTGTTCAGTGCTTAACTGCTCAAAAAAAAGTAGATCAAGCATGTTTTTTGGCTATAAACCAAGCAGGAACCCAAAGAAAAAGGAAAAGCAAAAAGAATTTAGTATTTTTAATAATGCTTTGAAGTAGGAGAAAATTCAAAACTTGATTGAATTCCTTAAACGTATGGTTATTTTCTTTTGAATTGTGTAATGAAGTTCGGGTGGCTCACTGCATTTTTCATATTTAGAGCCTCAAAAAATCTTAATCTTGCACTGCCTCTGTAAATTGTGTTACCTTCATGGAGAAGAAAGATGAGTTATTAGTAAGGATTTATCACTTAGGTTAATAATATATATTTCTAAACAATCTTTTCTTCATGTAATCTGCTGGAGTGAAAAACTGAGTTTCCAGTAGTGGTATCTCACCGAAAAGGGAAATTCGGCTGGGTGCAGTGGTTCACACCTGTAATCCCAGCACTTTGGAGGCCAAGGCGGGTGGATCACTTGAGGGCAGGAGTTCGAGACCAGCCTGGCCAACATGGTGATACTCCGTCTTTCCTAAAAATACAAGAATTAGCCGGGTGTAGTGATGTGCTCCTGTAATCCCCACTACTCAGGAGGCTGAGGCAGGAGAATCACTTGAACCTGGGAGGCAGAGATTGCAAGGAGCCAAGATCATGACACTAGACTCCAGCCTGGATGACAGAGCCAGAGTCCATCTCAGAAAAAAAAAAAAAAAATAGAGAGAAAAAAGAAAGAAAGAAAAGAAGGGAAATTCACTCGTATGGACTTTGTATTTCCTATAATCTGTTGGATTGGAAAGATGAATTATTAGCAGTTTTAGCTCTCCTAAAGTCACAACTTTCATGTCTGTAGAATGTCCCTTTTTATATATTCCCTTTGGAGAGGTAATCAGGTGGGAAAGCATTTAGCATCCAACTTGGTGGATAGTCCAAAGGTTATTTTTTATTATTTAACAAGGTTCCCAGGGGAGGCAGTTGAGGGCTGCTATAGCAGCTCCAGAACCAGGCTCATTTTTTCCTCAAGTCCTGCCACCTTACAATATGTTTAGTAGTTTCATGCTTGACACTTCTTGATTATAAGATGGCTGCTGCATCAGCAGGCTCATAAGTGTGTTCCAGAAAAGGAGAAGGAGAAAGTGCAAAGGACAAAAAACATTTTCCAATTAAGTCTGTTCTTTCTAATTAGGAAAAAAGCAACATTCCTGGAGGGCCCATCTATAAGCTATAAGCTCTCCATTTATATTTTCTTTCTTTCCTTTTTTCTTTTCTTTTCTTTTTCTTTTTTTTTTCTTTTTCTTTTTCTTTTTTTTTTTTTTTTTTGAGACAGAGTCTTGCTCTGTTACCCAGCCTGGAGTGCAGTGGCACATTCTCTGCTCACTGCAACCTCTGCCTCCCAGGTTCAAGCGATTCTCCTGCCTCAGCCTCCCAAGTAACTAGGACAACAGTTAGCTCAGCTAATTTTTATACTTTTAGTGGAGATGGGGTTTTGCCACGTTGGTCAGGCTGGTCTTGAACTCCTGACCTCAGGTGATCTGCCTGCCTCGGCCTCCAAAACTGCTGGGATTACAGGCATGAGCCACCATGCCTGGCCCTCCATTTATATGTTCTAGGCTAGAGATGTATCATATGGCCAGCTTTAGCTGAGAAAGAACTTGAGAAATCTGGGCACAGTGCCACTCTGAACAAAATTCAGTTTGGCTATAAGGAGGATGAGGAGAATAGATATTTTGTGGGCAACTTGCAGTACTTGCCATGATATCCTTGCTAAACTGGTGGCCAGTGGATCTAAAATTCATGGATATAGTTCTGACTCGCTTACAGATGGTGTGGGGAAAAAGGAGAAAATTTAGACAAGGACAACTGAAATGATGAAAAGGAAAGAGGATTGTCTGCTGTAGCCTTCAAGGGACACTGGGCTTGGAATTCAAAGTTCTAGCTTTCTGACCTGATTCTGTAATGTACAAACTGTGTGACACTGGTTGACTTAACTTCTTTTTTTTTTTTTTTTTTTTTGAGACGGAGTCTCGCTCTGTCGCCCAGGCTGGAGTGCAGTGGCGGGATCTCGGCTCACTGCAAGCTCCGCCTCCCGGGTTCACGCCATTCTCCTGCCTCAGCCTCCCAAGTAGCTGGGACTACAGGCGCCCGCCACTACGCCCGGCTAATTTTTTGTATTTTTAGTAGAGACGGGGTTTCACCGTTTTAGCCGGGATGGTTGAGTTAACTTCTATAAGCCTGTTACCGTTGTCTGTAAGATGGCGATGGAATGTTAGAAAGAAAGGGAGAATGGATATTGGATAAGCAAATGCAAACTTACTAATAGTTACATCTTGCATAGAAAAACAGCCGACCTCCCTATGGCATATTCTTCATATAATCTCTTTTTTTACACCAAACATACTTTATTAGCACAAAAAAGCAGTCATAACAAGGCACAGCAAGCAAAAACATACATTAGCAGTCAAAGGGTTAGTGTTGTATACAAATATAGCTTTTCTTTTTTGCAGCCTTGGCGATAGCCATAAAGATGTAAAATAACATTCTGTAGCAGCAGGTAAGGAAACTATGAAGCACTCACCAGTGATACAGAGCACATTAACAAAAAGGCACAAGAATGGATTCGGCTACTTTAGTGCAAAATGTCTAGGACTGCAAATTCAGTTCAGTTATTAAGAAACAAACACTAGAACTTGATATAACTTCCAAAAGAGCTCACTCACGTAGTAGCACATATTATTCTAAGTGACAAAAACGTGCTAAGTTATTTACAGATATAATGGCTGTACAGTACCTTTTAAATCTGCAATTTAGGTTTCTGATTTTCCATTAAGAATTAACTGCACTGGGCTGGGCGCAGTGGCTCACGCCTGTAATCCCAGCACTTTGGGAGGCTGAGGCGGGTGGATCACGAGGTCAGGAAATCGAGACCATACTGGCCAACACGGTGAAACCCCGTCTCTACTAAAAGTACAAAAAATTAGCAGGGCGTGGTGGCGGGCGCCTGTAGTCCCAGCTACTCGGGAAGCTAAGGCAGGAGAATGGCATGAACCCGGGAGACAGAGCTTGCAGTGAGTCGAGATCGCGCCACTGCACTCCAGCCTGGGCGACAGAGAGAGACTCCGTCTCAAAAAAAAAAAAAAGAATTAACTGCACTGAAATTCTATAAATTATACTTAAGCAATTCAGGTATGAGAGTTTACAAAAAAGAGATAAATACTGCCATCCAAATTATTAATTACAGTTCAACAATAACCTCAATATCAGCAACCAGCAACCATTGTAGTTACTATTATCTGACTTGCTTGGGCATCTTCTAGTCTCATGTACTTCATAGTTCACAAAATCATCCTGGACATAGGAAAAGATCCAACTTTTATGAAACAATTAGACTGTACATCAACTGAAAAAAAATCACACGCAAGACTGCATTGCAACAGGTATTTCAAATGCCTGTTTTAAGTTAAAGCACTCATTAAAAAAAAAAAACCTAGGGCCTTTCAATAAAATTCTACTACTAGCTTTGTAAGTCTGAAATTTTAAGAATGGCTATTTAGAAAATCTGGTTTTCTTAACAGTACCTTTTGCAGAAGAGAAAAGGCGTCTGATTATAAACTACATCAACAGTTAAGTGAACTGCACTATGCCCTTGTGGCCAGAAAATTGCATTTTTTTCTAAAATGAAGGCAGTCTTTTATTTATTTATTTTTTCGACTTCCAAAGCTTGATTTATAGTAAATACAAACATCATTACGTTTGGAAGATTGTAGAAAAACTCTTAGAAAAAATAATTTCAAACATTAGTCACACTGTTGAAATACTCATTCAGTATTAATAATTTGTTCCTCAGTAAGAAATAGAATTCTTCATAACAAATGCCCCAGTGTTGCCTCACTCAAATACTACAGCCATTAAAAACCAAATTGTTAGTGAAATCGGCAAAATGTGTTTGTAGTCTTACTGAACACCTGTAGCTCTATCCTCTGTTGTTCCAATAGGCACCATGTTTATCTGAACAAATAACAGTAGGTCGCATCTGACAGACACTAACACTAAGCTTACATACTGTATGAAAAAGCCTAACACTGCTACGTGTGTTTGCTGTAGGTGTACTGCCTGATGCACATGAAAGCGGACCTAGTTAACACCCTTTGGGGACAGGAGAGTTTACTCTGCCTTGACTGGTTCTCGTTCTAACCAGCAAACTCTAACTTTGTGTTTATAATGATACTTTTTTTTTTTTTTTTTTTTTTTTTTTTTTTTTTGAGATGGAGTCTCGCTCTGTCGCCCAGGCTGGAGTGCAGTGGAGCAATCTCGGCTCACTACAAGCTCCGCCTCCCGGGTTCACAACATTCTCCTGCCTCAGCCTCCCGAGTAGCTGGGACTACAGGCCCCCGCCACCACACATGGCTAATGTTTGTTTTTTTTTTTGTATTTTTAGTAGGGTTTCACCGTGTTAGCCAGGATGGTCTCGATCTCCTTCCCTCATGATCCTCCCGCCTCGGCCTCCCAAAGTGCTGGGATTACAGGCGTGAGCCACCGCACCCGTTCTATAATGATACTTTTTTAAAAAGTCCTGTAACATTGAGGGTAGAGGGAGCCCATCAATTCCATCATACGTAGTGCATCTGCAGATTACTGTGCGACAGATATACCGCAGGCTAAAAGGAAAAGTCCTATTTAGTGATATAGCAAGCAATGGTTCAAAAAAACATGCACTAACTGAGATCTTTATAATGTTCTAAAAGTCCAGTTACCGTGGAGGAATGAAATATACACGGGTCATGGCATCGAAACTAAAGTTGTGATTCCACTGCTCAACTCGGGCATGCAGGGATCTATTGTAGAGGCGGAAACTCACAGAGTTTCCGGTAGTCCTCTTGTGCAGAGTCCCTGAGCAAAAACGTGCCTTCAGGTTTCCCTTCAAGAAGGGCTTCTGCTTCATAACGGTCCACCACTCCCCAGTAACAGGGATTCCCTGTAATTTGAAGCAAATCAGGCACGAGACCTATATGTAATCAATCTGTGTGTGGACTTTCCAAGCTCCTTGTCTGCTAACATGGGTATGGCTGTCTCCAGATATCTGACGCTGCTTCTACCTCCGTGATTGCAAACACAGGGTGGTTGTATCCTCTTCCGAGTCACAATTAACTTGTGGAATTGCAGAACTGTCCCCACTTATTTCAGTCATTCCGGGAGCTAACTTTGGTCCCAGTTTATATAATGGATTAACCTGTGCAGTAGCTTCAAATGTATGTACTTGTGCACTGGGCGGGGGATCAACCCCTTCTTCAATACTAAGCCGTCTTGTCTTTCTAAGCCTAACTTCTTCGTCTTCTGTAGAAACCAAAGATGGATCAAGTGTATCAAAAAATGTTGAATGTGGGCTCACAGGAGCTGTATGCTGTTTAATCAAATGCCATTTTTGGGCTAAATCTGAGCCAGCAGGAAAAGGGCATTTCTCAAGCATTAATTCAGAAAGATGGATTTTTCTTTTATTGGAAGAGAGAGGCTTTGACTGCTTGCTGTAAGTTCTCATGGGAAAACACAAGCCCACAGTATCCTGCAACGTCTTTCTCAGAGAGCGACTTCCTACAGTTCTGCTGGACACACTGTCCATGTCGTGTACAGAACTTACACCATAGCGCCTCTCTCTCCTTTGAAGTCCACTTCGAGTTCTAACAAACATTTGATCAGTATCCAATGAACTCTAGGTCTTAGTAGAACAGGAATGTTTTTTCCTCGCACCCCATGGAGCATGTCGAGAGTAGGAATCTCTTCGTGCAACTCTTGTTCCTGGGGTAACACAAGAATCATTATCCTTTTCGATGCTTATTTCAACAATTTGAGGAATTTCGGTGGCACAATTTTGATTTCTCTTTGAAGAATTATTTGAAGGGCTTAATCCCAGTTGTAAGGCAACATCTTCTCTTAAGGGACGGTTTTGGTGCTGAGGAGTTGAGTCTCCTATGCTGATGTTTTTCTCTTTGACAGACAGACATTTGTCGGAGTTCATGTTAACATTTTCACTACAGCTTCCTCCTTCATGACCGAAGAGATTCTGACACCTGTACTTGAAGTTATTCCACATTTTCCCCACTTTATCCATTGATTATAAAATCATCGGGGGCGCACGGGGCAGCCTCATCCAGGACACCTAAGGCCAGGCAGGACGGGCCTGGACGGCGCAGTCACCTACAGGGCGAGTCCACCCACCCTCTGGTGCGTCCCGTCCCCTCCGACTGCCCAGCGAGCGCAGCCTCGCTTCCTCCGGACTGAGCCTGGGGACCCCAGCTCCACCGGATGCCCCCACCAGGCCCCTACCACCTTCCCTGGTGCCTCCCCCTCTGCACCGGTTTCCCCTTCCCTCTCCTCTCAACCCGTCCCCGACCCCGCCGCCCAGAATGGAAAATACCTTCATATAATCTCTTTTGGTGGGGGTCAGGTAAATATAATTTAGAAGGAGTTTCTATTTCTCACAGGGAAGCAACATTCATCTCTGGAATGTACACTTTAGGTAATCTGGGGGAAGAAAGATAATTTTCCAGCAGTTTTAGCTCTCAAACAAGCAGTATACATCTATGTGGAGTAACTATTTCCTGTAACTTGTTGGAAGTTGATGGTGACCTAGTCATTCATCAAATACTGATTGAATGCCTAGTATGTCAGCCATGCTCTAGGTGCTAGGGATATAGTATGAATGAAACAGAGAAGGCCCCTGCCTTCATACAGCTTACATTCTACCAAGGGAGATAACAATTGGATAGAGTGAGCCAAAGAAACGGGAATATGCCAGCTACGTGGTACATCCTTTCAGATGTGCAGAGAGCTTGCTTTCTGGATTTAATCTATGGTATCCTCATTTTTCAGTTTATCAAAAATGCCAATAATCTAAATTTCACCTGTTTCTGATTAACGAATTCAACAAGTATTTATTGAATGCCTTCTCTACCAATCATTGTGCTAAACATTGAGATATAATGATAAATAATAGCTCCATATAGCTGATTAGAGTTGTATAAAAATGAACTGATTGGGTCTTTCACAGTTGTCCTTGGGTGGGATGCTACTTGTGTGTATCTTCCTAACAATACCTACGAAAGAAATACAAGTGTATGCATTTAGGGGGGCACTGAATAGAAGGCTAGCTAGAGCTAGAATAACTAATAGTGATATGTGAGTGTAAAGACCCATAAGGGCAACAGTCTAGGTGGTCAAGTGAGAATTGGCATTGGGATTTGAAGAACCAGGATAAATTGGATAGCTGAGGTTAGGGAGAGCAGGTAGAAGGAAGGGAGAGTATTCCAAAGGGAAAATCCTGGGAAAAAGATCTAGAGTCAGGAAGAGGCAAGGGATTTCAGGGGGCCAATGGGAATTCAGTAACTTTAGAGCAGAATGTATATGATAGCCAAATAAGAGATGTTGATATTGAGGTCAGTTTGTGTGGGCCTAGATTGGGAGTTTGTCCTTTATTCTAACATAACAGGGGATCACTCAAGGTTCTTAATAGAGACTATTTTAAGCAGGTAGAATATACTAGTTTCTTGTTGAGATGGCCCATTCCGGCTCCTACCCAGCATCCTTTCCATCCCTAACGTCTCCCTCTACAGTTTTCCTGAGGGTTGAGGTAGCCACTGTGTTTCAGGCCAAGATAGTTGTTAATGGGATATCAGGAACGCGACTGGGCTTGACGGGAAGCAAGGCTGGAGTTACAGGCTGGGCTTGGCGGGAAACAAAGCTGGAGTTACAGGCTGGGTTTGGAGGGAATGCCTTCTTCTAGGGTCCCATAGAGATGTTCCTCCCGCTTCCTAGAGAATCAGAGAATGGATGCGCGAGCTCGCTGCTGACGCACTACCGGCCGCGCCACCATTCTTCCGGTTTCAGAAGTTAAGGCTGGTGTCCTGGCCCCAGTCCACCTCTGGGAGCGCCTGCGCCGCTCCGCGGAGAGTCCGTGGATCTCACAGTGAGCGAGTTGGGACCCAGGGAGGGGAAAAGAGAGGACCCCGGCGAGCCATTGCTGGGGCGGCGGGCTGGAGGGTTATCTGGGAAGTCAGCCCCGGCCTCGGTCCTCTCCACGTTGCTGCCTACGCGTGCTGCCCGGACGTAGGGCACTCCTAGCGGCTCGGCCCGCCCAGCCTGCAGCCTCAGCACTGCAGACTCCAAGGCCCAGCACAGTGCCCGGCACAGAGGAGATGCCTAGGAAAATGGCGGAGTGAATGAATGAATGAGTGAATGAGTGATGGATAGATGATCAAGACAGACCTAGGACCCATGTCAGGAAACGAGGTCCTGGGGATCAGATACCAGTTTCTTCCCCCGGCTGATCCTGTAGCTCCGAAACTTGTTTAGAGCCTGTTTTTATAGGAGACGGCAAATAGCGTAAAGTGCACTCGTTGGGAGTCTTGAGACCTGAGTTACAATTCTGGAGGGTACAGAAATCTCTAAAGTACTGTCTAGAAGTCTGTTCCTTGCTTCTTCACAAAGCTCAGTTGACAGCTTGTATGTGATAGCATGTATGCAAACCTTAATGCCTCCCAATGAAGGATTACTATCCATTATATGCCAAACATTACCCCGAATTTAGTGGCTAGGCTACAAAAGAGTGACATCGGAGACTGCCACATGTAAAGATGCTTCCAGTCTTGTTTAGGACGATAAGGGCATAAGCAGATTTTGGTGGTAATATTTTAAACTACATTTATTTAGCACTTACTGTATACCAGGCACTATTTGAAGCATTTGTGCTAATTGATTTAATCTTCACAACAGCGTATTGCGTGTACAGTTTTGTTTTTTGGTTTTTGGTTTGTTTTTTTTTTTGAGACGGGATTTCACTCTTGTTGCCCAGGCTGGAGTGCAACGGGGTGATCTGGGCTCACCACAACCTCTGCCTCCCGGGTTCAAGCGATTCTCCTGCCTCAGCCTCCCGAGTAGCTGGGATTACAGGCATGCGCCACCACACCTGGCTAATTTTGTATTTTTAGTAGAAACGGGGTTTCACAGTGTTGGTCAGGCTGGTCGCGAACTCCCAACCTCAAGTGATCCACCCGCCTTGGCCTCCCAAAGTTCTGGGATTATAGGCGTGAAACACCGCGCCAGGCCTATGTGTAGTTTTTAAGTGAGGGAACTGAGGTACAGAGAGAACAGAAAACTTGTCCCAGATCACATTGCTAAGTGACCCAAGGCTGCATAAGAGATAAAGTGTACTGCCACAGCTTGGGTGAGTGCACTGTTTGGTGCCAAAATGCAGACCAAGAAGGGCTTCAGAGAGGAGTACATTTCAATGTGGTCTCGTTGGAGGGATTGTTAAAAATTCTTGAAAAACTTCATCTAGCTTGCTTAGATTCTTTTAGCTAATTATTGAGGGGTAAGGAGGTGGCATCTGGGGAAAAGCTTACAAGGTAGAGGGAGGAAGCCAGCTCTCTAATAGGTTAGCAGGATAGGGCTATTAAGAGCCTGTTTCCTTTTTACCTTTCACCATAATACTCAGCTTTCCCCAGATCTGCAGAGGGATCTTTTTAGCATCTTAAAATCACTAACAGCCAGATTATTCCACAATAGGCATTTGTAGAAGCACCTGTACATTACTTTCTGGGCAACTTATAGACCTAGGAGTCAGCAAATATGGACCAAATTTGGTCTGCCACTTTTTTTGGTAAAACTGTTTTATTAAAACACAGGCAAGCTCATTCAGTACATATTGTCTGTTTCTGTTTTCAGACTACAAAGGCAAAGTTGAATAGTTGAGACAGAGACTATATTTTCCATTTAACCCATTAAACCTAAAAAAAATTGCTTTCTGGCCTGTTACAGAAAATGTTTGCTGACCCTTGACATTGACAAACTGCTGACAGCTCAGATGATCCATGATTGGAAGGATGTGGTCATCACCAAGATGTCTTTCTTTCTCCGTAGGTTTTAGTATCAACCATAATAGCATCTAACCCCTGTTGAGTGCCTGCCATCGAGTAGATATCTTTTTGAATGCTTTATGTGAATTAACTCATCAAGGATTCACAGATTATCAGAGCTGGAATGACCCGTAAATATTGTCTAATTTGTCACCCTTTTCAGATAAATAGCCTGTCATGTAGGCCCACTCACATGGGCTATTGGCAGAGCAAACTTTCCTGAGTCCCAATCCAGTCTACTATCATCTTGTGAATGGGAGGCCAATACCATAGCCATTGGATCTGGCATTTTGTTTTTGTTTTTGTTTCTGGGTTTTTAAAAAGTAACTTTTTCTACCTATAAAAGTAATATATGTTTATTGAAGGAGAAGTAAAAATATAGAAGAGTATAAAGGACAAACTAAAGTGACCCATTAACTGACCTAGAGATAAATGTGTTAATATTTTGGTGGGTTTTCTTTATGTCTTTTTTAAATGTGTGTGTTTTATCTGTTTATTAACAATAGTTTCTGTTTATTGAGTGCTTAATGCCAGTATATGTGTGCATATTTCTTGTTTTTTAGTGTTTTGTATCTTCCTGTTTTAACATATTATATTTTCTCATGAATATTCTTTGAAATTATGATTTTTGATACCTTCATAAGCTATCTTTGCTAGTCTATCAATGTTTATTTGCCTGTTTATTTAACAATTGTAGTAATAGTGTGATCTTTGTACATAAATCTCTGGCCATCTCTGATTATGCTTTTTCACTTTTTCTTTGATTACAGAAGTTAGTTATTCCTATGGGAAAATTTTCAAACATTACAAAAAGATAGGCCTTAAGGCAAAAGTTTACCATAATTTTATTCTTCAGATATGATCACAATAAATAATTTGTTATATATTCTTATAGATTTGTTTTTTTTTTAAAGTGGAGCAAAATATAGATAATAGAGGACATTTGAGGAAATTATTCACAATTCATTATTTTACCACAGTGATGATTATTTTTCCTTCTTGATCTTATTCAGATGTATTTTTAATTTTTAATTTTTGAGAGGGATCTCACTCTGTCACCCAGGTTGGAATGCAATGGTGCTATCACAGCTCACTGCGACCTCTACCTCCCATGTTCAAGTGATCCTTCCACCTCAGCCTCCTGAGTAGCTGAAACCACAAGCACGACACATGTATATTTTAACAAACATATATTTTACATTATATTACTACTTGAAATTTTACTATACTGGATTTTTTCAACATATGGCATAAATATTTTTCCCAATAAACACATATTTTCATTTTTAATGATCTTAATGCCTAAATAATTTTCACCAACTAGAAGTACCATAATTTGCTAATCCTCAGTGTCCACCAGTAGAAAAACTTTTATTTCCATGTACATTTCAGGGGATATTTTTACAAGTAACAGAAGAATTCTGTTTCTCTTCTCTCTGGAAATTTACTTCTTTCTGAGAAAATTCTATTTGTAGAATTACTAGGTCAAAGAATATAGTCTTTTTTTTTTTTTTTTGAGACGGAGTTTCGCTCTTGTCGCCCAAGCTGGAGTGCAGTGGCGTGATCTCGGCTCACTGTAGCCTCTGCCCCCTGGGTTCAAGCAATTCTCCTGCCTCAGCCTCCTGAGTAGCTGAGATTACAGGTGCCTGCCACTGCGCCCGGCTAATTTTTTGTATTTTTTAGTAGAGACGTGGTTTCACCATGTTGGGCAGGCTGGTCTCGAACTCCTGACCTCAGGTGATCCACCTGCCTTGGCCTCCCAGACTGCTGGGATTACAGGTGTGAGCCACTGCGCCCAGCCGAATATAGTCATTTTTTATGGCATACTGATGACTCTGAGGTACACTACAGGTGGTGTATATACAAAATGAGCATTCTGTTCTGAATTCCTGTATCCACAAAATGTTGATCACAGCATCCTAACTATAACTGAAGCTACAACTTTCACACCTGATGTATATTGCCAGATTAGCTCCAGAAAGATGGTACCAACTTACATTCGCACCGGTATGTGAGAAACTCCCTGTACCTTTGTGAATCTTGAGTGTAGCATTAAAGATAGATTTTCCAGTTTGATGTAAAAATTGATTCTTCATTCTTTCAGTTTCCATTTCCTTGTTTACCATAAAGATGGAACATTGTTTTGATATGTTTACTGGCCTGTTGTAATTCTTGGTGTATTTTTTGTATTTTCCATTTTTCTCTCAGTTCATCTTTTTTTCTTACTCATTTGTAAGAAGTCTTTATTAGGTCTGTCTATCCCTTGATATATAACTGAAAAATACTTTTTTAAAGCTTGTTTTTCTTCATTTTCTTTGTATTTTGGATATACAGAGTATTGTTTTTATGTGGTCAGATTTATCAATTTTTGTCCTATCCATTTTGCATCATGCTTGAAAGTGCTAACCCTAGAATGAATTATTGGTCATACTTTATTTTGTGGTTTTACTTTTTTTATTTAACCCTTTAATTGGTTTGGGTTTATTTTGGTGTGTGGCATGATATAGTAATCGCACTTTTTTTTCCAGGTAGTTAGCAATGGTGCCAACTTGATTTATGAATTATCTATCTTTTTGTGATTAGAAATGCTGCTTTTATCATATATTAAATTATTTTTATTTACATCTCTTAGAGGATTAGAGATATTTTATTTAATTAATTTATTTTTGAGACAGGATCTTGTTTTGTTGCCCAGGCTGGAGTGAAGTGATGCAATCTTTTTTTTTTTTTTTTTTTTTTTGAGATGGAGTTTCGCTCTTGTCGCCCAGGCTGGAGTGCAATGACACGATCCATCCTCACCACAACCTCCGCCTCCCGGGTACAAGGGATTCTTCTGCCTCAGCCTCCCAAGTAGCTGGGATTACAGGCATGTGCCACCATGCCTGGCTAATTTTGTATTTTTAGTAGAGACAGGGTTTCTCCATGTTGGTCAGGCTGGTCTCGAACTTCCAACTTCAAGTAATCCACCTGCCTCAGCCTCCCAAAGTGCTGGGATTACAGGCATGAGCCACCACACCCGGCCAATGCAATCATATTAATAGCTCACTGCAGCCTCGAACTCCTGGACTCAAGTGATCCTCCCGCCTTAGTAGCTATGACTATAGGTACACACCACTACACCCAACTTAATTTTTGTTTTTTTTTGTAGAGGTGAAGTTTTCTATGTTGCCTAGGCTGGTTTCAAACTTCTGGCCTAAAGTGATCTTCCCACCTTGGCCTCCTAAAGTGCTAGGATTACAAGTGTGAGCTACCTCACCTTGCTGGGATTAGAGATCTTTTAAGTGTTTAGACTCACTGTTGGAGTTTTCCTAGCCACATTGCTTTAAAGATTTTATCTGTTACTCCTGTGATTTCAAGTACTTTTTTTATGTCTAAAACTCTTCAGGCCACACCTCTCTCCTCTCTTTCAGCTGTGTATGCCCTGTTCTACTTTCTGTTTGGATATTTGAGACTAAAGATAACTTATTCCTTTCCAGACCAGTGTACCAGTGTCACTAAAGATCACTGTCATCTCCCAAAACTGCCTAATTATCCTTGACATCTCCCTCTCTCACCCTTCCCACCAATATTCATTCATTCTGGTTGAACCTTTCTCTTAATCCAGTCCCCATACTGGACTACTGAAATAGCCTCACAAGGGATCTTCAAGCCTTCACCTTGCCCTCCCACTCCTCACCACTACGCAGATTATCTGTTGCTGTAGACAGAGGAATATGTTTCCTTAAAACAGTGGATCTAATCATGTCATGTATTCTATCAAACTGTTTCAAATCCTTATTATGGCTTTCTCTTCACTTTAGGGTAAAGTCCTTAAAATGTTTTTTAGGGTTCTGTTTGAACTGGCTTGCCTCAGGCTTTTATGTCTCATTTCTGGTGTTTAATACTTGGGCATTACTATGTTTCCTTTATTCCTCCAAAGTACTGAGCTTGATTCCTTTTGTATGTTCATTTTGTCTCTCTTCTTTTCCCTTTCACACGTCTAAAGGGGACCCAGACTATATTAGGTCCCCTGTGCTTTACATTCTGTAGCACCCCATACTTGCAGTTTTGTAACTCCCATATTTGAAATGATTCATTTAATGTCTTTGTCCAGCTATGACACAAGTTGGAGCCAGATAGGGTGTCTGGCTTCTTTTTCCAGCGTCTAGCACTGATTAGTCACCCAAATGCAACTCTGCTTGCATGAGTCTCTGAGTCTCTGTAGGATTGTATAGTAGCTTACAGGTTCCTTTATGTTCTTCCTGTGAATGAGAATCAGAATCAGGAAAACCAGGTAGGATCATCTTCTTTTTTTTTTTTTTTTGAGATGGAGTCTTGCTCTGTCGCCCAGGCTGGAGTGCAATGGCGCAATCTCAGCTTACTGCAGCATCTGCTTCCTGGGTTCAAGTGATTCTCCCGCCTCATTCTCCCGAGTAGCTGGGATTACAGGCACCTGCCATCATGCCCAACTAATTTTTGTATTCTTATAGAGACAGGGTTTCTCCATGTTGGCCAGGCTGGTCTCAAACTCCTGACCTCAGGTGATCCGCCTGCCTCAGCCTCCCAAAGTGCTGGGATTACAGGCGTAAGCCACTGCTCCAGGCCAAGGATCTTCTTAAATCTTTAAAACTCAATGCAGAAGCACAGACTTCACTAAGAAGTCCACAAGACCAAGCTTATTATGTACTTGAGCAGACTTATTTTATTCTTTCATGTCTTCCAAGTTCTTGACTCTGGTAAAATCATATCTGGATCTTCCCTTTTTCCTTGAATAATGCTGCCAGTTCTGCTTCTCACTTCAAGGTTAAATGGAGAGATATTTTTGAGTGAACAGTTTTGGTATTGATATTTTTAAGAAGCAGCATTTACAGAAACTGGTATTTTTGCAACTTTTTTGTAAGTCAAAACTTATTTCACAGTTAAATTTATTTCTGTTTCTTTTTAACTGCAGCCTGTTCTCTGACACTGAGCTATACCTGAAGAAAAACTGTTTAATTGATATGACATCTTGAAGAAGGGACAATCAGTGTGTCTCTAGTTTGTATCAAGTAGATAGCATTCCCTAACACTATCTCAGCTCCTTGGCATTTGGTAGAAGTGGGTAAATCAGACTTAATGCACAAGCTTTGCTATGAGGACATTTTGCTATACAACTTTTAACTATATTAACTGGCTTTTCATATAGATTATTGTATGATGGCCAGAGTGTACTAATTGATGTGAATATTCCTATTCGTTTAATCTTTATAATTATAAAAAGGTAATGAATAACATTCTGATTTACTTATCAAGTGCTTAAATATTTGATAGTATGTTAGTCTGATGTTACCACTTCTTGAACAGCTGGCAAATGGGGTGTGAACCTAGGAGGCTACAAGCCAATGCTGATTTTTGCGGATGCTTCCACATTGTTATCCTGAGAGTTATTGTGTGTGTTATTAGATAGTGTCCCTAGGCAACAGCTCTTTGTTTTCGTTCTGTTTACTGGGACAGTAATATTCCCTCCCTCCCTGCACCTTTTCTCCCCATGAGCAGGGTTCCCAGTTTTCCAGACCTGAAGTGTTTTCCAATCAAAGCGAAGAGACGATCTGTGGATGTTGAATATGCAAGGAGCTGAAGAGAGAGACATTAGAAGAGAGACTTGTCCAGGTGAGTGAGCAAGGGACAAGCAGTGGGAGAAATAGTCAGCCAATAGGAAGCCTTTGGAAATTTTAGAGGACAAGCTGGGTGAGGCTCAGGAGATAAAATAACTGTCTCTTATAGGGATGTTGGGGACAGGGGTGGGTGAACATGTCTGGGGCCAACTTTTCCCCAGTACTAATTTTATCATTCTCATTTCTAGCATTTTCCTGTTTACATTCTCCCACTCTCCACTCTGGATACAAACCATTCATGTTTCCTGTCTTGCCCTAATCTCAGCCTGTGTGTTGGGTGTTGTTTTTCATTTATCTCTATTGTCTCATTCTCTTGCTCCTTGGGTGTCTGTAGCTACCCCTTCCATGGGAGTTCCTCGTTAATGGTGATCACATTACCCTAATGCATATCTCTTCTACCAGTTACAACTCTAACTTACTTGCCACACTTGCTGTTACTGGCCCTTCATCATAGGCCATTACTGAGGTCTGCCAAAAGTTAAGGTCTTACAGTTTCAGGGGCCTTCACTCTGCCCTGTACAGGAGATATTCATTCTGCTGTTTTCTTTCAGGCTGGGTAAACAAGAACAAGCCTGCTCTGGAGCAGGATGTCTGTAAAATTGACTCATCAGGGATAGTAGTAAAGAGGTTCCAAGAGGATGAATACCAAGATTCTACATTTGAAGAAAAATATGCATGTGAGGGCATGAAGGAAAACTCTCCTAGGGAGATTGCTGAATCATGCCTTTTCCAGGAAGGAGGTTTTGGGAGAATAACTTTCATCCACAAAGAAGCACCCCCTGAAATTATTAGTCAAGGATATAATTTTGAGAAAAGCTTGCTTTTGACCTCAAGCCTTGTTACACGTCTCAGGGTTTCTACAGAAGAGAGTCTGCATCAGTGGGAAACAAGTAATATACAAACCAATGATATTTCAGACCAAAGTAAATGTCCAACTCTCTGCACACAGAAAAAATCTTGGAAATGTAATGAATGTGGAAAAACCTTTACTCAGAGCTCATCCCTTACCCAACATCAGAGAACTCATACTGGAGAGAGACCCTACACATGTGAGGAATGTGGGAAAGCCTTTAGTCGTAGTTCATTCCTTGTTCAACATCAAAGAATTCACACTGGAGTGAAACCATATGGATGTGAGCAGTGTGGGAAAACATTTCGATGTCGATCATTTCTTACTCAGCATCAAAGAATTCACACTGGAGAGAAACCTTATAAATGCAATGAATGTGGGAATTCCTTCCGCAATCACTCACATCTCACTGAACACCAGAGAATTCACACTGGAGAGAAACCTTATAAATGCAATAGGTGTGGGAAGGCATTCAATCAGAATACACACCTTATTCATCATCAGAGAATTCACACTGGTGAGAAGCCTTACATATGCAGTGAATGTGGCTCTTCTTTTCGAAAACACTCAAATCTTACGCAACATCAGAGAATTCACACTGGGGAAAAACCCCATAAATGTGACGAATGTGGGAAAACTTTCCAAACAAAGGCAAACCTCTCTCAGCATCAGAGAATTCATAGTGGAGAGAAACCCTATAAATGTAAAGAATGTGGCAAAGCCTTTTGTCAGAGCCCATCTCTTATTAAACACCAGCGAATTCATACTGGAGAAAAACCATATAAGTGTAAAGAATGTGGCAAAGCGTTTACTCAGAGCACCCCACTCACTAAACATCAGAGAATACATACAGGGGAGAGACCCTACAAATGCAGTGAATGTGGTAAAGCCTTCATTCAGAGCATTTGCCTTATTCGGCACCAGAGAAGTCACACTGGAGAAAAACCCTATAAATGCAATGAATGTGGAAAGGGCTTTAATCAGAACACCTGCCTCACTCAGCATATGAGAATTCATACTGGAGAGAAGCCCTATAAATGTAAAGAATGTGGGAAAGCCTTTGCTCATAGCTCATCTCTTACTGAACATCATAGAACTCACACTGGTGAGAAGCTCTATAAATGTAGTGAGTGTGAGAAAACCTTCCGCAAGTATGCACACCTTAGTGAACATTACAGAATTCACACTGGTGAGAAGCCTTATGAGTGTATTGAGTGTGGAAAGTTCTTCAGACATAGTTCAGTCCTTTTCAGACATCAGAAACTTCACAGTGGTGACTAATGCTGCCATTTAGGTTATGACAGTTTCTCTAGCGAGGATGACTACGAATCTGACTGGGAGTAGAGGGGCAGGTAGAGTTCCTGGAGGGAAGGATGAAGGAGCCTTGGCTACTGTACTCTGAGAGGAATGTTTCCAGAAATGGAGGTGGGAGCTTAGGGAATGCAGAGCCTACTTGAGGTGGGCATCTGGGAATACAGGGTAGAAAGAAATTCCTGCTTTTCAGATAAAGCCTACACATTGCCACTGTCTCCCCATGTGACTCTTACAGCTTGAGGAGGCATTTGTTAGCACTTCTGTTCACTTTACTACATCCTGCCCCACATTCTGACTTGTCACCCATTTTCGTTGGCTGGCAGGTTGAGATGTTTTTCTTAAACACTGCCTGTCAGTGTGAAGTGGCACAGCTCTGATGTAGTGCTAAGTCTAGCCTCCAGATTTGAGGCAGCCCTGACCATGCTACCATGGGGGAGGCTCCCAACCTGTGGAAGTGGTCCTGTGAAAAGGAGACAGAAACAAGTAAGAGCCAAAAAAAAAAAAAAAAAAAATCCATATCCATTCATTAAAAAAATGAGATATAAAGCAACAACTGGGCTGACCTCTATAGATCTGCCAGTAAAGAAGGCTTTCTTTCATTATCAGGGTGAAGGTCTTTCCTGATTCTTCCAAGCTTTGAGGTGACTCAGAGCTAAGAATGAAATAGGAGACCAAGTTAGAATTCATGATACTGGTTTATGGGGAGGCAGTCATACCTGTTCAGAGAACCAGGAAGACTCAATATCTATCTCAGAGGAAATATGGTTACCCAGGAAAGAAATGGTCTGCTAGAGTGATAAGACTCAGAACAGGAAGCCTGCATGTGACTGAGCAAGTCACCTACATAACCCTGCCTGTACTAAGGTGTACACCTGTCTATTGTAAGTTTGCCTAGGCTGTTGGTGTACAGAGACCAGAGGAGAGAGACACACTAGGACTAACAATGTCCTAACAAAATGGTACTTAGTTTGTTGGTCTTTAGGAGAAAGCATTAGTAATGAAAGAAGAAAGAATTTTCACTTGGTTGGACATTGGGGCTCTTAAGAAAGTTGACATTTGTCGTGGAATGACTTTGGAAAGACTTCTAAAAGAATCTTTTTCAAATCCCTGAAAATCAGGATAGCACATTTTGCTACTGACTGTGACAGTGTTTTATTCTTTTGAGAGAAATGACATAGTTTTCCCTTTATTTCCCAAATTCCTTTCATGTTCTTAACTGCTACCCAGAAATTGAGCTTCAGAAGATTGAGGATAGCCTTTGATTGGTATTTAAAATAATTTCTAAGCTGTGAAGCTTATAGCATTTTTAAAGTATGGCTATTAAAAACACTAAGTTGATTCTGGAATGCTTGGTTATTTGGAACTCATCGTTTTTTTTTTTTGTTTTTGTTTTTTTTTTTTTTTTCTAGAGCAGTTGCCTTGTAGGGATAGGTTTGGGCCATGAATTACCATTAATGGGAGTATGGTATAAATATATATCTTTTTCACTTTCTATGAAGATTATGTTCTTAAAACCTACCACCAGTGAAGTCATAATTGAGAAAATTAATACACTATGGGTAAAAATAATGCTGTAAAACCTTTCTAAATATGTTTGTGAAAATATTATTTTACCAAAAGCAAAAATGTATTTATACCTCCTAGATAAAAACTGCATAATTAATTACTGGCACATAATACATGTTCAGTAAATATTTATTTCATGAGTTATATCAACTATTGCCCAACAGAACCTTTCTTGGAACTTCCTGATGAATAGTTATTTATAGCAATATTTGTACACCATCTTGAGAATTATGAGTGGAGATTAGAATAGGGAGAGTTTTCTTAAGAAAGAAACAAGAAAACTTTAAAGATATCTCAGGAGGCTGAGGCACAAGAATCACTTGAACCTGGGAGGTGGAGGCTGCAGCCAGCCGAGATTGTGCCTGTGCACTCCAGCCTGGGAGACAGAGTGAGACTTTTTCTAGAAAAAAAAAAAAAAATGATATCCATAAGTTCTTGTGGGAAAGATTTTCTCAAGTGAAACAGACTTGATCCTGAATTTTTCTCAGGCTGAGAAAATATGGCATGTTTTTACCTTCTGGGGAAACAGTTAAATAACTGTTCTTTCCACTACCCTGACCCCATATTCTTACACTTGGACTTATGTGCTCCCGATTTTCTCTCAGTTGCTGGCCCATGATGTACCTAGTCTCTCCAGCATGGCCCCAAACCTAGTCATTGCCCTCACCCTCAGTTTTCCCTCTTATTCAATCTTCATATCCATTCAACCACTATGTCCTGTTGAAGTTATCTCCTATCTCTGGAAGCCATCTCCACTGCAGTTATTGTAGTCCAGTCCCCTACTCCCTAATTTATTTTCTAGACTATTTTATTTTTAATTTTAATTTTTTTTTTTTGAGACAGGATCTCACTCTGTTGTCCAGGCTGGAATGCAATGGCATGGTCTCTGCTTACTGCAAACCCCCACCTCCCAGGCTCAAGCGATCCTCCCATTTCAGCCTCCCAAATAGCTGGGACTACAGGCATGTGCCACTATCCTTGGCTAATTTTTATATTTTTTTGTAGTGATGGGTTTCACCATGTTGCTCAGGCTGGTCTCGGACTCCTGGGCTCAAGCAATCTGCCTGCCTCAGCCACCCAAAGTGCTGGGATTATAGGCATAAGCCACTGTGCCTGGACTTCCTATTTTAAAATTTATCTACCAGTCTTCCAGTTTCTTGCCCCACTAGGCCATCTTTCACATTTCTTCTTGATCTTTATAAGCATAACTGGCTGCTTATTGTTTTCGGAATAAAGCACTAGTCCTTTAAAGAGGCAGGTGAGGCCCCTCATCTGACCCATGCCTGAATTGCCATCCTTAGCTGCCATTCCTTGCCTGGCATGTTCTATTCCATAGTTCAAATTCCTGTGATTCTGGAATATCACCTCTGGACTCTATTTTGGCACTTCCGCACATAGTGTTCCTATTGCCTCAGTTCCTTTTCCCTGCTTCTGCTTGCCTGCAAAACTCCCATTTTTCACTTACGAGTGTGCTCAGGCAATATCTCAAAGCTGTCTCTAACCTCATGTATTTTTTATTCTGTCTTGTATTTTTCATCATTTTATTATGTTACATTATAATGGTTTGTTCACACATCTTTCCCTTTGTCAGCTTTGCTAGGGAAGGAACAATGTGAAATTTCTTTACCTTTGTATCAACAGTGCCTGGTACTTAGGAGGTGCTCAATAAGCATTTGTTGAACTCAACTGAAGAGTCAGACATTTCTCTGTGCTAGTCTGCAGGTTGTGACTTAAGTCCCCAGTTGTCAGCAGGAAGGAGGCATGGTGAGTATGCGTGTCCACGAAGTGTCTGCCAGGAGCAACAGTTCTGAAACTTTCCCTAAGATTGTATTAAACAGAAGATCCCATAAGAAACAATATTTTTCAATTAGAGATTTAAAAGTCCTATCACAATTTAACTAAACGCTTTCAATTATATTGATGTCAGGGTCAACAGGAGGAAAATGCATGCAACTGCAGAAACACACCTGTGTCAACTGGAATACCTATGAAATAGCAGGAACTGAAGAGTAATGCTGGCCTAGCAGGAGGGCATTTGCAGTTTACAAATCCCAAACTGGGCCAGGCATGGTGGCTTGCACCTGTAATCCCAACTACTCAGGAGTCTGAGGTGGGAGGATTGATTCAGGCCAGGAGTTCAAGAGCATCCTGTGGAACATAACAAGACCTTGTCTAAAAAAAATAAATAAATAAATAAATAAATAAATAAATAAACCAGGTATGGTGGTGCATGCCTGTAGTCCTAGCTATTCTGGATGCTGAGCCTGAGGTGGAAGGATCGCTTGAGCCCAGGTGTTGGGAGCTGCAGTGAGCTAGCATCATGCCACTGCACTCTAGCCTGCGTATCAGAGAGTGAGACCCTCTCTCTTAAAAAAAAAAAAAAAAAAAAAAAAAAAAAAAAAAAAAGTACCAAAGTGGAAGCACTTCCTGAGATTTTGGGCCCTGGGATGATAAAGAATTTGAGTGTCTTGCTTATTGTGCACTGAAATTTAATTCATGACTTTAGAAGGACACAGATGGAGCCACGTCAGATCCTCAGAACAAAAGAGAAAAGATGTTGGGGTTGCTCAAGACCACACAACCAGTGTCAGATGAGGTTTAAACTGCAGTGTCCTTGCATTTCATTTACTTTTCCCTGTATTGGTCATACCTCTATTCCATATGCCTCTTTATTTTTTATAGAACTGACTACTTTTTTTTGTTTCTGAGATGGTTTCGGTCTGTTGCCCAGGCTGGAGTGCAGTAGCGTGATCCTAGCTCACTGTAGCCTAGACCTCCCAGGCTCAAGCGATTCTCTCACCTCAGCCTCCCAAGCAGTTGGGACTACAGGCGTGAGCTACCATGCCTGGCTAATTTTTAAAAAGTATTCTCTGGCCGGGTGCGGTGGCTCACGCCTGTAATCCCAGCACTTTGGGAGGCCAAGGCAGGCGGATCACAAGGTCAGGAGTTTGAGACCAGCCTGACCAACATGGTGAAACCCCGTCTCTACTAAAAATATGAAAATTAGCCAGGCATGGTGGCGCGTGCCTGTAATCCCAGCTACTAAGGAGACTGAGGCAGGAGAATTGCTTGAACCCAGGAGGCAGAGGTTGCAGTGAGCCAAGATCATGCCACTGCACTCCAGCCTGGGTGACAGAGTGAGAGTCTGTCTCAAAAAAAAGTTTTTTAATATTATTTTTTGGTACAGACAGATTCTTGCTATGTTACCCAGGCTCATCTCTAACTCCTGCCCTCAGATGATCCTCCTAACTCGGACTCCCTTACAGGCCTGAGCCACTGCATCCAGCCTAGAATTGACCACTTAGTGCTCCAATCTTTTCCTTATCCTGAGGATGTGAGGAGCTCACTTGTATAAGATTGAGAAGCTTTTTGTTCTCAAAATCTCAGACTTTCCTGAGTGTGAGGGTGACAAGTAAGTTGATGATACCTTTTGACCCCTACTTTCTACATAAGGTAGAAACCTAATCTTGACGATATGTGGCATTAGTTTCATTTATCCAGTGGCCACATCAGGGCTAAGGTTATTTTAGTGTTTTGGAACGTTTTTGGTGTCCATCCCTACCATCCGTTTTCCACCTCATTGAAAGAAGCTCAGCCCAAACTGCTATTAAACTCCAGATTACGGTTTCTAGTAACCTCAGGTGCCTCCCTCCAGACTTAATGTCCTCCACACACTACACCCTGCTGATTTGGAGACTCTTTGAAGCCTAATGTTTGGGGAATGAATAATTAGACCTAGGGTCTCTGGCCTGTGAGATGTTAGGGCTGGAGGGAAGAACTTGCTATCTGATTCCAAAGAAGTGCTGAGAATGTGACACCTGGAGAGGGAAACTTAACATTATTGTTACATGGCATGTCAACTGACAATTTTACAAAGGGTCACTTTTTAGCCAAAGATAGCGATGGCCTCAGTCTGTGGCACCAGCATTCCTGATTTGTGTCCAAAAGGGACTCCATTTTGGGAAAACAGCCAATCTGAAGATTGGAATGGATATTTTTTTTTTTTTTTAAGATGGAGTCTGGCTCTGTCACCCAGGCTGGAGTGCAGTGGCATGATCTCGGCTCACTGCAAGTCCGCCTCCCAGGTTCAAGTGATTCTCCTGCCTCACCCTCCTGAGTAGCTGGGATTACAGGGGCACACCACCACGCCCGGCTAATTTTTGTATCTTTAGTAGAGACGGGGTTTCGCCATGTTGGTCAGGCTGGTCTCAAACTCCTGACCTCGTGATCCGCCCCCCATGGCCTCCCAAAGTGCTGGGATTACAGGTGTGAGCCACCATGCCTGGCCTGGAATGGATAATTTCTCTGCTGCATCTCATTAATTTATACAGCAAGTGTTCACTTCTATATGCTGCACACTAGGGATATGATGGTGTGCACACAGCCCTATTGTCCTGAGATTGCAGATCAGTAGGAATGCTTGGAAGTGAATAAGGTACTCTCCACTCATGCCTTTATCTCTGGACTTTACCTGTCAAGATGAGCCCATGTGTGCAAATATTTCCTGAGTTAGAGCCAGCAAGATCTGAAGTTTTGTAGAAAGGGATGGGTGTGCTACCTTGAGGCCCTGAAAGGTCAGTGAAGTCAGGGCAGAACAATAGGTACTGGAGCTGGGATTTGAGACACAGACAATAGTCCTAACATTTACTGAAGATTTAAAAAATACTAGATGTTCTTAGTAATTCACACGTATTAACCTCACTTAATCCTCACAACAACCCTGTGGTACCATTATTATACCTGGTAAGTGAGGAAGCAGGCACAGAGAGGTAAAGTTGCAAAGTTCATACACTGAGAATCAGGGATTTGAGCCCAAAGCAGTGTTTGATTTGTTTTGTTTTGTTTTTGAGACAGAGTCTCACTCTATCACCCAAGCTGGAGTGCAGTGGCTCAGTCTCTGCTCACTGCAACCTCCCCCTCCCAGGTTCAAGTGATTCTCGCGCCTCAGCCTCCGGAGTAGCTGGAATTACAGGCGCCCACCAGCACACCCGGCTGATTTTTGTATTTTTAGTAGAGACAGGGTTTCTCCATGTTGGGCAGGCTGGTCTTGAACTCCTGACCTCAGGTGATCCGCCCGCCTCGGCCTCCCAAAGTGCTGGGATTACAGGAGTGAGCCACCGCGCCTGGCCTGCAGAACTTTTTCTTTTGGCCACCTGAACAAAGATCCTGGGTCAGTAAGGTGTCAGGGGTTTCTGTGAAGAGGTCAGTTTTCTTCCAGATGAGGATGTGTGTGAGGAAGGTGGAAGCCAGTTTTGTGAAAAGCCTTGAGAATCCCCAAAGGACAGTAACATAGGAAGCTAAATGTGGCGGACTTGCAGGATGAACTGATGCACAGTAAGAGCTCCTTGTGGTCGACCCTTCTGACTTCCATCCCGTTTCCCTGTGCTGGAAGACGCACGCCAGGTGGGGTCGCAGGTTGTTTCTGGTGCCGGCTTAACCGGCGCAGCACCGAAACCCGTAGCTGCGTGCGGGAAGGAACCACCGAGCGGAAGCCGCTCCCACCTTCCTAGAGAGGAGACGGTAGTGGTTATTAGCCGAGGCGCGGACTGCTGACGTCACGCCGGCTGGGCGCGTCCGGGACTTACTCCTTTCCGCAGGGCAGCACCCAGGGACCTGAGTGTTGCAAGGTGCGAGAGGGGAGCGCCGCGGGGAGCGCCGCGGGAAGCGCATGGTGAGCGGTTTCTGCTGTGCCCGGCTGCCGCGGGTCGATTCCAGCTCCTCCCTCGGGAAGCAGGGCGTTTTTCTTCCTGGAGGGCCTGTGGAGCGGAGGCCCGAGGCCTAGGGCAAACTTGCCATGAAGAAAGGAGAGGCTGTTCGAGAGCCCTAGGCTGGGAGTCGGAGGACCTGGGTTCGATTTATACATACTTAAGCATGTCAGTGAACTTCTGGGCACTTTAGTTTTCTGATTTCCAGAAGTAAATACTGTTTCCTGCCTTGCCGTTTCCCAAAGTTGTGCGGGTTGAAGTAAGTATATGCAAGAATTAGTGCCTTCCCTTCATTATTTATTCTTCTCTAACAACAACAAAATAGGTACCGTATGAAGACATGTAGACTCAATACTTTAACAGCAGGCACTATTTATTGAATGCTTACCAGCTGGCATTCTTCTAAGTAGTTGCCATGTAGTAACCCACTTATTCATTACGACAACCCTATAAAGTAGTTACTGGTATCGTCTCCATTTAACAGTTGAAAAAACTGGAGCAAAAAAAGGTTAGGTAACTTGTTCAAAAGTCCTAGTCCTGGAGCCCATGCCATACTTGTAAGTTTGCTGGTGGAAGACAGAATGTAATCAGACTAGAAAGTCCTACAGTAGAAACTTGTAAAATTCTTTGAGAATGTAGACGAGGAAGGGCCTTGGAAAAGTCAAAATTTTCCCACAAGGAAGAGGTGTGAAGTTTCACATTTGAGCTAAATATTAAAGGTTGACTGCAAGCTTGAAAATAATTGCTGGCTTATTTGACCAAATGAGGAAATAAAAGAGACGTTTGAAAATAATTAAACAGTTTGTTCAGTGTCAGTTAAGAGATGCTAGTGGATTGGGATGTATTAGACAGGAAACCAGGTTCCTGCCTTTGAATACAGTGTTCTTTGCATTAGGAGGGTTCTTGAAACCTTTCCCTTATGAAGAGTCCTTAACATCTTACAGCAGATACTCCTTACACAAAGGCAATCCTCTTGTTATTTTCGAGAAATTCCCCCAATTCTAATTGTAGGAGGATAACTGACAGGAAGTTTCCCTGCTGTTGATTCAGCCCGTTCTTAACAAGACCCATTCACCTCACGGCTAGCTCATTTAGTACTTTTCAAATAAATGAATAAACAGATTCAATCAAAGATGGACTGGAAGGGCTTGATTTGAGGTTTTTGCTCTTTTCCCATCTGTATATAGAATCAAAGCTTTGTAGAATGTTGATATTACAAGAAGCTTTAAATATTATCTAGCTTTTCAATTTCATTTAACAAATAAGAAATGGATGAGACTGAGTGACCTGTGTTAGGTCATTGAACAAATTGGTGGCAGAGCTGAGACTAGAATCCACACCTCTTGACTGAGTCCATTACTGGTCCTACTGCCCTCTATTGTAGCCCTGCAGCATTTGACTTTTGAAATCAATGGCTTTTCCAGTAGACTTAGGGGAGCCATTGGGCTCCAACCTGATGTCGTATAAAGAAATTTTTACGCCCAGATGCTTAGTCCTAGGAAGGACCTGCCCTCTTTGTACATTGTCACATCTCTCTGAAGTCTGCCAACTCACTAATTTTTGTCACTGGAGATACTCCTCTAGGATAATAACGATATTCTTTCATTTGAACTTAAAATGGTCATTTGGTTAGAGATGGGATGTTCTTGAGTTACCCTGAATCTAGAAGGTGTAGGAAGTAGGCTGGCAATTTATGAGTGGCTCTTTTTCCTCCCTCAGTGCCTCAAATTCCTGCCTTTCCTCAAGAGAAGAGCCCCCAGGAGAAAAGCCAGTATTGCTTGTGCTCCTAACAACCTGTCTCTTGGTAAGTTAACTCTAACTAGAGAGCCCAGGATGGTGGTGGTTGTGAGACTACCATCAGAAGTGATGGCAGACCTATGGTGGGACCCACCAATGTCCACTAAATGTGGACCCAGCAGAAAATGCAGGACCACACAGAAATGGATACCATTTTACTCAAATCAGTGAGGGTGGCCCACTGTGAAAACGGCTATGGAATAATTGGTTATGGGACAGGTCCTAGAGTGCACTAAGTTCTTATCAGAGTACCTGAACTGAAGACTCTACAGTCATCTGGTAGCACATCTTTAAACCACTTATTGAACTGCTCAGTATGATGCCTTAATGGTGTAGTGGTTGGATCAAGGAATATGGGTAGTAAATTATTGGAAAACCCATTGCAAATGTGATTAGGTATTTCCTCAGAGAATATGGAATGGGCTTCTGGCCATGTTTAGAACAAGAGCTTAAGTTATTGCAGCTGACATTGTCACTGGCAATCAAAAGGCAACATGGAGCCTGGGTGTCTGTCAAACTCAGTAAAATAATTCTGGGTAAATTGTATTCTTAGGTTATGGGAACTCTGTGAAGAGAATATGACTGTGTCCTGAAGAATTTGGATTAGTTTAATATGTATGCATAATATATGTACACTTATGTACGTATTTATGTTTATATGCATCAAGAGATACCTAGAAGAAGGTCCATTAAAATACTATTATTTTCTGTGGCTGGGTTTCAAGTGATTTCCTCTTCGGAGTAGCTGACCATTTAATAGAATGAGCATGCATTCTTTGTATGATAAGAAAAAAACCTTTTTATTTTGGAAAAATGAGAGTAAAGGAATTAAAAATGTGCTTAGAGTTTTGGTTTTACATCTGGTTGCTTAAACCAACTGGAGTTTGTTTTTGTATATAGCATATCCATGTTGTAAGTTAATACATCAGATAAAGATAGGTTTAGGTAAGATAGTCCACATATTTAACAAACAGTATGGTACAGGCATTGCCCAAGCAGGTAGTCGTGAACAATTTGTACAGATATAGCAGTGTGTATCATTTGACTCTCAGCCCCAATAGATCCATATGTACCAACATGAAGTGATCTCTAAGACACATTTTTTAGTGGGAAATAAAAGCAAATTGCAGAGCAGAACCTGTAGAACAATTTCATTTATTTAAAGAGAATCAAGTGATATATGTGTATAGAAAAATGTGAAGAAAAAAGGAATGAAGGAAGATACTTCAAACTTGATAATCTCTGGGGAAAGGAATAGGTTTATTTTGTTAACAAAAATTTTCTTTTAGAGAAGGGGTCTTGCTCTGTATACTAGGCTGGAGTGCAGTGGCATGATCATGGCATACTCCAGCCTCAACATCCTGGGCTCAAGTGATTTTCCCACCTCAGCCTACTGAGTAGCTGGGACTACAGGTGCACATGACCACACCCAGCTAATTTTTTATTTTTTGTAGAGACAGCATCTCACTATGTTGCCTAGGCTGCTCTTAAAACTCCTGGCCTCAAGTGATCCTCCTGCCTCAGCCTCTCAAAGTGTTGAGATTATAGGTGCGAGCCACCATGCCTGGCCTATCTTATATACTTCCATATTATCTAAATATTTTAAAGTGAGGATATATAGTTGTGTAATTTACATGATTAGAAAACAGACAAAAATGGGCCTCAGAGAAGAAGCATGTGTTAGTGTCTCCAGCACCAACTAGGGAAGAGATTGCTCTGACGTGCAGCACCTGAATATTCATTCTTTAATTCTGTGTGGCTTATTTAGGGCACCAGGGTTTCAAAATTTGATAATCATTTAGTTATGATCAATTAAATATTTTGTTCTTTCTCCAGTTCTTTGTTTCCCAAAGAGTGCTCTAATGACAGTGATTTGGTTCACATACTGTTTTTCTAAAGTCCAGAGAATATGTTAACCAGCTCTATATTAAGCACAGAAGTTTTTCATTGTAAATAAATGAAGTGACTTTATTTTCTCTCTCATTCCCCTTATAAATCTGATTAGTATATTTCAGATTTCTTTGGCTACAAAGGTGAGGGCCAGCACCTGGACCATGATGCTGTAGTCAAGTTACTGTCCAATTAAACCTTCTTCTTTAAGGACCACTTCTCTAATTTTCCTGAAACAAAACAGTGATATCTTACTTTCTTTCAGTAAGCAGGACTCTAGTTTTCAAACCTATAGGTTTCCAGTTGGGCCTAGGGAGAGAATTATAGATGGTGAATGTTTTGGAGAGAAAGAGAGATCCAATGAGGCACCTGTAAAGGTGACTGAATGAAGAAGGATTGGTGAGATAGGCCTAGTGAAAGTTACAGCCTGGATCACATTTGAAGTTTTAGAAAGGAAACTCTTTGACTATCACTAGCCTGCCATGATTATAGGTAACCTAAAGAAATAGAGTTATTATTCCTCTGTTTTTTGAGCAGTAGAGACTAAGTGGACAGTAAGTTTCCGTAACACTTATATGCCCAAGTCTAGGATACTTATTCCTTTCATATTTTCCAGTTATTTATCACTGTGGGTGCAAATCTGGATGATCCCAAATTACCTGGGTTAGTTTTTAGTATTTGATTGTTTCAGAATCAATTGTGATATGGAATTTTATAGAATTCCTAATACCTGTCACTACTTAATCTCTTCAGAGAGGCTGATCATCAGGGGTTCACTTTCAGAGAAGTTGAGAATGCAGGCTGAACAAGGAAGAGGAAGGGGAATCCTGCAGGGATGAATGAGAGGACAGCAATGCATGTGTGATGTGTGTGAGCACACACACACAGTAACCTTTCCTAGGAGAACTGTATTACTCTAATGATAATCACCTTTGAGGAAAAAAAACTTGTAAGTATGAATTTGGTGTTACAAGCAGCATGAATTCCAGCCAAATATCACTCAGAATGAAACATGGGAGAGTTAACATGCAGAAGAAACCTTCAAAGTGTAGTGAATGTGGGAAGTTCTTTACTCAGAGATCATCTCTTACCCAGCACCAGAGGATTCACAGAGGAGAGAAGCCCTATGTGTGCAGTGAATGTGGAAGTTGTTTCCGTAAACAGTCAAATCTTACTCAACATCTGAGAATTCATACCGGAGAGAAACCTTATAAATGTAATGAATGTGAGAAAGCCTTTCAAACAAAAGCAATTCTTGTTCAGCATCTGAGAATTCATACTGGAGAGAAACCCTATAAATGCAATGAATGTGGAAAAGCCTTTTGTCAGAGCCCATCCCTTATTAAACACCAGCGAATTCATACTGGAGAGAAACCATATAAATGTACAGAATGTGGCAAAGCCTTCAGTCAGAGCATATGCCTTACTCGTCATCAGAGAAGTCATTCTGGAGATAAACCTTTTAAGTGTAATGAATGTGGGAAAGCCTTTAATCAGAGTGCATGTCTCATGCAGCATCAGAGAATTCATTCAGGAGAGAAGCCCTACACATGCACTGAATGTGGTAAAGCCTTCACTCAGAACTCTTCCCTTGTTGAACATGAAAGGACTCACACTGGAGAGAAACTTTATAAGTGTAGTGAGTGTGAAAAAACTTTCCGCAAACAAGCACACCTTAGTGAGCATTACAGAATTCATACTGGAGAAAAACCTTATGAGTGTGTTGGATGTGGGAAATCCTTTAGGCACAGTTCAGCACTTCTTCGACATCAGAGGCTTCATGCTGGAGAGTAAAATTTGGAATATAATGAGTATGGGAAGATTTGTATGGAAGCACCTTTTTTTTCTCCTAAATTCCTAGGAATGTAAGACTCAATCTGTAGCTAGTATGAATATTTTGTATTTTGAACAAGAAATGTTGTGTCCTAATGTGTCCTAGTCTGGAGTTTGATGCCTTATCTGCTGCTCAGTGGGTGTAACCTTATCCCTTCTGAGCCTCAGTTTCCCCATTCCCCCCAATAGAAAAATGGGGATATTTCCTAGGGTTGTCCTGAGAATAAAATGAGTTCTGTGTGACAGTTAACTGCCATTAATTAATTAGCCGTTCTAAAAGTTTATTTACAATATCAAAATCTGACAAGTAAATCAGCATTGTTGTTTGGTTCTCATAATGTATTGTTTCTTAAGAACATTTTGTAATTGGGCTATGATTTTATGATCTACAGACGTCTATTTAAACTATAATGTCTTGGTTTAAATAGGATAATACAATCTAAGACTGGTTTGTCCTTGAGAAATTTCAGATTTAATCAGAGAAAAATGTACTGATTGGGATTTGAGTGGACATTGTGGGGTGTATTTCTGGATACCCTCAAGATCTTCATTTAAATTTTGATACTTTCTATTACTAGATCTAATTTGATTTTAAGCTCTAAGTTTCACTTTTCCATTAAACGGAAAGCCTCCCTGACATTAACTGAATAAAACCTCATGTTGTGGGACTTCTGTGTGTGTTTAGGGTTGGCAGCAGGTGATTAGGAGAAGGCATATGACAGTAGAGAGGACTGGAATATAGAGGAGAATATAAGCATGTAGATGAGGATGTGGCTGTATTTGTTTTGAGTTCTAGGAGCACAGCACCAAATGTGGTCTCTTAAGGGAAGATGAGGGTAGAAGATGTTAAGATCCCAGGTTCCAGCAACTGATGCCACTGACTAACAACTAGCCACTTGTCAGAGGAAGGAGAGAACAGTGTCTTGGGGATGCTGATGGGTTGGAGTGCCTAATGGCTCATTAAAAGCCATGAAAAAGCAAAGAAATCAAAGAATACTTTTGATGGAGCTTTAGGCTATGCTAAGCCTTTTAATGTAAACAAGCACCTCTAACGCTAAAAGCACCCTTGCAAGAAAGGTAGGAGTTACTATTCACATCCTAGAGTCAAGGAAAAAGAGAAGATGTTTGACTTGCTCAAAGTCAAGCAGGTAATGTCAGAATTGAATCTCAAATCTATATCTTTATAGATTTGCAGTTCTGGTTTATATAATACCAAAGTCACATACAGGTAATTTCCCACCATTGAACCTTCCTGTTGGTGTGAGATGCCAAATCTGTGAAAACCAGACACAGGTGGCCAGGTGGGTGTCGAACTCCTGACCTCAAGTGATCCGCCTGCCTCAGCCTCCCAAAGTGCTGGGATTACAGGTGTGAGTCACCACATCTGGTCGGATTTTAACTATTCTAATAGGTATGTAGTGGTATTAATTGTTTTAATCTGCAGTTCACCAATAATATATGAATTTAGCATCTTTTCATATGTTTGCCATCTGTATAGCTTTGGTGAGGTATCTGTTAGAGGTTTTGCCCATTTTTAATTGGATTGCTCATTTTCTTATTGTTGAATTTTAAGTGTTCCTTGTATATTTTGTATAACAGACCTTTATCAGATAGGTCTTTTGCAAATATTTTCCTCCCAGGCTGTGGCTTATTTTCTCAATCCTTGATTCCTTCTCTTTACTTTTTTTTTCTTTTTTCTTTTTTTAAAGAAATGGTAGCATAATATACACAGTTGTCCATTTTTTAAAGACTAAACCATCTCACAGATTGTTCTGTATCAGTAAATAAAGATCTTTCCCCCACCCTTGCCCAGTGTGTCATTGTCTTAATAGACCATTATTAGTTCCCTATTGGTGGACACTTAATGGCTTTTATTTTTCTGTTGTAAGCAAAACTGCATATACAGCATCCTTGTCTTTAGGCACATGTGCAAGATATTTATAAGGTAATTCTCAGGCTGGGCACAGTGGCTCATGCCTGTAATCCCAGCACTTTGGGAGGCCGAGGTGGGTGGATCATTTGAGGTCAGGAGTTCGAGACCAGCCTGGTCAACATAGTGAAACCCCACCTCTACTAAAAATACAAAAATAATTAGCCAGCATGATGGAGGGCACCTGTAGTCCCAGCTACTCAGGAGGCCGAGGCAGGAGAAATTGCTTGAACCTGGGAGATGAAGGTTGCAATGAGCTGAGATTGCACCACTGCACTCCAGCCTGGGCGACAGAGCAAGACTACGTCTTAAAAAAAAAAAAAAGAAGAAGAAGAAGTATGTGCCTTGGTAGCTTTGATAGAGAGTGTGACCTCCCAGATGTTTAGTTAATCCACTAACAATGGATGAGAGGTGTGCTCAGTAAAGCAAATAAACAATTGCTCAACAATTCTTTGGTACCAAAAAATTTTTTTTGAATTTCCAACTCACCCCACATTGTTGACAGAATTTCCACCTGTTAGCTAGGAGGCTGAGGAAGGAGGATCAACTGAGCCCAGGCATTCGAGAGCAGCCTCAGCAACAAAGCAAGACCTCAAAAACAAATGAACAACCTGTTTACCCTGATGTGATTTTAATGCATTTTATGCCTGTATCAAAATATCTCATTTATTCCATACATATATACACTTACTATGTGCCTACAAAAATTGAAAAATAAAAATAAAAAATTTCCACCTGTTATCTGAGTAACCAGCATAACACACTTGAATCCATTTGCAATGTAGTTGTCACATTCTTAGTGATTCTGCATAGGATCAAGCATTTTACTCCCTATGTGTTCTATTGCAGTCATGCCCAAGCCTGTACATACTGAAATATATATCGTTTTTATTATAAATTATGTTGTTTTTAAGACTTTTTCATATTAAGCTAGGTGATTTATTAATTTTTAATAATGTATATATGTAGGTGGTTTATATTTCCTAGGATTTTCATTTTAGGGTAGTAAAGGTGGTATTATGAAAATATCTGTGTAGGCTGGTGGCAGTGGTGCACACCTGTAATTCCAGTGTTTGACTGGCTGAAGTAGGAGGATCGCTTGGGTGCAGGAGTTCGAGGTTGTAGTGAGCTGTGATCTTGCCACCACACTAGAGTCTGGGTGACAGTCCGACTCTGTCTCAAAAAAACTCTGTAGGGCATTGGGTTTGATGGGGGCTTAGTGAACGCTTCATGGCATATATTAGAGAATGCAGAAAATGTGCTATAATGAGACTAGAGTTTGAGCCCTAGAAGTATGGCCTTAGGTAAAGTTCTGAACATTGCCCCCTTTTATTTGTAAAATGGAAATGAGATACTATTAATAATACTCCGGGACTTCTGTAAAAAAGAAATACACAAGAATCCTAGATGTATACATAAAACCCAGAACCATAAAACTCCAAATGAAATTTTAGAACATTATTTTTGCAAACATTAGGTAGGCAAAGATTTGTTGGACAGGAGAAAACATTAGCCATAAAATTAAAAATATAATAATTTCATACAATCAATAAATTAATGAAAATGAAGAATATTCTGTCACTAAGAGAAACCTTTAAGAAAATTAGCAGACAAGCCACAGGCTGGGGAAATTTTTTTTTTTTTTTTTTTTGAGACGGAGTCTTGCTCTGTCGCCCAGGCTGGAGTGCAGTGACACGATCCTGCCTCAGCCTCCCGAGTAGCTGGGACTACAAGGGCCCGCCACCACACCCGGCTAATTTTTGGTATTTTTAGTAGAGACGGGGTTTCACCGTGGTCTCAATCTCCTGACCTTGTGATCTGCCCGCCTCGGCCTCCCAAAGTGCTGGGATTACAGGTGTGAGCCACTGTGCCCGGCCACGGAAAATATTTATAACATATATTAACAAGGGATTTGTACCCAAGATTTATAAACAGCTCCTACTAAGGAAAAATAAAAATATAAACAACCCAATTAAAAATGGGCAAAAGACTTGAAGAGACATTTAAACAAAGATATACAACTAGCCATTAACACATGAATATGATGCTCAGTGTCTGTGATGATTAATTTTATGTATCAAGTTGACTAAGTAAGCTATGGTGCCCAGATGTTTGGTCAAACATCAGTCTAGATGGTGGTTTTTAGATGTGACTAACATTTAAATCAGTAGGCTTTGAGTAAAGCAGATTACCCTCTATAATATGGATGGGCCTTAGCCAATCAGTTAAAGGCCTTAAGAGAGAAAAGACTGACGTCCCCTGAAGAAGAAAGAACTGTCTCCAGACTGCCTTGGGACTTGAGCTGCAACAACTCTTCCCTGGGCCTGCAGCCTGCTGGCCTGCCCTGCAGAATTTGGACTTGCCAGCCACCAGCCCACACAAGCATGTAACCAATTCCTTAAAATAAAATCAATGTGTATCATTCTCTCTCTTTCTATCCCCATCTATGGGTTCTGTTTCTGTGGAGAACCATGCATGATAATACAGCATCTTTAGTCATGGGAGATATGCAAATTAAAACAAGATACATCTCATACATTCTTAAATCCCTAAAACAAAGACTAACAACCCCAAATATTGGTGAATTTGTGTGGCAACTGGAACTCTCAAACATTATTTATGGGAGTTAAAATGGTATACTCATTTTGGCCGGGCATGATGGCTCATGCCTGTAATCCCAACACTTTGGGAGGCCAAGGTGGGCAGATCACTTGAGGCCAGGAGTTCGAGACCATCCTGGCCAACATGGTGAAACCCCGTTTCTACCAAAAATACAAAAATTAGCTGGGTGTGGTGGCACACAGCTGTAATCCCAGCTACTTGGGAGGCTGAGGCAGGAGAATCGCTTGAACCTGGGAGGCAGAGGCTGCAGTTAGCCGAGATCATGCCACTGCACTCCAGCCTGGGTGACAGAGCAAGACCCTGTCTCAAATAAATAATAAATAAATAAATAAAATAAAATGGTATAATCATTTTGAAGAACTATTTGGTAGTTTCTTAAAATGGTAAACATACATTTAGCCTATGATCCAGCAGTTCTAGTCTTTATTTACCCAAGAGTAATAAAAACATGTTCACAATAAACTTTCAGAAGAATGTATATAGCAGCCTTATTCTAATAGTGAAAAACTGGAAACAACCCAAATGTCTGTCAATAGGTGAATAAAGAAATTATGCATGGCCGGGCATGGTGGCTCATGTGTAATCCCAGCACTTTGGGAAGCCAAGGCGGGTGGATCACCTGAGGTCAGGAGTTCGAGACCAGCCTGACCAGTACGGTGAAACCTCGTCTCTACTAAAAATCCAAAAATTAGCCAGGTGTAGTGGTGCGTGCGCCTGTAGTCCCAGCTACTCGGGAGGCTGAGACAGGAGAATTGCTTGAACCTGGGAGGTGGAGGTTGCAGTCAGCGGAGATAGTGCTACTGTACTCCAGCCTGGGCAACAGAGTGAGACTCCATCTCAAAAAAAAAAAAAGAAATTATGCTATATTCATATAATGAAGTATTACACAGCAATAAAATTACCAATACACACTCAGCGTGGGAACTTTCTGGGATGATTGAAATGTTCTATAGTTTCTTGTTTGTGTGGTGACTACACAGGTAAACACAACTGTCAAAACTTACCAAACTGAACACCAAAGATACATATGTTAATTATATCATTATAATTCACATGCAATAATTTATATTATGCCTCACCATGAACATTTTCTAAGGATTAAATGAGTTTAAATATATTCTTATAGATTTAAAAGGCTATGATAGTAAGTATTGGAACTTGAAATCTCACAACTTATTCACAGATGGAGCCTCCACCTGGAGAGTAATAATTTTAATACACTGATGGCAGAAAGCAAAATGAATTGTACAATTCCTTTGGAAAAGAATGGCAGTTTTTCAAAAGATTATATACCTGCAATACAATCCAATATTCAACTCCTAGGCATTTACCCAAAAGAAATGAAAACATGTTTAGAAAAAGACTTGCACGTGAATGTTCATAGCAAATTTATTTGTTATAGCCAGAAAATGGAACCAATCCAAATGTCTGTCATTTGTTGTAGACCCTCTCACTGTATGGGAGCGGCTACTAAAGAAAGCTAGAACTTTGGATGATGATTCGCCAGGTCAGTAAAATAGGATGATATTTGGAAAGAGAAAGGCAGAAGTTGCAAGGCCAGACAGGGAACATGTTGAGTTGCAAAAGAGGCACAGCAGTAACTAGATACATGAGGTGACAGGGAGAAGTCAAGACACCAAGCTTATACCCCTGCAGCTGGGATTCCTTAAATCCTTTACCTGCCCCAAAGCCCAGGCCATAGCTCCGTTTTTGCCTTGCCCATCACCATTTCCATTCTGCCAAGTCCAGCTTCCGTTGCTTATGGGGTTACAGAGAATCTCCTCTGAGAGGCAGACGGTCCTGCTGCATTTGTGCCAGAGACTCAGGTTGACTTGATGACTCAGGGAGAAGCAAGGGCAAAGGGAAAACTGATGCCAAGCCACCATCTGCACAGGGTGTGAGGGGAAAAGTGGACTGGTCCAGCTGGATTGGTGCAGAATGGAGAAGGTTGGTAAGGATTGAGAGTCTCAGAGCAACTGGGAAGATGGTTTGCATTCTAGGACCCTACACCGCAGATTAAGAAGGATCTAGGCTCTGGAGAAAATAGAGGCTATGATCAACTGAGTAGCGAGAAAAGTTATGGCTATGCATGGGAGAATTTGGGGAAACAATGATTAAAAATACAAAGTTCAGGGTCTCATCCTGTAGCTAAAGAACCTAGTCAGCTGTCCCTCAACAGCTCCAGGGACCAGGCTTGTCTTAGCCATTGCCACTTTCTAAGACAACATTCAAATTGATGATACTAAATGGTCCCTTCTACCCCAGCTTCTAGGACCATATATGCCTAAGTCATATTAAACCTAGAGCTGCCATTAGCCTAAGAATGACTGTGGGGCCAATGGGGAGGATTCCTAACGTCAAACCTGGACAGATGCCTTCTGTCTGCTCTTTCTCCTCCCTGAAAGACTCCATGCATGATCTGGGAGAAGCCATAGGTTGGTGAGAGTAGGTGTCAGTTGAAAGATAGTTTCTATAGTAGAGTTTATTGCTTTCTGGGGGAGAGAGCAGGCCCAGGAGTGGGGAAAGGGCCACAGAAACAGGCGCCTGGAAACTCAGACATGTGTCTTCCTTCCCAATGTGACTGTCTGGCCCTGGTTGTCTTGAGCCATCCAGCCAGATATGACTGTATGTTGTGCTGTTTTGTGTCAAACATCAGAACACCTCTGACCTTTACAAAGTGGGAGGGAATCCCTTGTGGGCTGCAGGACTCCTAACAATTAAAAAAAAAAAATCCCACTAATACCTAGAACTGCGCTAACACAGTAGCTACGACCCATTTGTGGCTATTTAAATTTAAATAATTAAGTAGAAGGAAAAATTCAGTTCCTTGGTTGCTCTAGCCACATTTCAAGTGCTTAATAGCCATAGGTGGCTAGGGCAGAATGTTCTATTGGACAACACTTGGACTTGATGTTTGGAAGTCCCAGACAGTAAATTTCAACATATTTTTTGGACGCTGGTATAGATTTTTCAACCTTTTGGCAAAGTAAGTACAATAAACTACCACCTGTCAAAATCATTATTTCATAAAATAAAGTATATTTTAACTTCAAAGAAACAAGAAAGATATAATCTCAGAATAAAGGACTCGTTCAGAAGAGAGGATAATTTGACACCTTTACACTGACCCTTTTGACCCCAGACAAGCCCTGGAGTCTGTATTGGCATTTATGTGCCATTGCCATACCCTAGGATTCTGGCCTCTTTAGTACTGGACATCGGTTGCCCTTGTGCCCTATCCTTGAAAAGGACATCAGGAAGGCCCTAGCAGGATCTTCGTGGCCTTTGGGAGTGAGGTGTCCTTCTCAGTGCATATCAGTAGGTCATGATGTCAGTATGACATTTTTTTTTTTTTTTTGAGACGGACTGTTGCTCTTGTTGCCCAGGCTGGAATGCAAAGGCTCATCGCAACCTCTGCCTCCCAGGTTCAAGCGATTCTCCTGCCTCAGCCTCCCAAGTAGCTGGGATTACAGGCATGTGCCACCATGCCCGGCTAATTTTGTATTTTTAGTAGAGATGGGGTTTCTCCATGTTGGTCAGGCTGGTCTCAAACTCCCGACCTCAGGTGATCCACCTGCCTTGGCCTCCCAAAGTGCTGGGATTACAGGCGTGAGTCTGGCATCAGTATGACTTATTACTGGTAATATTAACTTTGATCAGGCAGTTAAGGTGACATTTGCCTAGTTTCTCCACTGTAATGTTACTAGCTTTTCTTTCTTCTTTTCTTTTCTTTTTTTTTTTTTTGAGACAGAGTCTCACTCTGTCCCCCAAGCTGGAGTGCAGTGGTGCAGTCTTGGATCACTGCAAGCTCCACCTCCCGGGTTCACGCCATTCTCCTGCCTCAGCCTCCCAAGTAGCTGGGACTACAGGCGCCCGCCACCACGCCCGGCTAATTTTTTGTATTTTTAGTAGAGATGGGGTTTCACCATTCACAGGATGGTCTCGATCTCCTGACCTTGTGATCCGCCCGCCTCAGCCTCCCAAAGTGCTGGGATTACAGGCATGAGCCATCACGCCTGGTCACTAGTTTTTCTTTTGTAATTAGTGTCTTGTGGGGAGATACTTTGAGACTGTGAAAATACTCTGGTTTTGAGCATAATTTTGGCCACTAATTTTGGCATCCTTTGATGAGTCTTTCCAACAGCACTTGTGTATTAGTTTCCTATGGCCGCTATAAAAAATTATCACAAACTTGGTGGCTTAGAACAACAGAAATTTATTCTCTCAGAATTCTGGATGCCAGAAGTTTCAAATCAGCTACTCTGCTCAAATCAAGATGTTGGCAGGGCCATGTTCTCTCCAAAGGCTTTAGGGGAGAATCCATTGCTTGTCTCTTCCAGCTTCTGGTGCAGCCAGTATTCCTCAGCTTATAGCCACATCACTCCAGTCTCTGCCTCCATCTTCACATTTCCTATTGTGCCTAATCTCCCTCTATCTGTCGTTTATAAGGAAAGGTGTGAGTGTAATGGCATTTAGGACCCACTTATATAATCCAGGATAATCCACTTATCTCAAGATTGTTAATTTAATCACTTTTGCAAAAACTACCACGTAAGTTACCATTCACAAGTTCCAGGATCAAGACCCGTTGTCTTTAGGGACCATCATTCAGCCCGCTAAATTTTTTTACTGTGGAATTTGCCAAATACTGTTTCTATTTCCATAATTCCTCCTAACTTTATTAAAATTCTACTATAAGGAAGACCTAGCCCTTCTCATGTGTTCAAAATATATATATATTGTTTATATCAATAAGAATTTTATGAGTTGTTATCTACTATCATTAATTCCTTGTTCAAATTGCCCCAGATTTGGCCATTGGTAACTCCTGCTAGTTGGCTCCTGTATCCTTTTGACATGCCTTCATCATTTTTATATTTTTGAGACAGGATTTCATTCTGTCTCCCAGACTGGACTGCAGTGTTGTGATCACAGCTCACTGCAGCCTCAACCTCCTGGGATCAAGCAATCCTCCCACCTTAGCCTCCCAAGTAGCAGGGACTACAGGTGTGCGCCACTAGATACTGCTAATTTTTGTACTTTTTATAGAGATGGGGTTTTGCCATGTTGCCCAAGCTGGTCTTGACCCCCTGGGCTCAAGTGATCCACCTGCCTTGGCCTCCCAAATTGCTGGGATTATAGGCGTAAGCCACCTCCCCCAGCCGTTCATCATTTTTTAAACACCTCCTAATTTTTTGGCACAAGAGGTTCCAGGATCAGTTTTTACTATCTCCACTTTAGCCCTCAGAATCAACTATTTCTCCAAGGAACCCTAGTTTCTTTTTGGAGAATGATCTTTAGAAACTCTCTAAGCAATGCCGCCACCATCAGTGTTATAAACACTGGGAGCTCATATCTCTCCTATCCAATTCCAACCCCAACCTAGGACCTTGCTACTACCTTTAATTCCCAAAGACTAGCTAAATCTTGACTGTCACATTTGATAAGGTTTTACCAGTTTGAGGGCCACAAAAAAAGGGAAATACTGTACACTAACATGGCCCAGTTCTCATGGGATTTCCTAAAGTTGCCTCCCTGCCTAGCCTTTGGCTTGCCTGCCTCATGCTTAGCAAAGAGCATCTTTCCTCTTAAAAGTGAGAGTCTCCTAGGTTGTAGGGCAGTGGTTCACACTCTTGGCTGCAATTTGAAATCACTGGGAGCTTTCAGAACTACTGGTTCCACCACCAGAGTTTCCAATTTAATTAATGTAGGTGTGGTTTGGGTATTAGTGGCTCTGTTTCTCACACCTAGCTATACATAAGAATCACATAAGGAGTTTTATAAAAAAGAACTGGATGTCCAACTATTAGGTTAAAGGTTGAAAAGAAAGTTTATAATGAGCAGTTCAAGCTTGTCTTAATCCATTTTTTGTTACTTAGAATACCTGAAACTGGGTAATTTATTTTAAAAGAGGAATTTATTTATTTTTGAGACAGGGTTTTGCTCTGTTGCCCAGGCTGGAGTTCAGTGGTGCAAACATGGCTCACTACAGCCTTGACCTCCTGGACTCAAGTGATCCTCCACTTCAGCCTCCCAAGCAGCTGGGACCACAGGCACACATCACTGTGCCTAGCTAATGCTTTCATTTTTGTAGAGATAGGGTCTCGTCATGTTGCCCAGGCTGGTCTCAAAACTCCTGGCTCAAGCAATTCTCCTGTCTCAGCCCCACAAAATGTTAGTATTGCAGGTGTGAGCCACCACACCTGGTCTGAGGGATTTACTTCTTAACAGTTTTGGATGCTAAGAAGTCCAAGGTAGAGGGGCCACATCTGGTGAGGGTCTTCTTGCTGGTGGAGACTCTCTGGAGTCCTGATGCAGTGTATCATATGGTGAGGGGACTGATTATGCTAGTTCAGGTCTCTCTTCCTCTTCTTATGAAGCCACTAGCCCCACTCCCATGAGAGCCCACTAATCCATGAACCTATTTACCCATTAATGCATGAATGAATTAATCAATTCATGAGGGCAGAGCCCTCATGACCTAATAACCTCTTAAAGGCTACATTGGGGATTAAATTTCAACATGATTTTGGAGGGTACAAATATTCAAACCATAGCATTTCATCCTTGGCCTCCCCAAACTCACGTCTTTCTCACGTACAACCCTGTAACTCCAAAAGTCTTAACAACCAGCATCAACTCAAAAGTCCAAAGTCCAGAGTCTCATCTATGAGCCTATAAAATCAAAACAAGTTATTTACTTTCAAGATACATTGGTGGTACAGGAAAAAGACAGATTCCCATTCTAAAAGTGAGAAATAGGCAAAAAGAAAGGAGTAACAGGCCCTAAGGAAGTCTGAAACCCAGGAGGGTAGACATTATTATTTTTTTTTTGAGGCGGAGTCTCACTGTATTGCCCAGGCTGGAATGCAGTGGTGTGATCTCAACTCACTGCAACATCCGCTTCTAGGGTTCAAGTGATTCTGCCGCTGCTGCCTCAGCCTCCGGAGTAGCTGGGACTACAGGCATGCACCAGCAATACCCAGCTAATTTTTGTATTTTTAGTAGAGATAGGGTTTCACCATGTTGGGCAGGCTGGTCTCTAACTCCTGACCTCAAGTGATCCTCCTACCTCGGCCTCCTAAAGTGCTGGGATTACAGGCATGAGACACTGCACCTGGCCAAATCTTAAAGCTGGAGAATAATCCCTTTTGCCTCCATGTGCTTCCTCCTGGACACACTGGGGCGGGGATTGGGCCGCCAAAGCCTCAGGCAAGCCCACCCCTATGGCATTGCTGGGTGCAGCCCACATGGCTACTCCTACAGGATGGAGTCTGGTGCCTGCAGCTTTCCCCAGCAGGTGCTGCATACTGCCTGTGATTCTGTAGCTCTTGGTGATGGTTCTGTTCCCATGGCTCCACTATGCATGGCCCTAGTGAGGACTCTCAGTAGTGGCCTTGCTTCCACAGCTCCACGATGCATTGCCCTGGTTGGGACTTTCTGCAGTAGCTCCAGCTCCACATCTCTGCTCGGTGTTGCTCTACTGGGGGCACTCTCTTTGGGGGCGGCTCCACCCCTGCAACAAGTCTCTGCCTGGGCAGCCATCCTTTGAAATTTTGGTGGAGGCTGGCAAACATCACATTTTTTTTTTTTTTTTTTCCTGCAAGCCTGCAGAATTAGCAGGTGGACATCACCAAAATTTACTATTTTTACTCTGGAGCTTCAAATACATGTTCAACATTGCTTAGAAGCAGCATGAGGAAACAGGCCTCGTCTTTCTTCTTTGAGCCTCTCTTCTCTTGACTCCAAACTCACCACTCTTAGCAAAATAGATCTTGCAGTTAACAGAACCCACTGTTCTTAGGAAGCAGTTTCCCTAAGGATGGTAAGCACATCTCAGGTGCCACCATGTCTTGGTCTTTGTCTTTCATAACAAGATGTGCTTCCTGGCTGATAGCTTTTATGTTTACATTGCTAGAAATATCACCTGCAGTAAAGCCTTCACCAATATGATGTGTTTCAAGATTTAAGAACTTTTAAACGTTTTTCATATTCCTTGTTTACATTTTTCATCTTTTTTTTTTTTTTTGAGACAGTCTTACCCTGTCATCCAGGCTGGAGTGCAGTGGTGTGATCTTGGCTCACTGCAACCCCTGCCTCCTGGGTTCAAGTGATTCTCTTGCCTCAGCCTCTTGAATAGCTGGAATTACGGGGAAGAGCCACTGTGCCCAGCTGATTTTTGTATTTTCAGTAGAGATGGAGTTTCAACATGTTGGCTAGGCTGGTCTCAAACTCCTGGCCCCAAGCTATTGCCCCACCTCATCCTCCCAAAGTGCTGGGATTATAGGTGTGAGCCACTGCACCTGGCCCATTTCATTTTTTATTATAGTTCTAATAGAGTAGTCTTCCATGGTTTTTCTTCTGTGGTTTATACCCAAGTTACAGTACAACAAGATATTTTGAGAGAGTGAGCAAAACCACATTCACATAACTTTTATTATAGTATATTGTTATAATTGTTCTATTTTATTGTTGTTAGCAAGCGAAACCATTCACATAACTTTTATTATAGTATATTGTTATAATTGTTCTACTGTATTATTATTGTTAATCTCTACTGTGCCTAATTTATAAACTTTACCATAGGTATGTACATATAGGAAAAAACATACTACATATAAAGTTTAGTATTACCTGTGGTTTCAGGCATCCACTGGAGGTCTTGGAATGTATTCCCCATGGATAAGGGAGGACTACTATAGTCTTTATCAGTGGTTCTCAAACGTGAGTGAATATCAGAACCACCTGGCTGGCATGTTACAGTGATTACTGGGCCTTACATACAGTTTCTGATTCAGCAGGCAAGGACCAAGATTTTAATTTTTAGGTTTCTAAGGGGTTCTGATGCTGATGGTACAGGGTCTACACATGAGACCTACTCATCTATAAAAAGAAAATTACAGACAACACTCTCATTCATTTTAACTATGTTTATTGTGCACTTAGTAGGCCAGATACTCTTCTGATATTTGAGAATACAGTGGTGAATAACACAAACTCCATGCTTTCAAGATTCCCACACCCAGATACTAAGACATATTAAAATTTACAGCAATTAAAACAGTGTAGTTTGGTACAATAACACATATAGCAATGATACAAATTAGGGGAAAAAACCCTGGCTTCTATAACAAGTGAGTATACATTAAAGACAGTATTGCAGAATGGCTTCAGGATTAATTTGATTAATTTAGAGAGAGCCTATTTCAGGTCTTCCTAGCTCATCCACACACATCACCTTTCAGTGTTCTTTATAGGTACTTAAAACTTAAAAAAAGGCCCAGGCGCGGTGGCTCCTGCCTGTAATCCCAGCACTTTGGGAGGCCGAGGCAGGTGGATCATGAGGTCAGGAGATTGAGACCATCCTGGCTAACAAAGTGAAACCCCGTCTCTATTAAAAATACAAAAAAATTAGCCGGGCGTGGTGGCGGGCGACTGTAGTCCCAGATACTTGGGAGGCTGAGGCAAGAGAATGGTGTGAACCCAGGAGGCGGAGCTTGCAGTGAGCTGAGATCGCGCCACTGCACTCCAGCCTGGGTGACAGAGCGAGACTCTGTCTCAAAAAAACAAAACAAAACAAACTTAAAAAAGATAATGTGGCACCAAATTTGTAAGATACTTTGAAATTCATAATTTCAGATGGATGTGGCTGGTAAGGATCTTAACAAGCCCCCAGTTTGGGCTGACTTTTACTAATGAGGAAAATTGTTAGGATTAAGCAGGGTCTTGAGGAATCACCTCTAAAGGCTCAGACTTTAAAGTGCTTCCCCTCCCTTCCCTACCCCAACATTTGGAGAAATCTCTCACTAGATGGCCTTTCAAATAAATGAGAAACACATGGTTCTAGGACAATTGATTATTTGAGAAAAAAGTATACTCTAATAAATTCCAGATAGAATAAAGGTTAATGTGAATAAACAAAAACAAAGAGAATATGGGTAATTCTTTTTTTAAAATTTATTTCTATTTTTTATTTTTTTTGAGACAGTTCTTACTCTGTTGCCCAGGCTGGAGTGCAGTGGTGCAATCATAGCTCACTGCAGCGTTGAACTCCTGGGCCCAAGCCATCCTCCTGCTTAGCCTCCTGAGCAGCTGGGACTACAGGTGTGTGTCGCTACACCTGGCTATTTTTTATTTTTTGTAGAGATAGGGGTATTGCTTTGTCGCCCAGGCTGGGCTCAGATTCCTGGCTTCAAGCAATTCTCCCACCTTGGCTTCCCAAAGTGTTGGGATTACAAGCATGAGCCATTGTGTCTGGCCTGGGTGATTCTTTATCTGACATAGAGGTTGGGAAACAGAACAACAAAAAAAAATTGATAAATTACATAACTTACAAATTAGTAAGAAAGATATGACCATACTAATGGAAAAAAGTTAATTCAAAAACTTTTGACCTTAAACTAACTTTTTGGATATTAGGCTTCCTGAAGTTCAAGAGTGACATATTAGGCTTATATTAGGCTTATTTGTAATGTTTGAATTATACAGGAAACATTGTCAAGTGTGAGGTGGTGTTTAGCTTCCTTTGGGTTATACTGATAGAGATTTGTTGTTAATATGTGTTCCAGGATTGTATGAGAGTTCTAAAATTCTGATATGTCTTAATATATGTTGTAATGATTATGTTAAATTGTTGTAAGCCACAGAAATAGCCACATTTGTCAACTGTGTCTTTATGGCTGTCTTAAGACTTTTGTCATCCATAATTGATGTTTTGCTCTGATCCTTCTCAAAAAAAAAAAGTGACTTATAATCAGCTACAGTCCAAGGCTTACTTCTTTGGAGTTCATGAAAAGAACTCTTGAATGCAGGTTTCTGGTAACTTTGGAGAGTGTGCCATTGGATTAGACAGAAAACTTCCAAGGCACTAATTGAAAGGCTGATGTGTTCATAAAGATGAATATGAAGTAGAGCAGGAGTTGATTACATGGACTGAAATGAACTAATGGAAGACTGAAATAATTTGTATGGCTTTTGTTGTTTGAAATATTGCTACTTCTTTTTGTTTTTTCAGAGTCTGAATAATCTTTTTATTTTGAGCTATTTATAGCCTTGAAATACACTTTAAGTGTATTGAGTATTCTAATTTCTCCAGAATTTGTAAACTATTTATGAATATTCTTAATTCATGGCATTTGTCTGTATAAAGTTAATAACCACGTTTTCTTTTGTAATAGGGCACAATTGAAACCGGTTACTTTCTCAGGACTTTGACTGAAATGGCCTTGTGAAATGTTCTAGCAAAGCCAATCTAGGAGAGTCTATATGGACAATGATTCTTGTTGCACTTTGTGTGGGTAATCAGGCCCAGTATATGGGACTGCAGTTTATTTTGAAGTTAGGTCGGTTCTGCTGTGATTTGTCTTTGGTGGAAGTGGTAGACTGGAGACAGAAATATTGTATGTCCCTAAATTAATATAGCTCCCAACAACCAATCCCTCATTATACCTTTAACTGCAACCACCAGACACAACGGCTAGGAATAACAGCAGAGGTAGGAATGGGAGTTAGCGGGATTGCAACTTCCCTATCCTATTACCAACGCTTGTCCAAGGATTTTATGGAAAGCCTGGATAACATTGCTCAAAGTATTGTCACCTTACAAATTCGGATAGGCTCCTTGGCAGTGGTCGCTTTGCAAAATCGAAGGGGACTAGATCTCCTAACTGCTGAAACAGGTGGCTTATGTATTTTCCTAGAAGAAGAATGCTGTTTTGATGTCAACCAATCAGGATTAGTAAGGGACACCACCTGAAAACTAGCTGACTGGGCCTCTAAAATATGACAACAGCTGGGGCACCTAAAGGGCACTAAGTTGGGTTTCATGGCTCCCTCCCTTGGCCAGCCCATTATTAATGATTATATTTGCCTTGGTTTTTGGACCATATCTGTTAAATCTTTTAACCAAATCCATTTCCTTTTGCCTAGAGACCACCAAGTTAGATGATCATGTGACAAGATTTCTAGCCAGTTTCAGGAGAAGACACCACCGGCCATCAAGAAGCTACCCTGTCTCCCCTAGACAAAGCAGGGTGAGAGTTACGTGATCTCCAATAGGTAGGGACTGTGTCCCAAGTTAGCATGAAGCAGTTACAGAAGAAAGACCCTCAGTCTCTCAGCCTCCCATAAAGATTTACGAGGATCACGTCTCTCAGGGGGAAAATGAGGCAGGAGAATAGGGTCTGGAGACAGGGAACCTAAGGCTGATTCACATTGACTTCCTAGAACTGAATCAAAAGGAAAACCCCACCTCTCCATACCTAAGTAACAAAAGGATCAGAGGCTACTCCCTTTGCAATCCCCTTGCCTTTTCTGCATTGCAGATGAAAAATGAAAGTGCCTCTGATTGGTCCCCTCCTGCAACCAATCAGACTGGTCATAGGCCAAGTCCTCATTTACACAGGAGTATAACTTTGTAACTTCACTTCAGCCTCTGATTGGTCACTTTCTGCACCAATCAGACAGGTCACGGGCCACTACTTCATTTACACAGGGTGTACGCCAAGTAACCAATGGCAAACCTCTAGAGGATATTCATTGCTTTGTGCGTTTTGTTCAATTATTTGTCCAAAATGCCAAGAACCTGGACACCCTCCACCAGTAACAGTTTGACCAGTTATTTATTGTATTACTTAGGACTGCATTTGGCTGCATATAAAAGAAACCTGACCAAGGCCTAATTAAGCACAGTGTTTATTCTTCTCACTACCAAGAAGTCAGAGGTCAGCAATCCAAGCTGGTGTAGCAGCTCCTCCAGGCATGTCAGCAAGGAGCCAAGCTCTGAGTCTTTTTACTAACATGACCCAAAGCACATGGCTGCCTTCCTTATGCCTAAAAGTGGCTCTGGTACTCAGGTTTTATCTCTGCACTCCAAGTAGGATGAAAAGATAAGAGCAAAGGCTCATGTTTGCCAAGTCTGTCCTTTTGTAACAAAAAACCCAGCAGCTTTATCAAGCAGAATTCCACCTGTATTTCTTAACTTGCCAGAGCTGAGTCTCATGGCCACCCTTAGCAGGAGTTGGGGAGGTATTTTTAACAAGGCACATTATCATCTCCCCCACCCAAAGTGGAGCTATTGCTAATGAAAAAGATACAATGAGATGTTTATGAAATTATCTGTAGCTATTAATGTCAGGTTTTTGAAATTTACTGACCTGGAAGAATACTCGTAATGCAATGTCAAGTGAGAAGCAGGACAAAGAACATTTGCAATACAGTTGTATTTATAAAATTTTGTTTACACACAAAAAATGTATTTTGCTTAAAAATATAATTTACATATATATACAACCACACAAGGGAAATAACAAAATGTTAATACTAGCTAATTTCTATAGAGTTGGCATTTTAAGTCAGAGGGGTATTGATGAATAGATGTAGTTTATTAAATTTTTTTCTCTATTTCCTAAACTTTCTATAAAGAACTTGTAGTATCTTTATAATAGGAAAAAATGTGATTTTAATGAACACTCCATATACTTTCAAAGTAGACTAAATTCAAAATATTTACACTTACTCATTTTCATCTTCGTTGTCAAAAGAAAGGAGGCTACTATTTTTAATTTGTTTTTGTGAGTTCTTTTTGACCGAGTCCTGATTTACTTCATCTTCATTTGGCTTCTTCTTTTTTGAGCTTGCTGTTAAACCTGAATATTTTTCATCTGAGGGATGCTTGACTGGTTTTCGATATATGATTCTTCCATCGGCTGGAGTTGGTTCTTCATCTGAGCAAAAACAGAATTTTTAAGAACTTTCTTCTCCTCATTATTTTGCCTTTACCTTAGAAGCAAATAATAAGAAAATCTCATATTGTATTTAAGGATATCCCTGAATCTGATTCAGTCTGGTCTTCTCCATTGTTTCTAGCTATATTGCCCTCAAGGCATGCAGTTACTTAATAAAAACTCACATGCTAAAGTATTCTATAATATTGTCAGTTCCCAATTACAATCAGGTTGTATTTTTAAGTAGTTTGAAAAGTGACTGTTTGGAACTACAGCATTTTCCCCTAAAGCAATGTAGTAAATGTTCAGAAATAATGAAAAATATACTACATATCATACCAAACTTCAGGCAGTAATGAAATACACCTTTTTTGACTGGTTTATAAGTCTAACCATCTATTTAAAAAAAAAAAATAGGATGCTTTTACTTAAATTCACACTTAATCCTGGTAACAACCCAATAGGTACAATTATTTCCATTTTACTGATGAGGAAATCGAGGCTGAGAGGTGTAATAACTTGCTCAAGGTTACACATCTGGTAAGTGTCAAAGCTAAGGCTTGAACCCGGAACTGCCACCTTGAAACACACCACACTACTAAATAAAATAAACAATTTCATACCCTGGGCTCCTTAAATTGTTAGAAAAACCAGATTACTTTTAGACCTACCTGCTTTGGCAGCCTTTATTTCTGCTTTAATTTTCATGACTTCTTCAACTGACAGGTCTCCCTTTTTTAAAACCACCACTTGAGGCTGTTCATCTTCTTTGTCACTGTGATCCCCATCTTCATCTGGGGGCTGAGGCTGAATTCTCTAGGGAAAAACACAAATACAATGTGTAGATCACTGATCTTGAGACAAACAGAACCACTGCCTCTAAGAGAAACTGTAATTATTTATGAGAAGGGTATCTTTATTGAGTAAATAAGGGCAATGAATTTTAAGGTAACTCCAAAGAGACTTAGCTTGCCACACAAGGGAACAGGTTTAACTGCCATTCAGCCTGGAGTGCCTGTCCGGTGGGATTCATTTCCATCTCAGCAGGACCCAGCTTGTAGTTACTAGTGTGAGGGACCCTCTGCTTTGGGTACTGCTGTCACTCCTAGCCTACTCAGGGCAGCACTGTGCCATGTCAGTTGTTTGCTCCTCATCAGCACTTTTTGCCTGTCTCTTCTCTGAGTTAGACAAGAAATAAACACCATCAAAGTACAGAAAGCAGCAAGTAAAACGTACTCTCTCTCTCACCTCTGCTCATCTTTTCCCCCTCCTAATAGCTTCAGTTTGGTGGATATTCTATCAGCTATTTTCCACGTCTATACAACTATGTAGGTACATAAAACTTTTTGTATACCAACAACACTGTACTTATTCCTGTGACTTGCTTTTTCCCTATTTATGAAATTTCTCAAACATAAAGTACAGAGAATAACATAACAGAAACCATGTACTCCCTGTATATGTGTAACAGATGGTAATATTTTGCCAGTTGATTCAGATTTTTGAAATGTGAGACACCGTAAGAGCCCCACTCCCACAACTTAACTCAAAAAATATCTTTGTACAGTACTTTAAGATATAGAATTATCTGATTTTTAAAAAATCACTGCCTTGCATTTAATTACATATATGGTCACCTCAAGATTTATTTGACCAGCATCTTGTAAATACAAATTTTGCTCGTTTCCAGATTTTTTTCTACTATGAAAAAACCTCATGCACCCATTTTTGCTCACTTTTGGGAACTTGTATGCAAGAACTTTTAATGTTAACAGTTCACTAGAGGTGGAACTGTTGGGTTGAAAGGTATGCATACCAAAATATGTTTTCATATGTTATTCAAACACAATCACTCATTACTCCACTTCTCATAGAGACTTCCTGGTCTCCCAAACAAGGCGACAAAGCCCTGCAAGAATTAGCCTCAGCCCATAACCACAGCTTTATCCTGTACCACTCTCTCATGGCATCTAGACTCTGGCATGGCAAGGTTTGAGTACTTGGAGATTTATAAATATATTAGCTCCTTTGCTTCCCCTGTCTCTGAACAAATTCCTACGGCTTATTAAGCCCCACAGCCCCTGAGCAACTCCTACTCAAGCTGCCTTCCAGATTTAGAGCCTCTAGAAGTGCTTACCTAAATCTCACCTTCTCTTGTTTCTTACACTGTGCATAGCTCATAGGTAGCATGTATTGCACTGTGGTACCAATGTTTTTCTGCTGGTTTCCACTGGGCAAGTGCCTTCTGGAGAGGCACAAAGCCTGGAAAACAGCAGGGACTTCCAGAAATATTTGTTGATCTACTCATGAATGACCAACAGAATGGAAAATGATGAACTACATGAAGCCCTGGCAAGTTGCTTGTGCCATTTTAACTATAACTCAAGTTCTCAAGTCTGCTCTATCACTGCACAAGTACATTCTCTTTAATGGTATCTATGTTAGTTCACTGATTATTCATCAGTTTCTGCCAATTTTTCTCTGAAAGTCTCCAATAAATGACCACAAATAGGTAGTAAGTATTTTTAGCCAAAAATATGGGAAAGTGAAATAAAATCATTCCTTTTGTTTGTTAAATTGAGAATAATTAATTCTGACTCTCTTCTCTTTTTTTCTTTTTAAATGTGACTGCCTGGAAAACAAGAGAAATAGTCTAAGGACAGTGGCAGTAGCCACTGATGACTGTTCAGAGACATTTCTGAATTAACTCTCAAGAAAGTGAATAGGGCCAGGCGCAGTGGCTCATGCCTGTAATCCCAGCACTCTGGGAGGCCTAGGCAGGCAGATCACTTGAGGTCAGCAGTTCAAGACTAGCCTGGCAAACATGGTGAAACCCCCCGTCTCTACTAAAAATACAGAAATTACCTCGGTGTGGTGGTGGGCACCTGTAATCCCACCTACTTGGGTGGCTGAGGCAGGAGAATTGCTTGAACCCAAAAGGTGGAGGTTGCAGTGAGCTGAGATCGAGTCACTGCATTTCAGCCTAAGCAACAGAGAAAGACTCCGCCTCAAAAAAAATAAAAGTGAATAGGATGATTTAGCTTAATTATGGAATGATTTCCCATGAAACTCATTTCTTTTTGTTAATAGATGACTAAAATCCTGACTGCAGTAGTCCCCTCCTTATCCTCAATTTCATGTTCCACAATTTCAGTTACCTGTGGTCAACTGTAGTATGAAAGAAGGGTGAGTACAGTACAATAAAATATTTAGAGACAGCAAGCAAACAAGCAAATTCACACAACTTTTACTAGAGTATATTGTTATGATTGTTCTATTATTAGTTACTAATCTGCTGATATTCCTAATTTATATAGTAAACTTCATCATAGGTATATATGTATGGGAAAAAACATAGTATATATAGAATTCAGTATTATCCACTGGGGGTCTTGGAACATAATGGGGGAATACTGTATATTGCCAAACTGATTAAAAATGAAGTGGTTCTCACACTGAAACATGGCGTACTTCTCTAAGGGAAATTCCCTTGAGTACATAAATAAGCGAAAATCACTGATATTACTTGGAAAGGATTCCCGAAGTTCTCTTAAGATAGCATTCCAAGCTGTAACCTTCAAGCTGTCAACTGTGCATACAGGGTCATCACCAGGACCTCAAGCAAGGTAAAGCTGGGTCTCATCTTCTCCTCATCGCTCAATCTATGTCCCTTTTCTCAAACCTTACCCTCTTTGTCATCATCCCTATTTTTAGTCATGGGGATCAGTCATTCCCTGTGTTACCTCTAAGAAAAAAATGGCTCCCTGTTGCTTACTAAATAGTCCACATGGCCTCACCTCCACTAGCCCCTCTAACACTTCTACATACAGTCCATGACTCTCAAATCTCTACACCTTTACCCATGCCATTCTCTTCATCTCTACCTGCTGACCTAACCATGCTCGAGAGTCTATCTAAATATCCCTCCTCCACGAAGTCTAACCTGATAACAGCACAGTCACCAACAAATACAACTGTTACCCACTACTTCGTGCCAGGCACTGTGCTAGGTGCTGGGAAAATACGGAAGGATTAAGATACTAACTTAAAGAGTTCAATCTAGTGGTGAAGATAAACAGGAAAGCAAGTAGTTGCAATATAAAATGAATGTTATAGATAAGATATGGATAAGGTAAAGAGAAAAACAGAAAGAGTAACTGTTTGGAGAGCTTTGAAGGGTTTCGGAGAGATGGTAACTTGTGAAAATAGGGCAGGAAGTGTTAAAGAACATGGCATTTTGGAGATCCATCTCTTCGTCCTTTCAGAGCCTGCGACAGTGCATGGGGTTAGCACATACTCATTCTACTGGCATACCTTGAAGATACCGCAGATTTGGTTCCAGACCACCACAACAAAGCAAGTATCAAAATAAATTGTCACACAAATTTTCTGGTTTCCCAGTTCACATAAAAGTTATGTTCACACTATACACTAACTACAGTTAGTATTAAGTATGCAATATCATTATGTCTAAAAAAATCTAGATCCCATTAAGTACACGATTCATGGGAGGAGGCAAAATATCAACATTAACAGGAGTCTGGAAGATGTACCTACCTTAATTTAAAAATACTTTATTGCTAAAAACATTAAAAATCATCTGAGCCTTCAGTGAGTCCTAATCTTTTTGCCAGTGAAGGGTCTGCCCTTGATGCTGATGGATGTTGACTGATGAGGGTGGTGGTTGCTGAAAGGCGGGGTGGCTGTGGCAATTTTTAAAAATAAGACGATGAAGTTTGCTGCATTGAGTCTTCCTTTCACAAAAGATTTCTCTTTTGTGATGCTGCAATGCTGTTTCATAGCATTTTACCCACAGCTGAACTCCTTTCAAAATTGGAATCAGTCCTCTTAAACCTGCTGCTGCTTTACCAAGTAAGTTTATTCTAAATCCTTTATTGACATTTCAACAATGTTCACAGCATCTTCACCAGAAGTAGATTCCATCTCAATAAACCACTTTTTTTGCTCATCAATAAGAAGCAACTCATCTGTTCAATTTTTATGAGACTGCAACAACTTAGTCACATTTTCAGGCTCTACTTCTAATTCTAGTTCTTTTGCTTGTTCTACCACACCTGCAATTACTTCCTCCACTGAAGGCCTGAATCTCTCGAAGTCATCCATGAAGGTTGGAATCAACCTCTTCCAAATTCCTGTTAATGTTGATATTTTGCCCTCTTCCCATGAATCATGGATGTTCTTAACGTGTTTAGAATGGTGAAGCCTTTCCATAAAGTTTTCAATTTACAATATCCAGATGCATCAGAGGAATCACTATCCATGGCAGCTGTAGCCTTACAAATGGTTTTGACTTTTTTTTTTTTTTTTGAGACAGGGTCTGGCTCTGTTACCCAGGCTCGAGTGCAGTGGTGCAATCATGGCTGACTGCAGCCTCAACCTACCTGGGGTCAGGGAATCCTCCCACCTCAGCCTCCCAAGTAGCTGGGACCACAGGTGCATGCCACCACACTGGGCTAAATTTTGTATTTTTTGTAGAGATGGGGTCTCACCATGTTGGCCAGGCTGGTCTTGAACTCCTGGGCTCAAGCAATCCACCTGCCTTGACTTCCCAAAGTGCTGGGATTACAAGTGTGAGCCATTGCGCCTGGCTGTTATTTCTTAAATAATAAGACTGAAAATAGAAATTACTCCTTGATCCATGGGCTGCAGAATGGATGTTGTGTTAGCAGGCATGAAAACCCCACGTTAATCTCCTTGTAGATCTCCATCAGAGTTCTTGGGTGACCAAGTGTATTGTCCATGAGCAATAATATATTGAAAGAATCTTTTTTTTTCTGAGCAGTAGGTCTCAACAGTGGGCTAAAAATAATTCAGTAAACCATATTATAAAGAGATGTGCTGTCATCAAGGTTTTGTTTTTCCATTTCTAGAGCACAGGCAGAGTAGATTTAGCATAATTCTTACGGACCCTAGGATTTTTGGAATGGTAAGTATTAGCTTCAACTTAAAAGTCACCAGCTGCATTAGCTCCTAATGAGAGAGTTAGCCTGTCCTTTGAAAATATGAAGCCAGGCACTGACTTCTCTCTAGCTATGAAAGTCCTAAATGGCCCAGGCATAGTGGTTTTTGAGAGGCTTTGAGAGGCTAAAGTGGGAGGATTGCTTGAGTCCAGGAGTTTGAGACCAGCCTTGGCAACACAGTGGAATCCTGTCTCTACAAAAAAATACAAAAATTAGCCAGATGCGTTAGTTCATGCCTGTAGTCCCAGCTGCTTGAGAGGCTGAGGCAGGAGGATCACTTGAGCCCAGGAGGTCAAGGCTGCAGTGAGCTGTGATTGCACCACTGCACTCTAGCCTGGGCGACAGAGTGAGACCCTATCTCAAAAAAAAAAAAAAAAAAAAAGTCCTAGATGGCATCTTCTTCCAATAGAAGGCTGTTTCATCTACATTGAAAACCTGTTTAGTGTAGCCACCTTCATCAACTATCTTAGCTAGATCTGAATAATTTGCTTCTTCATCTCATACTTTTATGTTATGGAGATGGCTTCTTTCCTTAAACCTCATGAACCAACCTCTGTTAGCTTCACACTTTTCTTCTGCAGCTTTCTCACATGTCTCAGACTTCACAGGATTTAAGAGTTAGGGCCTTGCTCTAGATTAGGCTTTGGTTAAAGGGAATGTTGTGGCTGGTTTGCTCTTCTATCCAGACCACTAAAACTTTCTCTGTATCAGCAATGTAGCTGTTTTGCTTTCTTGTCATTCATGTGTTCAATACTGATCCCTCCGGCCCTAGACAACAATAGTCAGGTGTGGCTCTTTCCTGAAGCTCCTCTTCTTCTATTTAGACCCAGGATATTTACGGCTTCTGCTTACTCTTCTTTTTTTTCTTTTTTTTGAGACGGAGTCTCGCTCTGTCGCCCAGTCTGGAGTGCAGTGGCGCGATCTCGGCTCACTGCAAGCTCCTCCTCCTGGGTTCACGCCATTCTCCTGCCTCAGCCTCCCGAGTAGCTGGGACTACAGGCGCCCGCCACCATGCCTGGCTAATTTTTTGTATTTTTAGTAGAGACGCGGTTTCACTGTTTTAGCCAGGATGGTCTCGATCTCCTGACCTCGTGATCTGCCGCCTCAGCCTCCCAGAGCGCTGGGATTACAGGCGTGAGCCACCAGGCCCGGCTTTTTTTTTTTTTTTTTGAGACGGAGTCTCGCTCTGTTGTCCAGGCTGGAGTGCAGCTGCGCCATCTCAACTCACTGCAACGTCCACCTCCCGGGTTCGAGCGATTCTGTCTCAGCCTCCGGAGTAGCTGGGACTACAGGCATGTGCCACCATGCCCGGCTAATTTTTGTATTTTTAGCAGAGACGGGGGGTTTCACCATATTGGCTATTGGCTCTGCTGGTCTCGAACTCCTGACCTCAGGTGATCCGCCCACCTAGGCCTCCCAAAGTACTGGGATTACAGGCGTGAGCCACTGTGCCCGACCTTCTCTATATTATTTTTATTTATTTTTAATTAACAAAGCATAGAAACAGATTCAGGACATTCCTCCGAAGACGTTCCAGACTCGAGTCCTAGGACATGGTTGGGGCGGGGGTCATTTGATCGAGTGGCCTGTGTCCTTATCTGGAATACGGGACGACGCTGTAACTCTAACTCACCCTGCGAACTCACAGCTTTTGAGGTAAACAAGTGAGAAAGAAGAGACAATAAAGTGATCTTTCTTTACCATCTACCAAGGACCAGGTGGTTTACACGTCAGTTCATTTTCAGGAACACAGCAGCGCTCTGAAAACTACAGAGCTTCCTGGGCGTAGGGGGCTGTGGTCGCTTGAAAAGAACCAGCCTGGGGGTCCGAGTTCCACCGGAATTGGGTTCGAGCGCGGGTGAAAAGAGGGACCCGACAGCACCCACCCTCCAAGTAGAGGCAAAAGTTGAAAGTGGCGGGCTGGCTGCGCTTCCGAAGAAACACGACTGGCGAAGGCTCACCTTAGTCTCTACGGTGGGTCCCTCCCTGTAGCCGACCCGTTCCTTGAAGCGGGCCAGAAACGCCGGCTCGGCTGGCCGCACGTACGATACCTGGTTCCGCTTGCTCATGGTAGCTCTGGGTAAAGACAGAAGACAGGTTCCGCGACGGATTCGCGACGATACAGAGGCGCTTAGCTGTGACGTCACTGGGCCACGCCCCCGATGCGTAGGCCGGGCAACATGGCGGCCTCCATGCGGGCGTCAACGTCCGATCCAAGCGCCAAATTCAAATTTGCGGCCATCTTGAGCGGGCGGAATTCAGTCGCGCGCGGTGCAGTCGGGAGGTGGAGGCACCGGCTGCATTGTTTTCGGGATCGAGGGGTGAGGGCGCTATGGCACCCGGCTGCAAAAGTAAGTCTGGGCCCCCGGCTTCGTTACCCTATTTTTGCCCCCAAATACAGCTGTGAAAGGATGGCAGCCTCGGACCGCCCGCAAGGTTCTTGCTAGGCATGAACTGCAGGAGCTGAGTGACCGGCGGGGACGTTTGGGAATCCCGCTCTGTCGCTCAAAGACAATACGCTAGCCGAAAAGCTCATCCCTTCCTTCAGTGTCCTGTGCGCATGCCAGGAGTCTGGCGCAGTTCTAGGCGCTCGGGATGAGCAGTGGACCTGACGTTCTTCCCTTTCTTTCCCTTGGTTCTGCTGTTTCTTCGCAGGCCTCTTCCCACATCCCGACCAGGGCTACCTCTCTAGATATCCTTGTCTCAGGATCGGCTTTTGCTCCCACCAGCTTCTGCGTATTTCTACATTTCTGACCTTCCTATAGGGAAGGGTTTATTTATATTCCAAACATTTCTTTCTCCTCTTTCCTTAAATAAATGGAATGTTAAAACACAGATGTCAGCAATGTCTTTATGTTCTCACAGTCTCTATTTTCACTTAAAGGAGACCCGTCCGATTTCTTTCTCTTTTTCACGGAGGAGAGCACTGTCATTTTGCTTATGATAAACCCTACAGTTTTCACTAACGTAGTCATTTGCTGTGCCTGTGTACGTGCTCCACTTCTCACATTGCCACATCTCTTAAGGAGTCTTATTTTTGTAAACCTGATTATGAGCTGATTTAATGGGATCTTTGTGAGTGGTCTGAATGGTAATGAGGAGAGGCCTGGATTAGATGATTAAGAATTTGTGAACTTCTGTCATTTGAGCTTTCCAACGCCGTTAATGTTTCTAGCTTTCTGTCAATTGTAGTCGTTTTTGATGGGTTTGTTGTTTCATTAATCTTTTAGGTCGATCACACCTAATCGGAACACCTCCTTATGCTACCTTTTTGCATATAAAATATTCCTTTTCCTTTCATCATTTTCAGTATTCAAGGACTATGAGCTCACAAAATGGTACCTTATTGGAGAGAAATGTTCATCCTGCTTTCTGAACAATCATACTGTTTGTTCTTTGTTTCCACTTTATGGATCAGTCACTAAATCTGGACTCAAGCAAAAAATTTGATGCCTGTTAAATAAGTAAAACATCTGCTTATTTAATGAGATATATGTATGTGACTGAGGGCTCTTGTCTGAAAACCAAATTTGAGAACCTTTCTAAAGTGGTGGGAGCACTCTCCTTTATGATGGTGGTGATGCCATGGGGAACTTTTCCACTCCTTTAAGTTTGTTGGCAAAATTGAGGTTGATGACTTCCCAGTTAAAGTGCTTCTTGCATTCCCAGCAGCCCAGAGGCCTGGAGCATGAAGTGGGAACACATGGGAGAAGAGAGCCCGTGCAGTGGTCTTTGCAACTTTTACTTTGTGCCCCGAAGGCTATCTCTCTCTCTCTTTTTTATTTTTGAGACAGAGTCTTGCTCTATTGCCGGGCTGGAGTGCAGTGGTGCGATATTGGCTCACTGCAACCTCCGCCTCCCGGGTTCAAGAGATTCTCCTGCCTGAGTCTCCCAAGTAGCTGGGATTACAGGCACGCGCCACCATGCCCAGCTAATTTTTTTATTTTTAGTAAAGCCGGGGTTTCACTGTGTTGGCCAGGATGGTCTCGATCTCCTGACCTCGTGATTTGCCCACCTTGGCCTCCCAAAGTGCTGGGATTACAGGCATGAGCCACCACACCCGGCCCCATGAAGGCTATCTCTAGTGACATCATTGACACCATGAGTTGCTGACTGTGAAATCAGAGAAATGAAAAAGTGAAATATACGATTCCCCCCTTTTTTTTTTTAAAGACAGTGTTGCTCTGTCACCCAGGCTGGCTGGAGTGCAGTGACGCAATCTTGGCTCACTGCAATCTCCACCTCCTGGGTTCAAGCAGTACTCGTGCCTCAGCCTCCCAAGTAGCTGGGACTACAGGCGTGCACCACCATGCCCTGCTAATTTTTTGTATTTTAGTAGAGACAGGGTTTCACCATGTTGCCCAGGCTGGTCTTGAACTCCTGAACTCAAGCAATCCACCTGCCTTGGCCTCCCAAAGTGCTAGGATTACAGGCGTGAGCCACTGCACCTGGCCTAAGATTCCCTTTCTGAACCCAATCATGTTTGGGCAAATGACTGATGAGTATTTATCTAGACTGCAGAGTAAAGCATCCAATGGTCTGTTTTAAAGCAGGAAGACTCTTTAAAAGACTTACTGTTTTGTTGAGGTATAGCTTCATGCAGTTAAGGGCACAAATCTTAATATTATTCAACAAATTTTTACATATAAATACACTAATGTAACCACCATCCAGATCAAGAAATAGAACTGTTCCTGTACTCCAGAAAGTTCCCTGTGACCCTTCCTAGTCAATAACTACCTGATCCCCAACCATTACTCTGATTATTATTATCACTGATTAGTTTTGCTTCTATTCTTGAACTTAATATAAATGGTACAGTATGTATTCTTTTTTTATTCTGGTTTCTTCAACTGAACATTATGTCTGTGATCATTGTCCATCATTGTATGTAGCAGCAGTTCTTTTTCATTGCTGTGTAGTGTTCCATTATGTGAGTATACCATGATTTGTTTATTCTCCTGTTGATTGACATTTGGGTTTTTATTATAGTTAGGGCTGTTATGAATAAAGCTACTGAGAATAGACTTAAGCATATTTTTAGATGGACACATAGAGGACCTCAAAGTTGAAAGAATTTTACAGTGAATGCCTATAGACTTCATTTTTTTCTTTTCTTTTTTGAGACAGAGTCTTGCTCTGTCACCCAGGCTGAAGTGCAGGGGTGCGATCTTGGCTCACTGCAACCTCCATCTCTGTTCAAGTGATTACTCCTGCCTCAGCCTCCTGAGTAGCTGGGACTACAGGCAACCACCACCAAGCCTGGCTATTTTTTATATTTTTAGTAGAGGCAGGGTTTCACCATATTGGCAAGGCTGGTCTCAAACTCCTGACCTCAAATGATCCACCCACCTTGGTCTCCCAAAGTGTTGGGATCACAGGTGTGAGCCACTGCACCCAGCCTAGACTTCCTTTAAATGTCAAAATTTTATGACAGCCACATGATAAACTTTTATACTCTCTTTAACCTTTGATCAAGAGGTAGCATATTGAGGTGGTTAAGAGTAGGAGATCTGGATTTAGCATGCCTTCGTTCAAATCCTAGCACTTCTCAATGATGTTTCCTTAGATCTCAATTAGAAATAATGCCAGAACTATCTACATTTGTGTAGTTTTAAATTTCACTTTCTCTCGCTATTTGCTTATTAACTTTTCTTCTTTTTTTATCAAGTAAACATTTTACTTTGGGTTCCTTTTAGATTTACCAGAAAGTTGCACATAAGTGCAGATCAGTATCCATCTAATCATTTTCCATCTGATCAGTTACAGAGATCTCTGCAGAAATGAAGAGCTGGCAGCCTACCTTCTGGGGCTTCTTATTGTTGTTTGCTTGTGTATTTGCTTAGCAACTGGCTGGATCAATTTAGTGAAGTCTATTTCCCTCCTATACTGTTAAGCCTTTGATATTGCTCCTCAGGAATCCAAAGCTCCAGCTTTGGATATGCCCACCTTTATCCTGGGATGACAGTGGTTTTGGTAGGGATCTCTTTCTTTCTATGACTGCACACAGCTGTTAAACTCCAGTAATTGTTAGCTGATTGCTCTATTGTTTTTTAACAATGCCCTGGGCATAAATTGTCTTACAAACTACTTCAATTCTTGCTCCATTGAAGGAGTAGTTTTTGAGGTTTTCTTTCATATTTCTTGTGACTCCAGTGTAGCTACTCCTAATTGTCTTATATCCCCATTGTCTTCTGCAAGTGAACAGGCCTGCAATTTAGCTTGTATCTTGAATGTCTTCCTAATTACTTTCACTAAAACCTACACTGTTCCTGAGAGTGCCCTTAGGTTTGAACTTCTCTCCACCCCCTCTCCCCCAGACGGAGTCTCGCTCTGTCACCTAGGCTGTACCACAGTGGCGTGGACTCAGCTCACTGCAACCTCCACCTCCTGAGTTCAAGCGATTCTCCTGCCTCAGCCTCCCAAGTAGCTGAGATTACAGGCATGTGCCACCATGCCCAGCTAATTTTTGTTTTGTATTTTTAGTAGAGAGACGGGGTTTCACCATGTTGGTCAGGCCGGTCTCAAACTCCTGACCTCAAATGATCTACCTGCCTCGGCCTCCCAAAGTGCTGGGATTACATCATGAGCCACCACACCTAGACAGGTTTGAACTTCTCTATGCTTTGTTGCAAATGAATTCAGCTCCTTTGGGAAGAGATTAGGAGTTATCTGTTTATGGGCTGATTCTTCCTTTAGGCAAAATCTCAGAGCCTGGGGACTTGAGTTGGGGATGGGGATAATGGCAGTCTTGTCTCTGAGTGATACCCTTTGTAGTTGCTGAGCATTTTGTGGGGAAGGTGGGGAGTGTAGCAGCCCACCTTCTAGACTTTCCTTTCCTTGTGCAGAACCACTGCCTAATGAGTTGGGGCAAGGGTGATCAGGGCCCCAGTGTTCTTAGCATGCAGTTGCAAGATGAGGGCTGTGTGGGAGAAGGGAGAGCCCTCACCTCTCAACCACACTTGTCTGGGACTTTATCTGAGCATCAGGTAGCTAGCTGGAGACACAATGATACACTGACATCCTGCTACTCTGTGGAGGAACCCCTTGCAATTAGGAGCTGGAGGGATCCCTGTGTTCTTGGCTGCTGCAATCTACAGTGGAGTGTTTGCCTTGCTGAGATGGGAGGGAGACAGCAATCTTGTTTCAAATAACACAGGATCAACTTTCTTGATGAATTTTCATGAATGTTCTTGAACAGATGTTTCTTGGTTTGCTGTTTGTCTTTGGGAACATTTCCAGAGGCTTTAATTTTCTTTTCTTTTCTTTCTTTCTTTTTTTTTTTTTTTTTTTTTGAGATGGAGTCTCACTCTGTCTCCCAGGCTGGAGTGCAGTGGCGTGATCTCGGCTCACTGCAAGCTCCGCCTCCTGGGTTCACGCCATTCTCCTGCCTCAGCCTCCTGGGTAGCTGGGACTACAGGCGCCTGCCACCATGCCTGGCTAATTTTTTGTATCTTTAGTAGAGACGGGGTTTCACCGTGTTAGCCAGGGTGGTCTCGATCTCCTGACCTCGTGATCCGCCCGCTTCGGCCTCCCAAAGTACTGGGATTACAGGTGTGAGCCACCGTGCCCGGCCAACTTTCTTTTTTTAAATTTCACCAGTTTCACTGGGGAGTGGGTCAGTGGAATTCCTCATAATGTCATGTCAGAAGTCAATCTCTGAACTCTTTTTTAACAGAATTATTCTGCCCGCTAGGTTGAGAAAAGATGAGAGTGGGGGAGAAAGAGAAGCAGAAAGACTATTGTAATAACACAATAAAGAGATATTGCTGGCTTGGTTCTACACTGTGGCAGTGGATTTGGCAAGAAGTTGTTGGATTGTGGGTATATTTTGAAATTAGAGCCAAAGCTTTGCTGAGATTGGATACGAAGAGTGAGAAAGAACAGGGTCAGGGATGACTATATGGTTTTTGGCCTAAGCAACTGGAAAGATGGAGTTAACGGAGATGTAGAAACACATTTGGGCTAGAGGTGGGGTGATCAGGAGCTCAATTTTGGACACATTAAATTTGATTCATTGCCCACTGCATATCCAGTTAGAGATATCAAATAGGTAATAAGTTGTAAGAGTGTGGAGCTCGGCTGGGCGTGGTGGCTCACGCCTGTAATCCCAGCACTTTGGGAGGCCGAGGCGGGTGGATCATGAGGTCAGGAGATGGAGACCATCCTGGCTAACAAAGTGAAACCCCGTCTCCACTAAAAATACAAAAAATTCTCAGGGCGTGGTGGCAGGCCCCTGTAGTCCCAGCTACTCCGGAGGCTGAGGCAGGAGAATGGCATGAGCCCGGGAGGTGGAGCTTGCAGTGAGCGGAGATTGCGCCACTGCACTCCAGCCTGGGCAACAGAGCGAGACTCCATCTCAAAAAAAAAAAAAAAAAAAAAGGAGTGTGGAGCTCAGGACAGCAGTCCAGGAAGGTTTAAATTTGTGAATCATCAATTTGTACCTAGTATTTAAAAACAGGCCAGGCATGGTGGCTCACTACTGTAATCCCAGCACTTTGGGAGGCCAACGCGGGCAGATCACAAAGTCAGGAGATCAAGACCATCCTGGCCAACATGGTGAAACACCGTCTCTACTAAAATACAAAAAATTAGCCAGGCGTGGTGGTGCACCCTGTAGTCCCAGCTACTTGGGAGGCTGAGGGCAGGGGAATTGCTTGAATCTGGGAGGTGGAGGTTGCAGTGAGCCAAGATCGTGGCACTGCACTCCAGCCTGGTGACAGAGCAAGACTCCGTCTCAAAAAAAAAAGAAAAGAAAAGAAAAAAAAAACCACTGATGCAAGATTTTTTGCTCCTTAGCTCAGCTAAAATCCAAGTTCGTGTTGCATGACCAGGAAAAATCAGGCACGCGGACACATCGAAAGATGAGGAGAGTGGAATTTATTAAAAGGAAGCTCTCAGTGAAAAAAAGTGTGATACACCAGCTGAAGAGGCCAGGCTTCTCCCCCTGCATAAGGTGCAAATTCCCAGTGGCTCCACTCCATTCTCCCAGGGCGCATGTGGGCCTTTAGTCTGAGCCACTCCACATTGATTTATTTTCCTTACTGCGCATGTGTTAAGGGACAGAATTTTTCAGTGACCCGGCAGGCGTTTGGCTGTCTCCTGTCTCTATCATTCCCCACTCTAAAGAAGTACATCTAACTGCCCTTAGAATAAAGATAAGGACAAAGACCAATCTTAACTGCTTCCTGCTGACAGGGGGTGCTGTGTTGGGAAAATGGCAGTCAGATTTCCCTAAGAGGCCAATCTAAAGGTTCCTGGCAAAAGGGACCATTATCTGAGGCTCCAGTTGCACGACTGGAGTTTGATGACCTGAAGGCGAGAAGAGACAAACTGAGTTATTAGAAAACATGTATCAAAACAAAACAAGGATGGGGTAAGGACAGAAGTCATGCCAGAAGTCATGCTCGAAAATCCCGAGGCCTTTTACTGGTTTGCACAGGGAGAGGGAGGCCAAAAGCCTGATTGTTAAAAGTTAAAAAAAATTTTTACCCTTTTGCTGGCTTGTCAGTCTTCGAGGTTCCCTTCCCCCAAGCCCAGTCCTAAGCTATTCTCAAGTTTAAGGTTTGGGAAATTAACTTTTCGCAGTTTAGAGGATGGATCCAAGGGGAGTGTGCTGTAGTAAGGAGACACAATTACCTATCTGTGAAGAGAGGACACAAGGGGAAAAGGAAAAAAGAAGGTGTTTTTTTCAAAGGAGTCCCAGGGGTTCAGGATGTATTCAAAAAGGCCACAGACTGAAGATGAATGGCAATCCATCAAGAAAGAGGGGAGCAGGTGTCCCTGGTTCCTTTCTCTTCCTAGTGAATACCCAGGGTAGGTGAGGGAGGGAGAAAGTGACGTGCCCCTTTTCATTTCTTCTGTCCTTATATCCCCAAGACCTGGGTGATCATCAAAGGGTGCCACCCATGAATGTCAAAGCGGCTTTCCCCCATGTTAACAGGGCTTACCCACGTACGCCCTATCTCCCCTGCTGTCAGTAGCCTTCAAGTTCTCTAGACCTCATTTATGTCGTGGATACTAGCATGATGTTTATCCATGAAACAGGAGGCTTGGCTTAATCGGCAGGAGTTAGTCATGCTCACCTGTGCTGTGCTTTTTAACTTCTGTTACCGTCTGCTTCTGGATCCCTCAGATCCAGTTTTTTTTTTCTTAGGGCTTTGACCTGAAGTTGGGAATTGAGTTTGGGACCAAAAATATGTCTCAGGGGTTGTATGGACTCCTTATCATAAGCTGAATGCTAAGGTGAAGCTGTGAAAGGGGTCCTCCTCCAAGGGAAAGAAAAGGATGCCCTGTGACACACCCAGATAACTGGTGGCTATAGTTATGTTTGCTAAGATTTGGGTGCATGGAGCTTGGCTTTGGTTAGCTCCCTTGGTCTTACTTTCCCAAAAAGGAAACCTCTGGATGACAGGCACTGTATTTATTCCCACCACCTAGCAGGATTTGCAGGATAATTGCTTAGAACTAGAATATTGATTCAGATTTTTACATTACCCATCCCCCTTTGTTCCTTCTGGGCTGTAGTTGGAGATCTCTGGTTGGATCACAGGCATAAGCAGGGTTAGTTTTTAAACGAACTAGGCAAAAAACTTGAAAACAACTAGTGGGTCTAGAATTTAATGATGATAAGTTTTTAAACATAATTTATCTCTCTCCAGTCCTCAGTTTTCTTAAAAACAAACCATGATAGGACTGAGTTGTTTGCAAAATAGACTTTGGTCTTATACTTGGCTTGATTCTTTGCATGAAGTGCAGCAAGAATACTTATTTTTACAGAGGGCTTTTAGATTGGCTTTGATGGAACTCTATTCCACAAGGAATCTCAGATAGGACTTTCTAAAGCTGAACCCAGCTGTGGGTTTTTACCCTCAAATACCTGTGAGTTGGGTAAACTCCTCTCTTCTTGAGGTCCCAAGAGCATAGGGTTCCTGGGCCTGTTAAAAAGTGACACTTCTTACTCACCGCAGATTAGGAACCCTGTACAGGGACTGTGTAGGCAAGGTATGAGGCCAGTTTTCCCAAGGAGCTTTTATCAGTTCTGCAAGTCAAGCTTGACTCCTTAAAAGGAAGCATACCCTTCCAGTCAAAGGCCTTGGTAAAACAACTAGTGTCTTCAGTTGTGTCCTGTTGCAAAGAAAATGGAATCTTATTGCACTGATGCAAACAAATATATTGTCATAAGTTAAGTATACTCACAACTAGTTTCCAAATTCTGGAGAAGCCAGGCAGAGAGAGAGAGACAAACATGCTCCAAATTTTGTTCACAGGAGTATACCTTACTCAATTATTAAAGGCTGTAAATAGTTCAAAATAAGTTTCCTTCACTCTGAAAAACAAAGCAAGGATTGGCAATGGTCCAAGCGAAAGTCAAAAAGATTACTTCAGTTTTGTATTCATTAAGTCCATCCAGTTAACTCTTGTTTTGCTTGATATTCATGAACATTTCAGCTCTTCATGAGTCCTGTTTGTTTTTTCTTTATTCTAATGTCTCAATCTCCAAAGTTATCAGAAACCTGCATTTGAGAGCACCTATGAAAGTTCTATGGCTGATTATAAACCATCTTTTGAAGAGGATGAAAACAAGACAACAATTGTCTGTGAATAACAAAATGTCCAGGGTAGTTAGAGTCAGAAACAGAATTGACAAATAAATTTGGTTATCTCTGTGGTTTATAATAACTTAACATAACAACCTTAATTGTGATTGATAGCATATACTCATGATGGGGCCCTAAGATAATTTCTGATGGCCTGGGACTCCTCGGAAAAAACAGAAAAGGCACCACAGATTCCATTTTTATGGCCAGACACTAGAATTTTAGGAATCCTTTACAATTTTGGAACATATATTAATATTATTCCCTAAAATATAACCTGAAGAAGATTAAACATTATTTTGGCAATCCCATGTACCTAAACATGTCAGGTAATCCTGTTTACCTCTCTTCTGGATGTGTCAGGGGCCCTCTGTAGCATCCAAAAGCCAGGTGTCAGGAAAGACAATTTTGAAACTGAAGTTTGATTTTGGGAAGCCTGTTGAATATGTTAGAGGTTTAAAACATTTGATTTTATGAAATAGAATTCCAGATTACCGTAAGTTATTTATTTTGTCAAAATGATGACTCAGAAATTTTAAAAAGCAAAAACCTTTTATAACCCTTTACAGATTTAGCTAAAGAGCAGATTGGTGCCTTAAGAGAACCTTGTTGTGCTTTTATTTCAATGCTCAATTTATGGAAAAGCCATATAATACCCTTTTGAATTTAATCAGTATGTTCACACAAGGAATTTTTTTTTGCAAGATCAATTTTTACAATCCTTCCACTACTTGTTTACACATTTAGCTTTATCTTATCTAATTCAAAACAGTCCTTTAACCCTAGGCAAAAATGTACATTTTGATGACATCTGCATTTTACCAATAATTTTTAAGGCTGTTTTTATTTCTCAAAGATTAAAGTCATGTGAACTAAAAGGTACCACAGCTCTTCTTTCCTTTAAAAAATATTTGATCTAAGTGCTTATTTTCCTTTAGGCCAATTAATTAGAACTCTTGTTTATAGAGATCACACACACAACACATACATAACTACACAGCCAGAAGAAGATCCAGTAGCTGTAAGATTTTCTGTTCACCAATTTCGTAACTGGACAATTAGCCTCTCAGTGGGGCCCTTTAAGAGCAGGGCTAGGAAAGCATGTAGTTTCTAGGGCCTAGTAAACAGGTATAGCTAGAAGACAAAAACAGATTTTGAGAGGGATCCATCCACCTCTAATTCCTGGGGCTCCATTAGGAAAACAAAGGTCTCTCCCAAAATGGAATCCATGGAGACTTTTCTATTTTTCCCAAGGAGTCTCAGGCCATCAGAAATTATCTTAGGGCCCCTCATGCATGCATTAAGAGGGGCAAGACAAAATGGAGAAAAAGAATTCAGTTGACTGAGAAAAAAACCTTTACCCAGCAAAATAAGATCTAAGAAGAGAAAAACATAAAGGTCTTTTAAATATACTTATAACTTGGATATCCACTTTCAATTAAGCTGAACGCTTTTTAAGAAAATCCTTTTGAGTCCCTTATTACCCGACATTAGCCATGCAAAGTGGCCAGTATTTCTGACTTCCAAACTTTACCAAAGGTAACTTCCCAGGTGCTCAGAGAAAGGAAAATTCAAGGTGGTTCATGGAGGGAAAGAGAATCAACAAATAGCTAAGGTCACACAGATATCAAACCAGAAAGGACTCATTCCTTAAGCCAGGATTGAATCCAGGCCACCATTGTAAAATGGCAGAGGCTAAAACAAAGCACTGGGCACGTGGTTACAGGCCGTGCTTCCAAGGACATAAAACAAGATGGAGGCCTGCAGCAAAGTTTGCCATTAACCAGTTTGCCGGGCTGGTTTGAACAGTGGACCTATGGAGTCCTATGCCAGCATCCCATCCTAAGGTACCCCTCTTTCTGACAGAGCCATACAGAAAGACATGGAAAGCACACCAGCTTGGTTACAGCTTAAGACCAACCTCACAAATCCTTTTTCATAATTGAAACCTTACAGAGAATATAAACAGTGATAGTTGGGGTCTTGGCCTAGTAAAACATCTTAAAAAAAAAAAAACAACAACAAAGCCTCTCACATAAAAGTTAATCTCTGGTGGAAAAAAGAAAAAAAAACTTTAAATGCAGGGCTTGAAAGATGCCTGAAAGGAGAACCTCTTATTCTTATGCAAATGAGTTTTTGCAGCAGGGAGAGAAATCTTTAATTGCTGTTTCTTCCCTGGGGCTTGAACCTAGCTGGGCCCCTTGGCTAGGGGAGGGGAGGACTCTGTGGGCATGTGGCGGGAAACCCTGGCCAGCCAGCCAAGTGGGGCCCTTGGGCCATGCACCCCAGCCCCACCCAGAAGGGGAGGGATGCAAGGAACTGCCACTCGCCCCACTTGCCTGTCCATCCTACGCATGAGCCTGCAGCCACTGGGTTGCGGGTAGAACACCCCCAACATTGTAGAAGAAAAGATAGGTGCCATTACAGTCTCAAAAAAAAGAAGGAAAATGCCACAGAAAGGCTGGGTTGGAATGAGGCCAACATTCCCTACCCCTGAGAGCGATGAGGGGTAGAAGGGGGCACAGTTTCCTCTATTCTCAGAAGAAGTCCGAGGACAAGAAGCCTCAGAAACAAGAGGGAAAAATATTTTTTGGTTCACATTTTACTCACCTTTACTCATGTTCTTATATGGGCCACCAAAATGATGCAGGATTTTTTGGTCCTTAGCTCAGCTAAAATCCAGGTTCTTGTCGCATGACCAGGAAAGATTAGGCACATGGATACATTGAAAGGTGAGAAGAGCAGAATTTATTAAAAGAACGCTCTCAATGAAAAAAGGAGGTCCTGCGAACAGGCTCCCACCTCACAGATTGAATACCAGGCCACAACACACCAGCTGAAGAGGCCAGGCTTCTCTCCCTGCATAAGGCACAAATTCCTAGTGGTTCCACCCCATTCTCCCAGTGTGCATGTGGGCCCTTAGTCTGAGCCACTCCATATTGATTTATTTCCCTTACTGTGCATGTGTTGAGGGATGGAATTTTTCACCGTGGGCAGGTTTAGGCAAGCCCCCTGTGCACAATGACCTGGGCAGCATTTGACTGTCTCCTGTCTCTATCACCATGAGACTAGGTGTTACAACCAGTAATGGGTTGGGATAGAATGAGAATAGGATCAAGGCCTGGGCTGTGGAGCACAGCATTGTTAAAGTCAGGGATCTGAGGAGGCTGAATGTAGCAGGCAACCCAGGAACATGTTAGAGAAGAATAGGATTTCCATATTACAATTTAAATGACCTTTAATAACTTTTTTTTTTTCTAGCTGAGTTACGCAGCGTGACAAATGGTCAGTCTAACCAACCAAGGTAAGGAGAAAAATATTCTCAATGAGCTCCCAAAGGACTAGGGATGGAATATTTTTAAAATAACCATTTAGCATAGTAAAGAGTACTTATTTCAAAATTTAACTTAGTCCTCAACCAGCTGGAAATGTGGGAAAACTGCATATTACCTCTGCCCTCTCACTTTCCAGGCAAAATGATAGAATCAATAGCATAATTCTCCTTGGGAATGACTTA